>NC_000006.12:30666060-30969090 GCF_000001405.40 Homo sapiens | reverse complement strand
GCTGTCTCTCAAAAGGAGAGTAGTTATCTGCAGAAGATGGCAGGGACTTGTTCCAAAATCCTAGAGGCCTCTGCTGTGATTCACTTATGTGGGCCTGCCGAAGGCTCCAAACAGCATCCCTATCTGCCACTGACACCTCAAGCACCATTGGATCTGCTGGGTCATATGGCCCAAGTGGCAGAGCAGCTTGCATAGCAGCCTGGACGTATTGCAGAGCCTTCTCCTGTTCTGGATCCCACTCAAAACTGTCAGCCTTTCGGGTGACTCAATAAATGAGCTGGAGTAACACACTCAAATGTGGAATGTGTTGCTTCCAAAATCCAAGTAAGCCCACTAGGCGTTGTGCTTCTTTCTTGGTTGTAGGAGGGGCCAAATGTAGCAACTTCTTCACCTTAGAAGGGATATCTTGACAGGCCCCACACCACTGGACCCCTAGAAATTTTACTGAGGTAGAAGCTCCCTGAATTTTAGTCAGATTTATTTCCCATCCTCTGGCACACAAATATCTCACCAATAAGTCCAGTGTGTTTGCTACTTCTTGCTCACTGGACCCAATCAGCATAATATCATCAATGTAATGGACCAGTATGATATCTTGCAGAAGCAAAAAGTGATCAAGCTCTCTCTGAATAAGATTATGACACAAAGCCGGAGAGTTGATATACCCCTGAGACAGGACAGTAAAGCTGTATTGCTGGCCTTGCCAGCGGAAGGCAAATTACTTCTGGTGGGCCTATGGACAGGAATGGAGAAAAAGGCATTTGCCAAGTCAATGGCTGCATACTAGGTACCAGGAGATGAGTTAATTTGCTCAAGCAATGAAACAACATCGGGTACAGCAACTGTAATTGGAATCACCACTTGGTTAGGCTTACGATAATCCACTGTCCTTCTCCAAGATTCATCTGTCTTCTGCACAGGCCAAATGGGAGAACTGAATGGGGATATGGTGGGAATCACCACCCCTGTGTCTTTCAAGTCCTTGATGGTGGCACTAATCTCCGCAGTCCCTCCTGGGATGTGATTTTTTTTTTTATTTACTATTTTTCTAGGTAGAGGCAGCTCTAATGGCTTCCATTCAGCCTTTTCCACCATAGTAACCCTCACCCTACCAGTCATGGAGCCAATGCAGGGGTTCTGCCAGCTGCTAAGTATATGCCAATTATGCATTCTGGCACTGAGGAAATGATCACAGGATGAGTCCAGGGACCCACGGGACCCACTATAAGTCAGACCTGGGCTAAAACTCCATTAATTACCTGACTTCTATAAACGCCTACTTTTTTTTTTTTTTTTTTTTTTTTTGAGACGGAGTCTCACTCTGTTGCTCAGGCTGGAGTGCAGTGGCAGATCTTGGCTCACCACAACCTCCACTTCCCAGGTTCAAGCTATTCTCCTGCCTCAGCCTCCCAAGTAGCTGGGACTACAGGCGTGCACCACCATACGTGGCTAATTTTTGTATTTTTAGTAGAGAGGGTTTCACTATTTTGGCCAGGCTGGTCTCGAACTCCTGACCTCGTGATCCACCTGCCTTGGCCTTCCAAAATGCTGGGATTACAGGCATGAACCACCACTCCCGGACTCATAAGCCCATACTTTAACTGGAGGGCCACAATGACATTTTGGGTCTCCTGGAATCAACGCCAGCTCAGAGCCAGTGTCCAGTAGTCCCCAAAATGTCTAATCATTTCCCTTTCCCCAATACACAGTTACCCTGGTAAAAGGCCAGAGGTCTTGGGGAAGGATGGGAGAAAGATTCACTGCACAAATTGTTGGTAATGTAGTGGGGTCCTTCCTCAAGGGGACCCGGCCTCCCGTTCATTCAAGGGGATCTGGGTCTGTGAACTGGCTCAAGTCTGGAAATTGGTTGAGGGGCCGTGATTCTGTTTTTATAATTCAAATTAGTCTTTTGTCCATTCAGCCTAGAAGTTCTCTGCTTGTATAAATTAAATAGGAATGCAATAGGCTTCCTATCAATTTCACTTCTAGGAACACTGTGATTAATTAGCCAATGCCAGAGCTCTGCATGAGTTGGACTATTCTGATTGCCACTTTGCCTCTGCTGTCCATTATGGTACCTACACCCACATTGCCTTCGATGTTTGAGTGCTACCACTTGGCCCCTGCCACCTCTGGATCCAATTATTCCCATTGTATTTAAATTTTGCAGTTGACTGACGGCGGTTCCCACTGTTAGATCTGACATACAGAGAAGAGCAATTATAGGGCTCTTCAGATATGCAGGTGCTGCCCTCACAAATGTATTTTGCAAAGCATCATCAAGGGTATATCTTCTGGACCCTCCCAGCTGGGATGAGTAGGTCTAAATTGACTAATCCACTCCACCATCCCAATCTCCCTAAGCCTTTGGATCCCTTCATTTACATTAAACCAAGGGAGATCAGCTTGCTCACAGTGGGCCATCTTTTAATCCATATTTTAGCTAACTAAGCAAATAAACTATTAGAACCCTTTTTAACTCCCCAAGCTGCAACATTAAATGCAGAGTCCCTATTTAGTGGGGCCAAATCAATAAATTCAGCCTGACCTAACTCTATGTTCCTTCCACCATTATCCCACACCCTTCATATCCATTCTAATGCCTGTTCTCCAGATTTCTGTTTATATAAATTAGAAAATTCAAGCAGTTCTTTTCGAGTGTAGTACATCTCCTCATGGGTCACACTCTCAACCTCGCCTCTAGGGGCCCTCCAGGAAATGATACCTAACAGTGTACAGGCTTGACTTGAGACAGGGCAGAGATGATAGAAACAGGTGAAGAGCTAGTGGTTGCCATTGGAATTAAAATGTGTGTGATCAGAGAAGACATGGGGGTTAGTACCTGACACAACTGTTTTGGTGATGGTCTGAGTAGAAATGTCAGTGACCTTGTTGGGCACGAAAGTGGCAGAGACAGTGGTGGAGGTTGCAGTGGCCCCAGAGGCTGTGGTAGAGGCCAAGAAGGGCGATGAGGCCAAAGCGAAGGCTGTGGAGGTCACAGATACTGCTGTGGATGGCATGGTGGCCTCAGAGCCTGTGGTGGAAGCCATGCTGCTTCCAGACCCTGAAGTGACCTCAGAGGCTGTGCTCACAGCCATGTTGCTCGTGGATATTGCAGTGGAGGCTGTGGTGGTCTCAGAGTCTGTGGAGGAGGCGGTTGTGGGCATAGATACTATTATGGAGGCACTGGGGGTCTCAGAATCTGTGAGGGAAGCCGTGGAGGTTTCAGTGGCTGTAGTGGTCTCAGATCTTGTAGTGGAGGCTGTGGTGGTCTCAGAGCCCATCATGGATAAAAATCCTGCAGTGTTCTCAGAGGTTATTTTGGAGGTTGTTGTGGGCACAGATACTATTGTGGAGGTAGTGGGGGTCTCAGAGGTTGATGTGGCCTCAAAGGCCATAGTGGAGGCTAGGATGTGGTGGACACAAATATTTTGAAAGAGGATGTGGTGGACTCAGAGGCTGTGGAGAAGGCCTCAGTAGTTTCAGAGGCTGAGGTGGGAGCTACAGTAGGCACAGAGGTTATCATCCAGGCTGTGGGGATCTCGGAATCTTTGCTAGAGGCCAATGTAGTCACAGACTGCAGTGGTTCCTGAGGTTATGATGGAAGCCAGAGTGATCTCAGAGCCTGTGGTGGTTTCAGGCGCTTTGATAAAGACTGCAGTAGGCACAGATACTATCTTGGAGAGAGTGGTGCTCTTGGAGGCTATGGTAGAGTCCATGGTGGGCACAGACTTGGTCACGGAGTCTATAGTATTCTGATAGAGTGTGGTGGAGGCTGTGGTGGACACAGACGCTGTAGTGGTCTTAGCAGGCATTACGGTGGCTGTGGAGAACCCAGACTGTGTGGTTGTCACAGGAGCTTTGGTGGAGACCACAGCAGTCTCAGAACCTGTGGTCATGGCTGTGGTCATGGCTGTAGTCACTTCAGTGGCAGAGGTGGAAGCTCTGGTGGTCTCAGAGCCTGTGCTGCTTTCAGAGGCTGTAGCGAAGACTGTGGTGGGCACAGATGATACTGTGTGGTGTCCGGTGTTCTCAGAGCCTGTGGTAGAGGTTGTGGTGGGCACAGATGCTGTGGTGGTCTCAGCAGGTGTTGGAGGGGCTGTAGAGGGCGCAGACTCTACAGTTGTCCCAGAGGCTTTTGTGGAGATTGCAGTGGTCGCAGAGTCTGTGGTGGAGGCTGTGGGGATCTCAGAGCCTGCGGTGATTTTAGAGGTTGTGGTGAAGACTGTGGTGGGCAGAGATGTTATCGTAGAGGTCGTGGCGGTCTTGGAAGCTGTGGTCATGGTTTTAGAGGCTGTGTTGGGAGCTGTGGAAGGTGTAGATGTTATCACAGAGGGTGTGTTGTTCTTGGGGACTGTGGCGGACACAGATGCTGTGGTGGTGTCAGTAGGTGTTTTGGTGGCTGTGTGGGGCACAGACTCTGCAGCTATCACAGAGGTTTGAGTGGAGACTGTGGTGTCCTCGGAGGCTGTGATGGCAGCAATGGTAGTTTCAGACATGGTGGCCTCACAGGCTGTTGTGTTCTTAGAGCCTGAGGTGGAAGCTGTGGTGGGCACAGGTGTTACTGTGGAAGATGTGGTGGTGTTAGAGACCGTGGTGAAGGCCAGGGTGGACTCAAGGGCCAGGATAGAGGCTGTCACTGGCTCAGACACTGCAGTGGAGAACCTGATGGTCTCATAAGCTGTGGAGGAGACTGGGATGGCTGCAGAGCTCATGGTGATCTCAGAGGCTGTGCTGGAGGCTGTGCTGGAGGCTGTGGCTGACACAGACATTGTAGAGGACGTGATGATCTCAGAGGCCGTGCTGCTCTCAGAGCCGGTGGTTGAGGCCACAGTGGCACAGATGCTGTGGTGGAGGGTGTGGTAACCTCAGAGGCTGCAACAATAGTTGTGGTGGCTTCTGAGCCTATGGAGGTCTCAGAGTCCATGGTGGAGATGGCGATGATCTCAGAGGTTGAGGTACTCTCAGAGCCTGTGGTTGAGGCCATTGTGGACACAGACTCCACCATGGTCTCAAAGGCTACAGTGGGCCCTGGGGGCATAGTCCTTCCTGAAAAATATCAATTTTTAGTCAAATACGACACCTACTTTACATTTTTGATATTTAATTAGGAGCATCGTGCATATGTCTTTCTTGTTTCCTTTACATCAGCAGAACTGCTGGTGTCGTTACCTTTTATTTGGAATCATGTATTTCAGAGGCTCAGCATTTGCAGTTTCCTCCGCAGCTAAGGGCCCGGTTGCTGATTCAGCTGTGCTTCTGTAGTGCATGAGTCATTTGATCGATCTTCTTGGCACCTTGTCCTTTCTGCCATAATGTTTTTTGGAACTGTACTTGCCTAGGTGAAATAAAATCTAACCTATGTTAAGGAGGCTCCACATTATCTCTGTGTGTGTTATAACACTAAGGATAGTTGGGTCTCATCAGATTAGGGGAAAGTGTGTTGTTTGAAAACCTCATCCAGGGCCAGGCACAGTGGCTCACGCCTGTAATCCCAACACTTTGGGAGGCCAAGGCGGGCAGATCACCTGAGGTTGGGAGTTCGAGACCAGCCTGACCAACATGGAGAAACCCCGTCTCTACTAAAAATACAAAATTAGCCAGGTGTGGTGGTGCATGCCTGTAATCCCAGCTACTCAGGATGCTGAGGGAAGAGAATTGCGTGAACCCAGGAGGCAGAGGTTGCAGTGAGCCGAGATCGTGCCATTGCACTCCAGCCTGGGCAACAAGAGCAAAACTCTGTCTCAAAAAAAAAAAAAAAGAAAGAAAGAAAGAAAACTTCATCCAGGTCATCTGGACTGATCAGAAGAATCCCCTTGTCTGGGTGGAAGTGACAAGGAGGTCATAGGAGGGCAGCTTGAGCAGAGACACTCTGGTGCAAGTCCCCCATCACTCTTTGGGACGTTCAGCACACGATCCCTGCCTGAAGGGAGCCTGCAGGTTCTCATCCACCATCTGAGAGCACCGGGGTGTAAAATTCACAGGAGGCCAGCTTTTTTCCAGCCTCTTCAGGTGGTGAAAGTTGATGAGTTAGGCAGTTTGTAAAGAGACACAAGGAGATACTAGGGGGAAAAGTCCTTGGGAAGATTTCTTCCCCTCCCCTCCTTTCCCCTCCCCTCCCCTCCCCCCTCCCTCTCTCTCTCTCTCTCTCTCTTTCCTTCTTTCTTTCTTTCTCTCTCTTTCTTTTTCTTTCTTTCTCTTCCTTCCTTTCTTCTTTAATTCCTTCCTCCCTTCTTTACTTCCTTCCTTCCTTCTTCCTCCCTCCCTCCCTTCCTTCCTTCTTTCCCTCCTTCCTTCCTGTCTTTCTTACTTTCATTTATTTACTCTTCTAGTATAACATACTAGATTAAGTGGTAGCACTGGGAATGGATTAGAGAAGAATCTGGGGGATTAGTCTGGGTTTCTCTCTGATATACACTCTCTGCATCCAGGCCTTCTCATTCATTTATTCAAACATATTCCTTAAGAACCTTCTGTGGGCCACATGATGTGCCAGGCATGGGATACAGTGATTGAAAAGTTGATACAGAGCTTATATTCAAATAAGGGAGAGAGACCATGAATAAGTAAATGGATGATGTCCGAAATGAAAAACCTATGCATAGCTGACTGGGACTCTTTCAGGGGCCAAAAGGAAAAGTCCCTCCTGTCCTCCATGCAGGACCATGTGCAGGACCAAAAAAGAAATGAGAGGCCCAAAGCAAAGAAATACCTGCAGACTGGTTTTTCAAAATGGAAGCCGTACTGTGACAGTGCCCTTCTGAATATGGAAAAGTAGCGCTTCTGAGCAAATTGCCACAATGTTTTCTTGTTTTTGTTTTGTTTTGTTTTGTTTTTTTAAATGGAGTTTCACTCTTTTTGCCCAGGCTGGAGTGCAGTGGTGTGATCTCGGCTCACTGCAACCTCCGCCTCCTGGGTTTGAGTGATTCTCCTGCCTCAGCCTCCTGAGTAGCTGGGACTACAGGCACACGTCACCACGCCCGGCTAACTTTTATATTTTTAGTAGAGATGGTTTCACCATGTTAGCCATGAACTCCTGACCTCAAGTGATCCGCCCACCTCAGTCTCCCGAAGTGCTGGGATTACAAGCGTAAGCCACCGCGCCCAACCTAGTTGACACAATGTTGAAGGAAATGCAGAAATCCCAGCCTTTGATGGATCTAAAAAACAGCAGCACTGACACAGCAACCTCAGAGGCATTGGAGCAAGCTGGAAAGCTCAGAGAAAATGTAGACCCAGAAAAGGCTGTACGGTTATACCAACAAACAGCAATGCATTTAAAAATGTGGAATGCCTCAACAGGCAGCTGAACAGTTAGGAAAAGCCTCAGGACTGCTAGTATAAGGATGCAGGATTGATGGGACAGCACTCTCTATTTATAAAGAAAAATATTTATAAGGAAACAGAGTTATCCAACTATAAGAAAATAGTCGCTCAAGTATTAGTTCCTCTACATAGCAACGACTGTGCAGCTGGGAAAGCTGTGTCAGGAGAGCTCCAGCACAGCAGGAGTCCGTGCAAGTGGTGGCTGAGCTGTGCTAGAACAGCTTCCAGAAGGGTTTGCCCAGCAAGACCAAGCTACCCATCAGAGGTCAGCAACTCTCCACTTTTCAAGTACACAGGCAACGATTATGCTAAACCCAGCCTGAGTTTAGTAGTTCCGGGACAGAGAATCAAGAAGAAATTACCAGGGATGGTTGCACAACCACATGAATGTACTTAATGATACTAAACTTTACTCTTATAAATGGCTAAAATGATGTATTGTAAGTTATGTATATTTTATCATGGTTAAGAAAATAAGAAGGCGGAGGAGAAAGCAGAGAGGGAGAGAGAAGAGGAAGAGGAGGAAGAATTAGAAGAAAAAGGAGGAGGAGAAGAGGAGGAGGAAGAAGGGAAAATCAGCAGCTACCCTGGCCAAGCCTGGTGGCATCATCTTTGTAGCTGCTGCTCAGGAAGACAAATATTTGGGATTGTGCAAGTACTTTGCTATGCAAAAAGGAAAGGAAAAATTCTGACACGGCATTTCATGGACTTGGAGCTTGTTTAAGAGTACTCCACACTTCATTGCATCCATGGTTTTGAATGCTAATAAAGCCTCTAAGGCTGGGCATGGTGGCTCATGCCTATAATCCCAGAACTTTGGGAGGCCGAGGTCGGTGGATCACCTGAGGTCAGGAGTTCAAGATCAGCCTGGCCAACATGGTGAAACCCCGTCTCTACTAAAAATAAAAAAAATTAGCCAGGTGTGGTGGTGCATGCCTGTAATCCCAGCTACTCGGGAGGCTGAGGCAGAAGAATTGCCTGAACCTGGGAGGCAGAGGTTGCAGTGAGCCAAGATCGCACCACTGCACTCCAGCCTGGGCAACAGAACAAGACTCCGTCTCAAAAAAATAAAAAATAAAAAATAAGACTCTAATTTTTAGTTATCAATTCCCCAAATAACCTATCTGTGTCTGCTACCTGGAAAGCATTTTTTTTTTCTTTCCATAAGAGCTTTCTAAAACATAAGCAGGAGTTAACAGTAAATGCACTGTCATATTTTCATACAGTTTGTTTTAAAACTTATGAGCCAAATTCTAGATAAATTATGTTTTAAACAACAGAAACAATAGATATGGATATTTTCTCTCGAGTCATGTAACTTAGAGAATTTCCTTTGCATTTTATTTTATGATTACTGCTAAAATGAAGTTTACTGATTTTTAAAAATTAGAATTAAAAAATATTTTTAGTTTTGTTTTGAAAAGAAAATTTATCCCTCCATGATATTGGATACTGTCTTAATCACCTTGGACTGCTATAGCAAATACCACAAACTGGGTGGCTTAAACAATGGTAATTTGTCTTCTCACAGTTCTGAAGGCTGGGAAGTCCAAGGTTAAGGTACTGGACAACTTGGTTCCTTGTCAGGGCTCCTTTCTGGATTGCAGATGGCTGCCTTCTTGCTGTGTCCTCACATAGTGAAGACAGAAAGAACTCTCTTTCTCCTTTGATAAGGCCACAGTCCCATTGAATTCGGGCACCACTCTTATGACCCCATTAACTTTAATTACTTCCTAAAGACCCTATCTTCAGATATAGTCACATTGATGATTAAGACTTCAACATATGAGCCGGGCACGGTGGCTCATGCCTATAATCCCAGCACTTTGGGAGGCCAAGGCAGGAGGATCACTTGAGCTCAGGGGTTCAAGACCAGCCTGGGCAACATAGTGAGATATGGTCTCTACTAAAATTTAAAACAAAACTAATTAGCTGGGCATGGTGGCAGCCTCTGGGAGGGGTGAGTGCTGAGATGGGAGGCTCGCTTGAGCCCAGGAGGTCAAGGCTGCAGCAAGCTATGATTGTGCCACTACACTCCAGCTTGGATGACAGAGCAAGCCCCTGTCTCAAAAAAAAAATAGAAAAAAGACTTAAACATATTTAGGGGGGACACTGTTCAGTTCATAGTAGATATATTTAAATTAGTAAGTCCTTTCAGAGGTGAGATTGGGACAGGAAGCTATTTTGAGACTTACAATATTCTTTAGTCCAATAAAAGACGCAATTTAAGGTCTCATTAAAAAAAATCTATGAATTGCAATACAATATGGGCATGATGTTTAAATCTGCACTTGCAAATACTGGGATAAAAAGCTAAAAGTTAAAAGTCGTCTCCTCTGGAGAACAGGAATTGGACATGAAAAGGGGGAGGGTGCATCCGTGCTAGTTTTTGCAATAAATCTATGGAACTATTGGACTCTTTAAACTATTTACATGGATTGCTCTGGTAAAACTTGCAGAGAAAATACATACACACAGAGAGTAGGAGATAAGGACATGAAGATAGTGTTTGTAGGGGATTGTTTCAAGAGGCTTGGTGATGAAGGGGAGCTGATGGGGGCAAGGCTGAGAAGATGTGGGTGGGGGTCTGTGAAGATGGCTGCCAGCAGAGCAGAGCTTTCCAAAGTGTGTCCCTGGACCACATCAGGAGTGCCTGGGGAACTTGTTAATTTTTTTTTTTTTTTTTTTAATAGAGACAGTGTCTCGCAATGTCGCCCAGGCAGGTCTCTGACTCCTAGCTTTGGGCAATCCTCCCACCTTGTCTTCCAAAAGTGCTGGGATTACAGGCCTGAACCACTGCATCCAGTGGCCATCTCCATTTTATTTATTTATTTTTTATTTTTTTGAGACAGCATCTCATTCTGTCACCCAGGCTGGGGTGCACTGGTGTGATCTCAGCTCACTGCAACCTCTGCCTCCCAGGTTCAAGTGATTCCCCTGCCTCAGCCTCCCAAGTAGCTGAGATTACAGGTGTGCACCACCACACCTGGCTAAGTTTTGTATTTTTAGTAGAGACGGGGTTTCGCTATGTTGTCCAGGCTGGTCTCAAACTCCTGGCGTGATCCGCCCACCTCAGCCTCCCAAAGTGCTGGGATTATACGCATGAGCCACCGTGCCGGGTCTTTAGAAATCTACTTTTTAAAAATACTCTCCTCTGGGTGCTTCCTGTGCACACTGCTTAGGGCTTATTTGGCTGGTGTTGGGAAGGACCCTGTAGAAGGAGAAGGAAAA
The DNA here is from genome assembly GCF_000001405.40 of Homo sapiens. Classification (NCBI taxonomy): domain Eukaryota; kingdom Metazoa; phylum Chordata; class Mammalia; order Primates; family Hominidae; genus Homo; species Homo sapiens. The sequence continues at coordinate 30,958,533 of NC_000006.12, read as the reverse complement.
ACTGGAAGGGGAAGAAGCCCATGAAGAAGGCAGGAGGTGTGGGATGGGGGAGCCAGAGCCAAGATGCACGAACACTCCAATGTTAGCAGGGGAGAATGGATGCTGATGAAGGCGGCTTTTTAGACTTGATGGTGGGAAGACGAGGTGGGTCCTGACAGTATTTTGCACACTTGTGCCTCTCTTTTATTATATGCCTTCTTTGTGTGATCTCTGCCTTTCCTAGTGAACTGTGAGCTCCCTGAAGGCAGGGCCTGTTGCTGTTTTGTTCACTGATTTATCTTCAGAACTAGCACAGAGTAGATGCTCAAAAAATGTTTGCCAGATGAACACGTGAATGTCACGTTTGATATGATGTGACATCCAAGTGAAGATATTATTGAAAAAAAATTGAAAATAAAGGACTGGATTTCAGAGCCAAGGTAGACTTAATATGAGTTTGGAAGTTGCCTGTTGCAGTAATAATTTGGGCCTCTTAAAATGAACAAGCTCACAGAGACGCAGGGAGGAGGAAAAGAACAGGATGTGCAAGGCAGGGTCTCCAGGAGAGTGCCTGGGATAAGAGAGCAGAGAGAGGATGCAGGAAACAGACATCAAAGAAGCCACCACAAAGCAGCCTCCTGTTCATTCAGCCTAGGGCTGTTTCTGTTTATTCCAATTCCACAACTGTCTCCTTGCTCCCTTTTTATGGCATTCCATCCTACAGTGGAAGCGAAGGGGCTTTATAAATCTGCCTGACATTGGGTTGTAGTCATTAGGCAGAGAAACTTGAAACATTGAAGGGACCAAGGAGAGAAGTCAGGTGGAGAGAAGTCAGGTGAAATGGCTAGGAAGACAGGAATTTGGATTGTACTTCTCTTCAGGCTAATATCACCCACAGTTCCCGTATCCCTGGGATCCGAAGGATCCCTCCCTGTCTCTATCCGGGGATTATGAAAGCCCTACTGAGGATTTTAATTTAGGCAGTATTTCTGGAAGTGATATTTTCATTTCACTTGGCTTTAGACTTGGAGCCTAGCTCTAATAAATATTTAAAGATGATATTGAAACTAGAATTTTCAAGTTAGATACAAAGCATTTGTTGAGCAGCCGTTAAACCCGGGATTCTAAGGAAATACAACACAGCTATTATTTGTGTTCATGCTTACAGCGGAGCATTGGAAGGGGAAGATGAAGGTGGGTTTGCTGCAAGGTGAAGTTGGGGGTCAAAATCGTGGTTAGTGGGGGTTAAGGTTAGTACTGGCTTTTGCAGAAAGGGGCAAAAAAGAAGTTCATCATCTTTGCTTGCTTTTTGCTTTTGCAAAAGAATGAGAATAAGAAAAGCAAACAGAATGCCTGGGACAGGAACCCTTGTCTCCTTCAGACTTTTTGTGGCCTCAGTGTCTTCTCCGATTGATGGATAATTCACTTACCAGTCTCAAGATTCCAAAGAGAAGCATCACCTGGATGCAGGAGGTGGGAGGTAATTTCCCTCACCTCATCTTGAAATAATCCATGTGGGAAGTTGTTATCTAGAATGCCTGGGTTCTAGAGGGCAGATGGGCTCCAGAGGGGGCCTTGATGCCTGGTGTCTCAATGGGACATGAAGTTGCAGGAAGAATTAAAAGCTTGCCAGGGGCAGGGTTCTGGGAGGAGTAAGATCAGTTGGGGTAGGTTCCAAGACAGTGGTGAGTGGGGACTGGGAATGCTGGATTCCTGGGTTCTGAGGGTTGCTCCCACAATATGTCTGGCTTAATTTCTTTTCTCACTTGACCATAGCTGTGGCATTTATAGTTGCCACCAGGCAGGGGAGGCCGTAACTTCTGGACGCTCCCTCTCCAGGGAGGGGTATCTTAAGGCCATGACAATATGAGGGAAGAAGGAGGGAGCGGGAGAGAACAAGGGAATCACATCTGTGGGAGGAGAGGAGACCCACCCTCCCAGCCAGAGGTCAGCAGAAACCTGTTTTCTCTGGGATGTCTCATTTCTGGGACAGAGGCCTTTGTAGGAGGCAGAGGGGAGAAAAATGAAGGTGACTGTGTCCCAAATCATTGGATCTTCTTACTTTGCCAGCACCTCTCCAGGGACAGCTGGGCACTGTGAGGGGAGGATGCAGAGCCTGTGACTATGAGGCCAGTTAATGTGTCTCCGGGGACAGAGGCTGGCAGAAAAAACCCTGACCTGGGATACTGGCAGTGAGGCCAGAAGAAGACTCTGGACGTTCAAGGAGCTGGAAAGGGAGGCCTGGACTCTGGAAGAAGGGGCTGGACACCCTCGTGCAAATCTCAATTACACCCTGTTCCTTAGGTGGTCCCTGTAACATCCCACCCGTCCAGGTGGGGCTGCCTTGGTGTCAGAGAACCTGGCTCCACTGAGGAACAAAGTGAAATTGAGGCTTGGAGAAAATAAAGCAAGCCTTCTGTTCCATAGGAGCCGTGTGGGTTTGAACAGGGCTCTTCTCTGAGCCTCGGTTTTCTCATCTGTAAAGCAAGCTTTATAAGAACTCTTATAAGGTCTGTAACTTCTTATAAGGCTTGTAAAGCAGGCCTCGTAACTCGCAGGGTGATCGGAGGATCACAGGTGCGATGTACGTGAAAGCACAGCACAAACGGGTGTCAGTTTTATGGCCAATGTCACGGGGGTAGGAGCTACGCCCAGGCCCGTCAGTCCAGGCCCCTCCCTGGGGGCTGGGGGCTGGGAGGAGGGGATTCGGCGCAGTAGGGCTGGGGCGCTGCGGGGGCGGCGGCCTCGAGCCACTAATCTGAGCTGTCCGCAAGAGATCAGAAGCCGCCCGCAAAGCGGAACCTGGAGGAACGAGGGAGGGCCGCAGTCTCGGGGAACCGGAGCCCCCGCTGCGACTCCGCCGGGACAGCAGCTTCCGGCGCCCCGGCAGCCTCCTGCCCTCGGGGCACTCGCTCCCCCCGAGGTGTACTCCCCGAGGGCTGGGGGAGCGCATTCCCTCCCGTCCTACTGATTAAGTAATTATCCCTAATGAGGGCCCAGCCCCGGAGCTTGTTAAAGGATTTCCGCCTAGATTTCAAAGTGATAATTAGCGGGGAATAGAGAGGAAAGTGGGAGGGAGACACCCGCCGCGCCCCAGGGCCCACAGTCCGCCTTTGCCGGGCGAAGAACCTCCCCATCCCCCTTATACACCCTTTGACCTCCAGTGCTGCATTTTGGTGTCTTGATAGGGGAGGGGTCTGTCCGGTTGGATGTTTAGGACTCTAGAGGCAGAGATGTTTTTATTTCGTTTTGTTTTTGAATTGGGGTCCAGGCTGAGTTTAGGGGTTTCTGCATCCCTCCCAGGGCAGAGAGACACTCCTGTCCTGGCAGATGCCACAGGCTGAGTCACCGTCTACCCAGACAACTAAAATCCAGGCATCTTCCTCCTTTTCTCGAGGGCTCTCCAGCCCCTTCCAGAACCCAGGTGTCCCTCTGCCTCCTTTCTCCAGGGGCCTAAGTCTGGGTCCCTCTGGCATCTGGCATGTCTGCTTTCTGAGAGTCAAGCTTCAATCTTGCCTTTAGCAGAGCGGGTCTCTGGTGGGAGATTCAGTAATAAGGGCCTTCCCAGCCCAGCCAGGGCCAGATAGTTCAGTGACATCAGTGTCAGGGTTGGGATTACTGACCATGATAGGTTTCCAGCTTTCAGCAAATGGGGATGCCCAAAGGAGCAGATAGCGAGTGACCTGTGGCCCTGCTGTTTGATTCTGGATGGAGTTACGTTTAGGAGCCTGGCAGCAAACTGGGGCACCTGTTCAATTAGTGATGATGCCATACTCTGGTAAGAGAGCCAAGGCTGCATGGGTGATGGGAGGTTTCTGTTGGGACTGACATGGGCACACAACGGTTTTGGAGCAGGGCTGGTGTCCTAACATAAATAGGGGGCATAGTAGATGCTCACGGAGTTGGGCTTAATGAATTAGGGTGTTGTTTTATTCTATATAGCACCTAACTTGTGACAACTCTTGTTGAATTATTTAATTTTAATTTTCCTGTCTTTGTGTCTCAGGTGAGAACTATGTCTTATACTTCTTTATATCCTCAACAGAGTATATAATAGTTGCTTTAAAATACTTGCTTATTAATTGACAGGTTTTTCTACTCATTTTGTCACCATGCAAATAAACCCAGCCTGGACTGAGGCTGGCTCTTACCTAAACCCAGAAAGGAGCCATTTTTGGAGCAATAGAAATTCAGCCTCCCCTTTCTTGACCCTCCATAGATTGCCAGTCCTGCCCTCCAGCTCCTCTGTCTCCTCCACTTCTGTAAGGTCTCAGCCAGAGCCAGGAACGCCAGTCAGAACTTTCTCCCAATGGATAGTCTAATAACTATGATGCCCTTTATAAACATGTTATACTTTATTATAAAAAAGGTCAATAGACAGAAGGAAACTATCATCATCATTCTCCTTTTCCCCCTCTACCCAATCAGTAATAAGGTGAAATGGCCATAAGAAGAGAGAGAGAAAATCCAGAAAACACACACAGATGAAATGCCTACAAGGAGGAAAACTTGAATCTGGGGTGAAGGTGGGAGGAGAGAGAATGGGGACAGTAGAGAAGATGGGTAACTTTTACGAGATAAAGCTACAGCTGGCTTTTGGTGGAAGAGACAGGAAAATAAATGCTGAGACACCAATCAGGGAAGGTCTGGGGTGGAGATCAGTGGGTGAGACTGCTGGCCAAATAAAAATCCCCTCCTTGCGTGTCCACCCACAACCCAGCAAGCCAAACCAACAGGGCGTCCACTGTAGACATTTAGGAAAACTAAGGGATTTGGGAGGAAGAGGAAGCAACCATGTAGATGAGAGATATTTATGATTTCTTCTGGACTTTTTTTTCTCCAGGGCATGGAGAGAGTGGAGAAGGAAATAAATTCTCTTTTCTTCTTGGATCCGTTTTTTTTGTTTTTTTTTTTCATTAAAAAAATGGGGGTGGGGGCAAGGGTCCTGAGAACTCAGAGATGAGCCTGTTTACACACAAACTCTTAAGTAATAGTGAATGGAAATAACATAATGCTGTCCTGAAACCCAGAGACTCTGCCCTCAGTCCCTCCCTTTCCCCATAAACCCCACTCACAAGTCAGTCTGGGGCATTGCCTATAAGGCTCCTGTCCTTCCTTTAGGACTCAGTGCAGTGTTCTGCATTGGTGCCCCCACAACATGTCCATCAAACACCTTTTCATTCTCAGACCATTACCTTCTACAGAGAATGTCTGCTCGTATTATTCATTCTTTCTTCTTTGTCCCCTAAACTTACACCCTCCTTGCTTATCACCTCATTCCCCAACCAGTTTCAAGAACAGATGAAGGGTTAATACTGGTAACCGTCAGTATTCTCTGCCCTTCCTGTAGTCCCGGAAATAGAAATTGTGAGTCCGGTTCCTCATCCAGGAAAGGGGCAGAGCATGGAAGAGCCAGGGCTGGGCGCCTACTCCAAGATCACCGTGGGGAAGGGATCTGGCCCATGCCAAGATTCTGCTGCTCCATCAGGTAGACCGGGTAGGAATTGGGGCCACCCTCATCCTCTGCATCATTGTACTGGGTGTTCTGGGTTAGTGTGCGGCGTGTCCGCATCATATAGGAGACCTGTGATTGGGATGAGAAAGGAGGAATGAGAACCATCTGCGATTTGTTTTCCACAACACTCACCTCAGGTCTTGATTCTATTCTCAAGATTCCATCCAAACCTTGATGTTTATTCCAGCTCCAGGTCCAATACAATGAGTCCCAGCTCCATCTCCAGTTCCCCACTCTACCATATTCTCCTTGTCTTTACACCTCCTATTCTCATACCCCAGACTCTCCACCCCCCACACTTTCTCTTTCACACCCTTTCATTCTCAGCCACAGCCTTGTCCCCAATTCCAGCTTTTTACCTCCTGTGTATTTATTGTCTTTCTCCTTAGTTTTCACCAAAACTCTCCCTCTATTACTGTTCCTCCCACTTCTGCCATGTCTCTTTTCCTAGACTCATTATTCCCTGTAACTCTGACCCCTAATGTATCCTCAATTCCCTATCCCATAGGTTGATTTCTGTGGGGCACATCTGTCCCTTACCAAGAAGATCAGGCCAAGGAACACCAGGAGGAGAATCACAGCCACCAGGACCACAATAACTATGGCCCATGCAGGGAATGAATCATTCTCTCCCATCTGTCCAGCGTGGATACCTTTCTGTGAGCCATCTTTATTGAGGTATGGATGGCTCTCGTTTCCTGTGGCTTCTGATGTGATAGAACTCAGCTTCGTTCTAGATGTAATGAGGGTGAAAGAACCAGTGGGCACCTGATGAGTAACTTCAGTTTTATTTAGATGAGAAGAGGTAGTAGTGAGAGATTTGTCTCCTGTGACCTTGACTGAAGGTTTTATAGTCTTTGTGACTGCTGCTGTTTTTTCTGGGTTTTCTGTGGACTTTACTGGGGCTTTTATGGTCTCAGTGGTCAGTGTGGTGTTCCCCAGGTTTTCTGTAGGCTTTTCTGGGACTGGTGTGTTTTTCCCTTTGGTGCATATGGTCTTCTCTGAGTATAGCGTAGGCTTTTCTGGGGTTCTTGTGGTTTTCTCTGTGGTTGACGTGGTCTTTTCTGGGTGTTCTGTGGACTTTTCTGTGACTTGTGTCATCTTCTCATGGGCCAATGTGGTCCTTTTTGCATGTTTTATAGGCTCTGCTGGGGCTGGTGTGATCACATTGGCTGATGTAGCCCTATCTCTATGTTCTGTAGACTCTGCTGCAGATGAGGTGATCTTGTCATTGGGTGATGTGGTCCTTTCTCCATGTTCTGTAGGCTTTGCTAGGGATGGTGTGATCTTCTCATTGGCCGACGTAGTTTTTGCTCCATGTTCTGTAGGCCCTTCTGGGGATAGTGTGATCTTCTCATTGGCCAATGTAGTCTTTTCTCCATGTTCTGTAGGCTTTACTGGGGATGGTGTGGTGTTCTCATTGGCCGATGGGGTCATTTCTTCGTGTTCTGTAGGCTTTGCTGGAGATGGTATGGTCTTCTCATTGGCTGATGGTGTCCTTTCTCCATGTTCTGTAGGCTCTGCTGGGGATGGTGTGGTCTTCTCATTGGCTGTCCTTTCTCCATGTTCTGTAGACTCTGTTGGGGATGTTGTGGTGTTCTCATTGGCCAGTGGGGTCCTTTCTCCATTTTCTGTAGGCTCTGCTGAGGATGGTGTGGTGTCCTCATTGACTGTCGTTTCTCCATGTTCTGTAGGCTTTGCTGGGGATGGTGTGGCCTTCTCATTGGCTATCCTTTCTCCATGTTCTGTAGGCTCTGCTCGGGATGGTGTGGTGATCTCATTGGCCAGTGGGGTCCTTTCTCCATGTTCTGTAGGCTCTGCTGAGGATGGTGTGGTCTTCTCATTGGTAAATGGGGTCCTTTCTCCATTTTCTGTAGGCTCTGCTGGGGATAGTGTGGTCTTCTCATTGGCCAATGGGGTCATTTCTTCATGTTCTGTAGGCTCTGCTGGGGATAGTGTGGTGTTCTCATTGGCTGTCCATTCTCTATTTTCTGTAGGCTCTGCTGGGAATGGTGTGGTCTTCTCATTGGCTGTGCTTTCTCTATTTTCTGTAGGCTCTGCTGGGAATTGTGTGGTCTTCTCATTGGCTGTCCTTTCTCTATTTTCTGTAGGCTCTGCTGGGGATGATGTGGTGTTCTCATTGGCCAGTGGAGTCCTTTCTGCGTGTTCTGTAGGCTCTGCTGAGGATGATGTGGTCTTCTCATTGGCAAATGGGGTCCTTTTTCCATTTTCTGTAGGCTCTGCTAGAGATGGTGTGGTCTTCTCATTGGCCAATGGAGTCCTGTCTCCATTTTCTGTAGGCTGTGCTGGGGATGGTGTGGTGTTCTCATTGGCTGTCCTTTCTCTATTTTCTGTAGGCTCTGCTGGGAATGGTGTGGTCTTCTCATTGGCTGTCCTTTCTCTATTTTCTGTAGGCTCTGCTGGGGATAGTGTGGTGTTCTCATTGGCCAGTGGGGTCCTTTCTCCGTGTTCTGTAGGCTCTGCTGAGGATGATGTGGTTTTCTCATTGGCAAATGGGGTCCTTTGTCCATTTTCTGTAGGCTCTGCTGGGGATGATGTGGTCTTCTCATTGGCTGTCCTTTCTCTATTTTCTGTAGGCTCTGCTGGGAATAGTGTGGTCTTCTCGTTGGCTGTCATTTCTCTATTTTCTGTAGGCCCTGCTGGGGATGGTGTGGTGTTCTCATTGGCTGTCCTTTCTCTATTTTCTGTAGGCTCTGCCGGGGATGGTGTGGTGTTCTCATTGGCCAGTGGAGTCCTTTCTTCGTGTTCTGTAGGCTCTGCTGAGGATGATGTGGTCTTCTCATTGGCAAATGGGGTCCTTTGTCCATTTTCTGTAGGCTCTGCTAGAGATGGCGTGGTCTTCTCATTGGCCAAAGGAGTCCTGTCTCCATTTTCTGTAGGCTCTGCTGGGGATGGTGTGGTCTTCTCATTGGCTGTCCTTTCTCTATTTTCTGTAGGCTCTGCTGGGGATGGTGTGGTGTTCTCATTGGCCAGTGGGGTCCTTTCTCCGTGTTCTGTAGGCTCTGCTGAGGATGATGTGGTTTTCTCATTGGCAAATGGGGTCCTTTGTCCATTTTCTGTAGGCTCTGCTGGGGATGGTGTGGTCTTCTCATTGGCTGTTGTTTCTCTATTTTCTGTAGGCTCTACTGGGGATAGTGTGGTCTTCTCGTTGGCTGTCGTTTCTCTGTTTTCTGTAGGCCCTGCTGGGGATGGTGTGGTGTTCTCATTGGCTGTCCTTTCTCTATTTTCTGTAGGCTCTGCTGGGGATGGTGTGGTGTTCTCGTTGGCCAGTGGGGTCCTTTCTCCATGTTCTGTAGACTCTGCTGAGGATGATGTGGTTTTGTCATTGGCAAATGGGGTCCTTTCTCCATGTTCTGTAGGCTCTGCTGGGGATGGTGTAGTGTTCTCATTGGCTGTCCTTTCTCCATGTTCTGTAGGCTCTGCTGGGGATGGTGTGGTGTTCTCATTGGCTGTCCTTTCTCCATGTTCTGTAGGCTCTGCTGGGAATAGTGTGGTATTCTCATTGGCTGTCATTTCTCTATTTTCTGTAGGCCCTGCTGGGAATGGTGCGGTGTTCTCATTGGCTGTCCTTTCTCTATTTTCTATAGGCTCTGCTGGGGATAGTGTGGTGTTCTCATTGGCTGTCCTTTCTCTATTTTCTGTAGGCTCTGCTGGGGATGGTGTGTTGTTCTCATTGGCTGTCCTTCCTCCATGTTCTGTAGGCTCTGCTAGAGATTGTGTGAGCTCATTGGCTGATATGGTCTCTTGTATGTTTTTTGTAGTTTTTGTCAGGAGCTTGTCTGAGGCAACTGTTGTTCTGGAATCTTCAGTTTTTTCTGACTCTTCTGGGGTTCCTGTGGTCTTGTATGTTGTTTTTGAGGCTGCTGTGATTTTTTCTGGAAAAGATGTGCTTTTTTGCTTGGTCTGTGAATTGCCTGAGTTGTGGAAGGAAGTTGTAGTCTTATGTGAGCTGGTACTTGTCTTATCCAAAGTACTCATGGACTTTTCCAAAGGTCTTCCAGTTTTATCTGATTTTCTTGTTACCGTTGATTTGCCTGTTGTGGACTTACGACAGTTTATTTTGCTCTTGGGTGCTGGCGTTATATGTTTTTTTCCAGCGGATTCTTTATGTGTGGTAGTGGAGTCAGCAGGATCAACAGAGCGCTGGTTCCGGATCATTGGGTCTTTCCCTTGGTTGCTGGAGTTTTCTTCAGAAGTGGGAGGAGCCTCATGATTATCTGTAGAGCTTTTGTGGTCTATAGTTTTGGAGTTGCCTGTAGGCTTGTCAGTTGGCTTAGAATGGCGTGTGGTGTTGCAGTGGCGTTTTTGCTCATGGATTTCTGTAGATTTAGGGAGCTCTGGAGGTCTTTGTCCTGAATGCAGAACAATGTGATCAAAAGGGATACTATAAACAAGGCCTGGAGTGAGGGGAAATATGTGATCGGATGTTGAGAGTTCCCCAGTTTTCTGATATTCTTGGAATGTAGTAGCACCTGTGGAGGGAGAGAGGCAAATAAGAAACTTCCCCCATGTTCTTCTCCAACTCCCCCTTCCCACCTCCTTCTCTAGGGGATCTCTTTGTTCCCCCTGATATGACTCCCCAGCCAGTCTCCTCTGAATACTATGATATCTATTCCCCATTCTCACCTCCAGCCCCTAGGCTCAGGCTGTGCCTTCAGCAAGCATGCCACCTCATCCCCTTCCACATCTCCTCAACTCTCCATCTCAAGGCCTTCTGGCTTTAAGGCATCTTTTCTGATCCGTCTAAGCAGATAAAATCCAGCTTCATTTCAGTGCTTGAAAAGGTCTTTATTCACCATTCTGTCCTGTTACCTTCAACTTCACGTTACAGTTGTTTGCGTGCCTGCCGACCTCCACTCCCTGCCATGCCTATCCAATGGTAAGGTTTTGAGGGCATGTATGGACTAGCATTTTACTGTGCAGGTGCCCCTTTAGGGTCTGTAACTTATGGAATGGAGTCTTCTTTCTATGGCATAGCTGAGAAGACCAGGAGTAAACGTTAGACTCTTCACCTTTCCATAACATTCTAACACCATCCCAAATGTAACAGTGTGAGAAATTGAGGTAAGACCTCTGGCAGAACTTCCCATAGGGATTAGCAGGTAGACACAAATTGTGAGTGAGAGATGTATAAGAAGAATGGAGGATGGGTAGAGTAAGGAGATGGGAAGCTTTCATTTCGGTGATAAAGTTGGATGAGGGGAATGGATGAGATGACCCAACCCTTATGGTCACCCCACTGGGTCCCCCTCTTCACACATTTAAAGCCAACTGGGGATAGATGAAAGGGGCCATCCTGAAAGGAAAAGATATCTGCTTGGGGGTCCTGACAGGAGTAAACGAGGCAACTAGATTGTGGTAGGGACTGACTATGTTTAAGGACAGGGTGTGAGAGAAAACACCCCTATCAGTGGACAGATACACGCCTTAATTCCATGGAAAAACAACCTGATGGAGACAGAGGAGATGTCTCTGATACCTAGCCAAAAGAGTGAAGGCCAAGAGATCACCAAAGAGTGAAAGAGATAGTGTCATTACATAACTGAGGTTTCTGGTCCCTGTTAGCTCAAGGCGGCAACCGGAACCTGGACCTATTCCCAATCACAAGAAACCACAGTCCACCTGCCTGCTGATGGGCAGAATCGGCCTGGGGAGCTTAGTCCTTGAAAGAAATATGGGCAGGACAAGAAGGGTGTGAGGGTAATAGAGAAGCCCAAGTCTCTGAAAGGAATTGAGAATGAGGGGAGAGAAGGGGGCTGAATGATCAGGCCTGCACTCCACTGTCCCAATCCCATTACCTGATCTCCTTGGCAGCAATACCAGTAATAGCTATTGTTTATTGGACACCTTCCCCGGCCCCAGGATGTGGCTGGTGGCCTCACAGACATTCTCTTTCTGGATTCTCTTCTATGGTGATTGATCTCCCAATGCTCCATAAGGCTCTTTAGAAGCGGTCAACTTCCCCTATTTTACATCTGAGAAATTTACATTTCACGGAGGAAAAGTGACCTGTACATAGTCCCACAACAATAGCAATGGGCAACGTTTCTAGAGCTCTACAATGAGACAGGCAGGTTCTACAAGTGAGGGCATACATTAACTTATTTACTTTTCACAAGAACCTGTTGAGGTTGAGAACTATCCTATTCTCCAAACTTTATAGATGAAGAAACAAGGTTCTGAGTGGTTAAGTAATCTTCTCAAGGACACCCAGCAAGTAAGAGGTCGAGACAGAATCTGAACACACATCCTGGGGTCCCGGGCCCAGATCATTGCTGGTTAAGACCACAGTGCACAGCCAATAGGTCAGCCCAGTCTTTTAAAGAAGGAAAGACACTGACATGTGTGGACTCCCTGAAAGGTGCTGTTCATATATTTGTTTATTTAATCAAATAATTATGAACCTGTGAAGTGAGGAGTGTGATCTTACTGTTTTACAGGTGGGGAAAGGAGACGCAAAGAGGTTAAGTAATTGGCAAAATTAGACTTTTCACTGTGCCCCAGATGTTTTTAAACATGATAAGGGATGAATGACTATCTATTGAGTGAATAAAGGAGCTGGCAGCAATGCAAAGGGCATTTTCCACTGGCCTTAAAGAATCAGAGGACAGGTTTGACATCCAGGCTCGGTCCCTCAGCGGTTTTGCATTCTTGCTCAGGTCTCTTAAGTGCTCTGAAGCTCCATGTTCTCGACTGTAAATAACCATGATGCTGACTGCACCAGCTTAATGTGAGGATTAAAGGAAGTATGGACCATGGAAGACTCTGGAGCACAGAAGCTATTTAAATGTTTGTTGAATCCACATTGTAGTCTCTGAAATAATCTCGTGCTTTGCCCTGTCCTTCTCCTGGTAGTAAGGGGAGCCTGAGCAGTAGCCCTACCCCCCTGCCTGCTCCATCCACCTCTCACCTGCTGTGGCCACCTTCTTGAAAACAGCAGCCTCTGCATTCCTGGGCCACTTTCTCTGCTGTGTTTTAATAACACAGCACTCATCACTTTCTGATATGTGATAAATACAATTAAATTTCCACAATGGCAAGGCTTTTTTTGTTTGTTTGTTTTTTGAGATGGAGTCTCACTCTGTCGCCAAGGCTGGAGTGCAGTGGTGCGATCTGGGCTCACTGCAACCTCCACCTCCTGGGTTCAAGTGATTTTCCTGCTTCAGCCTCCTGAGTAGCTGGGACTACAGGCACATGCCACCACACCCAGCTAATTTTTTGTATTTTTAGTAGAGATGGGGTTTCACTGTGTTAGCCAGGATGGTCTCGATCTCCTGACCTCATGATCTGCCCACCTCAGCCTCCCAAAGTGCTGGGATTACAGGCATGAGCCATTGCATCCGGCCGGGGTTTTTGTTGTTGTTGTTGTTGTTTGAGATAGAGTCTTACTCTGCACCAGGCTGGAGTGCAGTGGCATGGTCACAGCTCACTGCAGTCCTGACCTCCTGGGCTCAAGCAGTACCCCCACCTCAGCCTCCCTGTCAGCTGGGACTACAAATGTGAGCCAGTATGCCCCCTCCTCACCTTTTTTTTTTTTTTTTTTTTAAGACGCAGGGTCTCACTATGTTGGCCAGGCTGGTCTCAAACTCTGGTCTTCAGTGATCCTCTCATCTCAGCCTCCTAAAATATTAGGATTATAGGCGTGAGCCACTGCACCTGGCCTGGCCTGGCCTGGCCTGGCAGGGATTTTTATTGTTTTGTTCATCGCTGTCTCCAGCCTAGAACAGTGTCTGATCCATAGGAGGCACTTTGTAAATATTTGTTGAATAATGAATGAAAGAATAAGACTGATGAAAACTCCTTAAAAGCCTTGCCAACAACATTTCATCATGCACGTTAAGTAAAAACCAAATGTATTTGTGACCTCCACAGGCTGGAAGACCAAGGGCGACTTCCGCTGTTCAGTAATTGAGCTCTGAGATTAAAAGACGTTGAAAGAAGGCCTCTGGCCCACCAATTCTGGGATACCAGTTGTCATTAAACCACAGGATCACAGTCCATAACTAGACTCAGATAACAAGATTTTAGAATTTTAGATCTGCATCAAACAGTTGTGGAACCATAGATTGTAAAAAGCTGAGGTAAAGCTCAAGGGATTCCTTGGCCCTGACACAGCCAAGAGGCAAATCAGTGTAAACCCCCAGGACAAGAGGAGCATCTCTGCCCCAGACGATCTACTTTGGTAGTGACTTATTTCCCTAGTAAGTTTTCACCAGGAGATATTCATTCCACGTACAACCATCATAGCCCGAAAAGAACTGTTTTGGTCACTGAAGAATAGGCAGGAGGTGCAGAGAGGAAAATCCAACTTTAGCACAAGACACTGTAGGTGGATGCTCAGCTGGGATAAAAGAATAAGAACAAATCCCACAACATCAAAACGATGCACAGTGCCAAAGGTCCCCGCCATCTGCTTTGTTCACTCATTTGAAAGAGAGGACATCGGCTGGGCACAGTGCCTTATACCTGCAATCCCAACACTTTGGGAGGCCATTGTGGGCCTGAGGTCAGGAGTTCGAGACCAGCCTGGCCAACATGGCGAAACCCCGTCTCTACTAAAAATATGAAAATTAGCCAGGCGTGTTGGCAGGACCCTGTAATCCCAGCTACTCAGGAGGCTGAGGCAGGAGAATCAGTTGAACCTGGGAGGCAGAGGCTGCAGTGAGCCAAGATCATGCCACTACACTCCAACCTGGGCCACAGAGTGAGACTCTGTCGAAAGAAGAAAGAAAGAGAGACAGAGAAAGAAAGAAAGAGAAAGGGAAAGAAAAGGAAGAAAAGAAAGAAAAGGAAGGAAGGAAGGGAAAGGAAAGGAAAGGGAAGGAAGGAAGGGAGAAAGAATATCTTGCTAAGCAACTCATGCCTTGGAGTCGCTGTCAGGGCACGCTGTCCCAAAAGAGCATCTCTAGTGTTTCCTGGTATCCTTACCCCCATAAATGGCATGCTCCATTTGCAATAATGTGGGTAAATGTTTGTTAAAATACCTATACAGTATGAGTTCAATAAGTGGCTTAAAATGCAGACATAGAAAAAGAAAAGCTGGTGGGCACAGTTGTTCACACCTATAATCCTAGCATTTAGGGAGTCTGAGGCAGGAGGATCACCAGTTTGAGACCAGTCTGGGCAACATAGCGAGACCTGTCTCTACAAAAAAAAAAAAGGAAAGCTAAAGGGAGATATAATCAAATGATTGCTTGGGGACTAGGGAGTATACAGAGATTTTATTTTTCTTTCTTATTTTTTCTATTTTCCATTTTCTACAATGAGCATACATTATTTGTGTTATAGAAATTAAATCAAATAACATTTGTTATAGGAAAATGTTCTTGTTAGATTCTTCCAAGGACCCCAGCCCCAATTCCCATCTCCTGCCTCACCTGTACTCTCTCAGATGGTTTCATCTAGACTGCACCTGTGCTCCCTCAGATGATTTCATCTGGGCTGCACCTGTGCTCCCTCAGATGATTTCATCTAGACTGCACTTGAGCCTCCCTCAGATGATTTAATCTAGACTGCGCTTGAGCCTCCCTGTGATGATTTAATCTGGACTGCACCTGTGCCTCCCTGTGATAATTTAATCTAGACTGCACCTGTGCTCCCTCAGATGATTTAATCTAGACTGCACCTGTGCTCCCTCAGATGCTTTAATCTAGACTGCACCTGTGCCTCCCTCTGGTGACTTAATCTGGACTGCACCTATGCCTCTCTGTGATGATTTAATCTGGACTGCACCTGTGCTGCCCTCGGATGATTTAATCTAGATTGTACCTGTGGTTCTGTGACTGCATGATGCAGACTCTGGGGTTCCAGGATCTAGTTATCTGTCTGGGTGTTGACTGGTCCTGTGGACAAACGTCAGGGTCTCCTCACCAGAATGGTAGACTAAAGGGCTTCATCCATCCCAGTTGTCCCTCTTCCCTTCCTGCCCTGGCCTCTCTCTCTGCTGGGCACAGCCATGCACCAGCTCTGATTCACACTCCAGTTCCACCCGACCTCATCACAACCCGAGCCCAGCCTCAAGCCCTCCCCACCTGTAACCCACTCACTCTTGTCTTCAAAATCTGCAGAATGGGAGCAGCCAGCTCCCCTTGTCCTCCCCACCCCTCCCTCCATGCCGCCCAGCCACGCCTATCTCCTCTCCGAGACCACGCCCACATGGCCCCATCGGAATCTCAGGAATTCAGATCTCCGCCCTGAAGCAAATCTCAGAGCGACTGTGTATGGAGTGGATTCCCTTCCGCCCCCTGCAGGTTCCTCTTCCTTAAGCTGCAAGATGGAAGGAGGAGAGAGCAGCCAGTGGACAATCCGCCTGAGAGGAAGGGGAAGGAAAGGCGGGAGAGATGGGGCCGGGAGGTGTTGGGCAGCTGTGGTACCTCTGTCTCCAGACCCTCAAGGTAGGGGAGACAGACATCAAGTCAGGGCACAGACAGGACGCACTGCTGAGACCTTTCAGAGGCAGCTCAAAGATTCCTCAGTCATCGCCATTCACCACCCACCTGCCCCTGCCTCCACCCCTGGCCTCAACCTGACTGTGCTCAGGGAAGGGGCACTGCCTCTAATATCACCCTGTGGATGGCTCTGTCCTTGGATGACTGTCCAGTGGGTAGATAGTGTCTCTGAATCTGCTGTTCTACATCTGCCTTGTGGAGACCCTCCTCCAAATTGCCCAGGCCCTCCACACCGCCCCTGTGTTCAGCATCTCTGCTCCCCGGGTTCAGTAGCAGTCCGTTTCTTGACTAAGTGAACTAATTTCATAATTTCATCTTATCTTTAGGGTATGTTTTGTTCGTCGAACTTGTCCATAGTCATTTTCCCATCAAAGTCCTGAGATGTTTCCCAACTGTAAGACAGGGACAGAGCCTTTGACGCACACTTTTCTGAGTCTCCATGTGGATTAAATGAGTAAATGTGGATGAAGTCCCTAGAGCAACACCTGGTGCAGTGTAAATGCTCTGTAGGCATCAAATACTGGTACGGCTGGGCAGCAGCATCCAGCCCATTTTACAGATGGTGTGGAAGGCCAGAGTAGGCAAATGGGTCAGAGTCAGGACTGGAAGCTAGGTCTGCACAAAACAGAGCTCTCAGGAGAGAAGCTCCACCTGTCCCCCCAGGGCTGGGGGCAGTGGAGCTGGAATCCCTGCTTACCTCCCTCTAGCTGTGAGATATGGGACATAATCATTGTGAATCCACTCTCCTCAACTATAAGATGGGATATTATTAGCCACCTCAGGGGATGCTGAGATGAAATGAGATGAGTCTCTGGGCACGGTGGCTCTCACTTGTAATACCAGCACTTTGGGAGGCCGAGGCAGGCGGATCACTTGAGGCCAGGCATTTGAGACCAGCCTGGCCAACATGGTGAAATCCTGTCTCTACTAAAAATACAAAAAAATGAGCCAGGCGTGGTGGCAGGTGCCTGTAATCCCAGTTACCCAGGAGACTGAGGCAGAAGAATCGCTTGAACCCGGGAGGCAGAGGCTGCAGTGAGCCAAGATTGTGCCACTGCACTCCAGCCTAGGCAACAGAGCAAGACTCCTTCTCAAAAAAAAAAAAAAAAAAAAGAAGAAGAAGAAGAAGAAGAAGAAAGAAATCACCATGAGCAGCTGTGAATTCCGTGCACGGTGCTCAATGAATGTCAGGTGCCTACCCCCACCATCCAGGGCTGGCAGCCTCTACAGTGTCTTTATGCAAACTTGAAGAAACCCCCTCTGGATGGGTGCAGCCCTGTGAGCCATGTTTTAAAGAGCAGAGCACAGGCTGGATTTCATCTCCTACTACATGTCCCTTAGCCAGCAAACTTGAGCAGAGAACACTCTAGACAACTGTCTGTAGCAGCCCCGTGCCCGCCCCCTTCATTCATTTCTATTTGTTGTCCAACGCTATGAACACTAAGAAACAAGCTGTTTCTGTCTTCTGTATCCCCTGTGGGCATCTTACCTGCCCCCCAAGAAGCTAGAAGGAAGAGGAGGCAGCACTGGAGGCCAAAGGCGGAGCAGAGGCTGTGGACCGGCTGGGCCATGTCGGAGCTGGGTGGCTGCTTGGGGACCATGGGCTGCGGACCCCTCACCTTATATGGAGCCAATCTTGACGTCATGGGGGCTGGGGCTCCTCAGGACTAAGTCTTAAACAAATGGAGCCACCCCAACCCACAGGGGAGCCCTGATAAGAGGAGACCGCAGCTGCTGCGTCATGGAGCCAGGCACCTGGGTGCCTGCCGAGGGGTGGGATCTGGGGGCAGGGCAGAGGAACCAGAAAGGAGCAGGCACCTGAGCCAGCCCCAGTGGAGGGAAGTGAGGGTGGCGCCTCCAGGGCTCTGGGGAAGTGGGGAGCAGATGGCTCAGTTCTAGAAGGACTGAGCTCTGGCTGGGAGCAGGATGGGGTGGGGTTCACGTTCTGATCTGTGTCCAGCTTCACGCGCACCCTCCCACCTCTCCCGCATCAGCCCAGCTTCCACACCCCTTATTCACACATGGTCATTCTTGCCACCTTGGGCGGAGCTGTCCGCGAGGATCAGGTGAAAGAGCAAAGGCGAGAGAAAGCCCTCGAATGACCCTCGCTGCAGAGAAAGGTGCTTCATGATGTTCAGAGGTCATACAACAATATGTGGAGAGTGCAGAGGCAGTGACAGAGACAAGACACAGAACCACAGGGACATATGTCACACCCCTCACCAGGGACACAGACAGGTCAGGCCACCCAGAAGGACCGAGGCCAAGATCTTTGGCCAAGAGATGCTCGGTGTACAGGGGCTTCTGCTTTCACTCTACCTCTTCCCTCCCACCTCAGCTCAGCGGCTGTCTCTTTGTCTCGAAGTCCCCATTCACTCCTATACAGAAATGCAGACATCTCATTTTTAGGAGCACCCCAGAGCTCCCCCTTCCCTTCCTCACTTCCTGCCTAAAGCAAGCATTAGCTCAGAGACTCCCTTGTCTCCCCAGTGACAGTGCCTGGGGCTGGAGTAGGGGAGGACAGACTCCCTGGGTCTCTAGCACAGAGAAGTCACAACCCCTTTCTGCCCACTGTGGGTCTCCATGGAAAGTAAGCACCTTGGATCCCTGCTGTGTCATCAGAGCCTAGGACAGTGTCTGGCACACAGTAGGCAATCAATAAATGTTTCCACTCCGCCTGGATGGAGTGGAAGCCAGGGCCGGAGGATGCCTTTCTGAGGGAAGTGGGGGCAGGCAAAGGCCATAGAGAGGTCCAGGACCTGAGGGCAGGAGGCCAGGCCCTCAGGGCATTTGGGCTCATGAGAGGACTAGAGAACTGGACATGTGGGTTCCTCTCCTTACTTGGTGTGACTTGTCCCTAAGCCCTGGGCAGGGCTGGAATAGGTGGGAAGAGGAGAGGAGGCCAACTGCTTATTAATGTGATTAATGGGAGATTAATGAGGCTCCGTGGAGTCAGGCCAAAGACTGACTACTCAGAACTGGGCAGCCTGCCTCCCAGGCAATATATCCTGCAGGATGGAGAAACTAAGGCAGACACAGGCTGTCCTCTGCAACTCCATGTAGACTCGGGTGACTGACAGTCCCCCTTTTCACTGGTCCCCTTCCCCCCCCCCCTTTCCCCAGGGACCCAAGCCTCTAGGACGGTGGTTCTGTACAGGGAGGAGTAATTTTGCCCACATCAGGGAACATTTGGAAATTTCTGGAGACATTTTTGTCACAATTTGGAGTGGGATGCTACTGGCATCTAGGGGGTAGAGGCCAGAGATGCTGTGGGACATCCTATAATGCCCAGAGCAGTCTCCACAGCAAAGAATTATCCAGCCCAGGACACCAATTGTGCTGAAGTGGAGGATCTCTGCTTTAGAATAAGCACTAACCAGTGTTTGTGAATGAACACCCCCTTCCCTTCTCTCTGAGCTACAACTCCACCCCAAGGACGCTGATGTCTGGGATGGAGAAACCTGGAGGTAGGTGGAGGCCCAAAACAGTCTCTTACAGTCAGTCTATGTTGCTTCATCTGAGCTGGAGGCTGAGAGGCCAGTCACGAAACAACTCTGCCAACTACCATTGTTTGGGCATTTCTATGTACTGAAGAATGTACTAAGCACCTCACCTATGAGTTATCACCTGTCACCCTCACTTTACAGATGAGGATAAATGAGCCTCGGATCAGGGAATGACTTGCCCTGGTAACTGGCAGAGACCAGACTTGGCCCTTCCGGGCCCACATGACACAAAAGCCCATGCACTTGGGCAAACCCACAGCATCTGGGAGACA
This sequence comes from Homo sapiens, assembly GCF_000001405.40. Taxonomy (NCBI): domain Eukaryota; kingdom Metazoa; phylum Chordata; class Mammalia; order Primates; family Hominidae; genus Homo; species Homo sapiens. The sequence continues at coordinate 30,938,792 of NC_000006.12, read as the reverse complement.
AGTGGAGGAAGTGCCATTTTATTTAGCAATAACTTGTTCACCACCCTCCCATAGCAGACCGAGGGGGCACCACAGAGGAGGGTCCTGCACCTGCCCTGAGGGGAGAGAATCAGAGGGCCTTGGGGGCTCAAGAGCCAGCCTGAGGGGGCTCCCTGTGGAGGGAAGTGAGAAGGGAAGCCGTGAGCAGACTGTCCTCAGCTAAAGAGCTTCTCTGGTCGTCAGGGAGGAGGGTGGGACTAGGAAGAGAGGGTGAGGGGCAGGGGTTCCAGCTGTCCAGACCTGGGCTCCGTGAGGGCTGGAAGGTGCCTGCAGACCACTTAGCCCTGGTCCTTCCTTCTACAGATGAGAAAACTGCCCTCGGAGAAGCTGGGCACCTTCCCGCAGTCTGCATGGCTGGCGGCAGGACAGAGAGCAGAATCTTGTGACTGACAGTAGACTCCTCCTTACGCTGTGGGTGGAAGAGACCTGGGGGGGCCAGTGACCCCAGGAATCTACCTGCAGGAAATGGTCCCAGCTAAGGTGAATGGGATAGGGGAGTCTGGGAATGAGACTATCTGGGAGAGGAAGAAGGAAGGCCAAAGGGTAGGCGCTCAGCTGCCCCAGCCCCACCTTTCATTTGACAAGAGTAGCGCTGGCTGGCAGCCTCCCCCTCATGGTGGCTGCTGTAAGGGGTCACAGAGCCACAGCCACACCCCAGACTCATCTCCCTCCGGAACTGGCAGGCCTGTGAGATGAGGGGAGGGTACGATGGGTTAATCTAGGGACCCGGGAACCTGCTGCTCAGCCCAGCTCTTCCCATGAACTGCTGCTTCCTCTTGGCAACCCAGGCACTCAGCATTCCTCTTTGAGCAAAAACAGCAATAATAATGAATAAGGCTGTATATTGAGCACTTACTATAATACATGCCAAGCACCATTAGTGCTCTCTTTGCATAAGCTTATTTGATCCTCCCAACCACCCTTTGAGATGGATGCCATCATTCTCATTTCATCCAGGACTCAATTACCTCATCTGTAAAATGAGGAGTAATATTTCCTATATCACTGGCTTGCTGTGAACTAAAATATGTACAGCACCTAGCACACCTAGCACATAATCAGTGCGATGTAATATTATTATTATTTAAGTATTATTATTAATGAAGAATCCGGAGCACAGACAGATTAAGTAACTTGCACAAGGATTCAAGCCCAGGTGAATGTGGCTCCACAGAACTGGTCCTTCATTGCCTAGAGCTGAGTTGAGTGCTTCCACGTGCCAGTCAGCCTCCAGCACTCCCCCGCCTCTTTCAGTGGCCCCAACCCCCTATCCCTGCCAGACCGGTGTTTTTCTCGGCCACTGAGACAAGGGCTCTCTTTGCCCTCCCTGCAACAAGCCCTGCAAGCTGTCATTCCCCTCCCCAAAGCCCTGTTCTCCTCTGAATCCTGGGGCACCAGGTCCCAGCCCCACTGGCACAGGGATCCCACACATTGGACCATGGCATTGCTCACCTTCTTGATACCGTACATTAGGCTGACAATTGCTGCCACCAAAGTGAGAGTGATCAACACAATGGCCCAGTCTGAGACAGAGTCCTTCTGGGGCTTCGGACCTGGGGCACAAAGACAGGGCCAGTGACTGAGGTAAGTGGTGCCTCCAGCCCCCCAGACCCCCACTGCCCTCTGACTTTCCATCTTTCTTTCTGTGACTGATGTCTCTGACTCTGAGACCTCATCTCTCTGGTGTTTTCTCCTATCACCTTGGGAGCAGAATCTCAGCAGGGGTGGGGGTGGGGGTTTAAAGGGCTTCAATCCAAGTCTCAATTGCCTCTTCCCTGTGGACACGTCTGTCAGTCCCAGACTCATCACTGAGGTCCGCACCTCACTGTCTTTCTCGGGCCCTATTTTCTGCATCCCTGGGTCTGTGATGCTTCTGCACTGGGAGGGTCCTCAGTAGGCACTCTCCTTCCTCCAAGCCCCAGTTCTCCCCACCACTCCACCCTGATTCTTGTCCTTAAGGGGAACCAGAGCCTGATCTCCTGTCTTCCTTCCATTCGTTTCCTGCCGTCAGACTTCCCGCGTGGTATTCCCTATGCTCCCCTTCTAGGAATGAAAGGGAGGGGAGGAGGATGATGGAAGAAGGAGGGGTGATCTCTGGAAGGAATGCCTCTCGCCCTGAACAGAGAGATTAGATCATGAGGAAGAAAGATGAAAACCTTTCGAGAAAGCAGCCAGGTAACAGGCATCTGGCAGTTGGTCTGACCAGAGGCCACCAAAACCCCTTTGAGCTACAGACACATCCTCAGACAGGTTTAAAATACAGTTGAAAGCAGGAGCTAATGACTCTCCCTGAACTCCTCCCAAGGAGCCAGGGGTGGCTGCAGGGAAATGAGAGAGAATAGGCCCACCAACATTTTACTGTAAGTGACCCAGTGCCTAGAAGAGTGACTTAACTGGCCAGGATGCTGAGCCCAGAGGACGTGGTGGCCACCCAGCCATGGTGGCAGTGGAACTCCTAAGACAGCAACACTCAGTGCTAAAGTCCCAGGCACAGTTGGAGCTGTTCCGGGAGCACTGGATGAGGCAGGTCCTAAGAGGGCAGAGGGAAAAAACAGAAGAGATTCAAGCAAGAGCAAAGCAGAGGTCACATCAAATGCACCCACAGGCAAGACTCCAGCAAGTTTTTGGAATAAACTGATGAAATAATGTTATGAAAATCAAGACTGAGAATAACCAAGACACTCTCTTAAAAAAAAAAAGGGAGAACTTACACTATGAGATCTCAAGACTTGCTACAAATCTGTAGTCCTTAAGCACTGTGGCCCTGGAGTAAGAACTGACTGATAGGCCGGGTGCAGTGGCTCACACCTGTAATCCCAGCACTTTGGGAGGCTGAGACAGGCAGATCACCTGACGTCAGGAGTTCGACACCAGCCTGGCCAACATGGTAAAATCCCGTCTCTACTAAAAATACAAAAAAATTAGCTGGGTGTGGTGGCAGGCGCCTGTAATCCCAGCTACTCCGGAGGCTGAGGCAGGAGAATTGCTTGAACCCGGGAGGCGGAGGTTGCAGTGAGCCGAGATCGCGCCATTGCACTCCAGCCTAGGCAACAAGAGTGAAACTCCACCTCAAAAAAAAAAAAAACTTACCGAAAAACCCACACAAATAGTCACTTGACTTTCAGGATAGGTGCTCACCGTTCAATGGCAGGGACAGGGGAGGGTCCTTGGAAATAATGGTTCTGGATATTCATAAGAAGAAAAAATGAATCTTGACTTCCACCTCGCTCCATACACAGAAATTAACTTGAGATGGATAATAGACTTAAATTTGAAAGCTAAAATAATAACGTTTCTGGAAGAATGCAGAGGAGAATATTTTCATGACCTTGAAGTAGCCAAAAAAGTCTTAGGATACAACAGGAACTAATCATGACAGAAAAAGGTGATGAATTGGAAAACAGAAAGAGAGGCCCTTGTATAGCCACAAAGGCAAGGGAGCTGCTTCCACTGAGGTTCTGGAAAACTGCCAGGCTTGCAGGAAGCCCCACCCCAGAGCTACAGACCGAGCTGAAGGGTTCTCCCGAGATGGGTTGAGCAACAGAAATATCACCTGATGATGTGGAGACTGTTCCTGAAGTGCTCCCAGAAACGGCTGGAGCTAAAGACTGAGGACTGCTGGGAAAACTCCCAGAGTTTGAAGAAACTGTTGAGACACTCCCAGAGGCAGTAGGGAGACTTCTAGAGATAGTGGGGACAGTTGCAGAGATAGTGGGGAGACCTCCAGAGACAGAGGGAAGATTTCAGAGACAGTAGGGAAACTTTTGGAAATAGTGGGGACAGTTGCAGAAACAGTGGGGAAACCTCCAGAGATAGTGGGAAGACTTCCAGAAACAGTGGGAGACTTCCAGAAACCGGGGAGAGCTCCAGAGACAGAGGAGAGACTTCCAGAGACAGTGGGGAGACTTCCAGAGACAGGGGAGACCTGGGGATACTGTGTCAGAAGTCCCCAGTAGGGTCAGCTGAACTGTTGAAAAAAGAAGATAAACCATAGAACAGGGTTAGAAGAGTTGGCCATCCCACTGGGTCCCAAATTCATGTCCTTCCTCAAGACCCCCTGTCTGGGCCCAAGTGCTCACTGGGTCCGGCCAAGGCCTGCAGGCCCAGGAGCAGCACCAGCACAGTGTCCATGGCACCAGTTGAAGTGTGTTGGCCAGGCCCATCTCCCAGGCTCTTTAAAGGCTCTGGGGCCTATTATGAGTCCCGGGAGAGCCAGTTGTGCCGGGGCCTCCACCAACACCAGAATCTCCATCCCCAGAGAGAGGTCGCCAAGTTGTCCCAGGGGATTAACCTGTCCCAGCCTGATCCCAGGAAGCACAGGGTGAGGGGGAGAGTGAGTAAGAGCCTGCGGGCTCCCCCACCTGGCCCTTGGGCTCTTCCTGGACTAGGGACCTGTCCCCCAGGTCTGAGTCAATTCACAGCCCAGACCCTCCTTTAAAAGGGGAGACCCAAATGACCTATCCCAAGGTCATCCTCTTGTTCCTAGAAGTACAACCGTTGGAAGTCAGGACGTATGAGTCCCTCAGGGAAGCAGGATTTGGAAGCTGGGGTTGTAGGGGAACCATGAGGGTCTAGGACTGCATCTGACCTTCTGGAAACCTAAGAGTGGGCTGGGAAGGTCAATACCTGAGCCGTGTCTCACCTAGATGGCTGCAGCTGACAGAGCTTTCCATTCCTTTGACAGGGAAGGGGAAAGGGGAGATAAGGGGCACCAAGGAAGACACGTGTCATGTTTGGGGACAGTGTGATATGGAAGGTCAGACCCCAGCTCTGGAGCCAGACAGCCCTGAATCCTCAGAAGCTCAGTACCAGGGCTGAGTCCACTGCACTGGAATCCACCACTGCTGAGCTGTGCATTCTCTGGCAAGTCACAAGGCCTAAGTCTTAATTTCACCTCTAAAATCGGGGTAATCTAGTACCTACTTCACAGGCGCTTATGCGCTATAAAGGAATACTTAGTGATGAGCCTAGCACATGGCTGTAGAAAGTGTGGGGGAGGCCAGGTGCGGTGGCTCACGCCTGTGATTCCATCACTCAGGGAGGCCGAGGGGGTGGATCACCTGAGGTGAGGAGTTGGAGACCAGCCTGGCCAACATGGTGAAACCTTGTCTCTACTAAAAATACAAAAATTAGCCTGCTGTGGTGGCGGGTGCCTGTAATCCCAGCTACTCGGGAGGCTGAGCCAGGAGAAGATTGCACCACTGCACCCCAGCCTGGGCGACAGGGATGAGACGCTGTCAAAAAAAAAAAAAAAAAAAAAGGAAGGAAAGGAGGGAGGGAGGGAGGGAGGAAGGGAGGGAGGAAGGGAGGGAGGGAGGGAGGGAGGGCCCTTACTCTTCTCCGAGGAAGATCTCTCTGTGTTCCCAATTCTACCTCCTGCTCGTCCCTCCTGTGCCTGCTGCTCTTCTCCTCCATGCTTTCTTCCCACTGTGGTCTTCCTGTTGTCCTGTGCAAGTCTGGGAGTCATTGGTTGCCTCACTTTACACTTACAGTGCAGACCAGGCCTCTATCTCTGTTTCCCCATCTTGCTTTTGCTCTCCCCACCTCTGCCCAGTGCTCTCTCTGCCTCTGTCTCTCTGTGCTCAGTCCCGCTGGCTTTGGGGAAGGTGGAGAGGCTGCATAGGGAAGTGGCAGATAGGAAGATGCTGGCCTGTGCCCTTGTGTGTTCAAGCAAGTTTCCATGGCTGGTGTGTCTCTTTGTCTGGCTAGAGGGATGGGTTCTAATCTCTCTGCTACTTGTTGGCTGGGTGACCTTAGCAGGTCACTTACCCTCTCTGTGCCTTACTTTCCTAGTTTCTAAAGAGGGTCAGTAACTCCCTCTGCACATCTGTCCTGTGCTTGCCTGTCCCAGCGCTTGCCTGTAGGCATCTCGGCCGGGAGTAGGTGGGTGTCCCCTTTTCATGGGTGCACAAGGCAGGAGTGAGAGGATGTCTGAGGAAACTCGTGTCTCCCCCTGACAATCCAGGATGCGTTAGAGCAAGTAAAACAGAATGTTCAGCAATGGAAGTTCCCATGACCAGATTTCTCATCTAGAAAGCCACCAAGGCTGGGGAAGCAGTGTTCACAGTCCATTATAGACCCAACTCCTTGTTCTACTCCTTCTACTCTTTTCACTACTGCACTTGACTAGTGTTTAAAAAAAAAAAACCTGAGGGAGCAGGACACCTGGGTTCTGGAAGAAACTTGGCTTAATCCACCCCTCCCTTTTGGGCCCACATTCCTGAGCCCTTCGGTGTCAAGAATGATGAAAATTAGCTGCAGTTAATAATTAATCTCTAAAGATCCTTGGGAGGCCCGGGCATGGGTGGGGGCCCAGACACCTGCAGGAGGGACGCCTCCCTGGTCCCCGCTTCCCTCTCCATTTCCCTGTCTGTAGGACCCGCACTCACTCCCTCAAACCTGGAGACACAAGGGAGGGGTGGGACACAGAGTGGAAAAGAGGGGACTTCCTTCTATTTTCCCCAAAAGCACAGTGAATGGTCCTCTCCTGGGTCCTCTCTTACTGGGAGAACTGGAAAATCCAGTTGACCAGATTCCTCCTCCCATTTCCCCTCAAACACTTATGCTAAGGCTTGAGTGGGGTGTAGAAACAGGCCTGTTAAGGAGAGGCCACCGGGACTTCAGTGTCTCCTCCATCCCAGGAGCGCAGTGGCCACTATGGGGTCTGGGCTGCCCCTTGTCCTCCTCTTGACCCTCCTTGGCAGCTCACATGGAACAGGTGAGGGCTAGAGGGCAGGACTCCTGGGTCCCTGTGGCAAGAAGAGGCCAGAGAAAAGGGGTGGGACTTCATGGTCCCTGAGAGTGACAGAGACACCCCAGTCCTGAGCTTCCAAGAGGCTCTGGAGGGGCATTGCTGGGGAAGAGGAACTGTGCCGGGGAGCGTGAGCAGGAAGGTTCTGTGTCTCCGGAGGAATCAGCCCTGACTGCTGGGTCCTAAGCTGTACTTCTGGATCCGCAGGGCCGGGTATGACTTTGCAACTGAAGCTGAAGGAGTCTTTTCTGACAAATTCCTCCTATGAGTCCAGCTTCCTGGAATTGCTTGAAAAGGTAGTTCTTTGGAAGGGGAAAGATGGGGCTGTGTGTTTGTGAGTCAGTTTGGGCCTCTGCTGGGGTCTGGATGTCTCCGTGGTGGGAATGGAGAGCTCTCTTACATGGCGCCCTTTAACCCTTTGTTCCCAGCTCTGCCTCCTCCTCCATCTCCCTTCAGGGACCAGCGTCACCCTCCACCATGCAAGATCTCAACACCATGTTGTCTGCAACACATGACAGCCATTGAAGCCTGTGTCCTTCTTGGCCCGGGCTTTTGGGCCGGGGATGCAGGAGGCAGGCCCCGACCCTGTCTTTCAGCAGGCCCCCACCCTCCTGAGCGGCAATAAATAAAATTCGGTATGCTGAATTCAATAACTTGCTTGACTCTGTGGGTCCCTGAGCACAGAGCTGGCAGGAAGTGGGGGTTGGATGCTCAAGTCTCTGACTGTCCCCCTGTTGAGCAGAGGGTTCCAGGGATGGACAATGTCTCCCTCAACACCAGTGTCACAGGCCTACAAGGCATCTGGGGAGTTGTTTGGGGACACACACACCACACACATATACGCATGCATAGGAACACACACCAAATTGAGATCTTTGGAACACCTGGGAATAAAGAGAAGCAACATTTATTGAAGTCCTGCTTTTCTCCTGCATCCCTATTTCGATGCTTGCAGCAGTCTTGAATGTGGCATACTAGGTATCATTATCCTATTTTACAGATAAGGAAATTGAAGCTCAGAGAGGGCAAGTCACTCACCTGAGATCTAATAGCAGTGGAGAAGTCAGGCACTAGACAGAGGTCTTGGTTTAAGCAAGATTTTTATTTCATTTCCCTTTGCTTAAGCATTGGGGCCAGGGGCTCAAAAACCAAAGAAAGAGACATAGGCAGAACACCCCCAGGACATGGTTCCCCTGGCCCATGGATCCACACAGGTAATTGGGGTGGGAGGTGGGTGGGCACTCAGGTGAGAGATGACGGGTTCAGCTTGTGAGAGGATGCCCAGCCAGGCGCAAGTGCTGGGGAGGAGAGGCCAGGTGCAAGCTGAGCCTGTCCTGGTTAACCATGTGAGTATGAGGTGACACCAGCCCACATGTGAATTCCTGGGCATGTTTCTTATCCTCTTGGAGCCTCCATTTCTTCACTCGCAAAATGGGAACAATGATGGTACCTGCTGTAGTGTGACAGGTCCCCTACCAGGTTACTTAACGGTGTATGCCACTGCCTGAATCCTGAAGGCCAGGTGGCGAGCCAAGGTCACGGTGCCTGGCCGAGGAGCAGGTGTCCCTGAGAACCCAAACATCCCGGAGAGTATCTGGGAACCCACCAAGGAAAACAGTCCATTCGCACACACACAGTCGGCAGAGTCAGAAAATTAGCTTGAAAGCAGCTTTAGCATGGGAGGCAGCACGGATCTCTAAAGCTGTCCTGCTGCCATCCAGGAGTGCCTTGTATGTAAGTCCTAAAAAACTCATCTACTCACCAAGCTGGACTTGTCTGAGTCACTTTTTGGCCTCTCAGCTCCCTCCCAGTTTGGGGGAAGGTTTTTGTTGTTGTTGTTTTGTTTTGTTTTTACACAATTCTGAGTTTTTCTCATTATTCCTGCACCATCAGGTTGTTGTGAGGATCACACAGGGAAGCTACTTAGGGACATATCACAGCCTGTCTTATAGGTCGTCGGCAGGATGGTAGGGATTGCTGTTAGGATGGAAACCTGGTCCCAACATATAACTCCTAGTCCCCTGGGGTTCAGGGTCCTCCTTATGCTGATTTCTGAGGCAGGCACTCCTGACCACCTTCTCAAGATTATCTTGGCCAGGCGCAGTGGCTCACTCACGCCTGTAATCCCAGCACTTTGGGAGGCCAAGTCAGGTGGATCACCTGAGGTCAGGAGTTCAAGACCAGCCTGGCCAACATGGTGAAACGCCATCTCTACTAAAAACACAAAAATTAGCTGGACATGGTGGCATGTGCCTGTAGTCCCAGCTACTTCGGGGAGCTGAGGCAGAATTGCTTGAACCTGGGAAGCAGAGGCTGTAGTGAGCCAAGACCATGCACTCCAGCCTGGACTACAGAGCAAGACTCTGTCTCAAAAAAAAAAAAAAAAAAAAAAAAATTGACTTCTCACCAGCTCTCAAAACACAAACTTGCAGCTCAGACTTGAGCAGTGGGGGGTACTGATAGGATTGCTCTCTGTCCTCTGTGGTACCCACTCTGCCCCCCACACCTACACAACCCTCCATTATCTCCATATGAAATTGGAGACTGACTCCTTTGGAGACAGAAGACAACAAGAGTTCAGTATGGAGCATCACTGAAGATGAGGGGAGCATAGAAAATGGCAGGGTGGAAAAAAAACACTTAAAAAATTGGTCTACCTTCCTTCACAACTGTCCTGGGACAATTAGCCCCCAAGGAGAGGTAGCAGGGGGCTCCAAAGGAGACTAGTATTTTATGACTTGCCCCTAGCCTGCAGTAATGGGCAGGTGACGCCCATGGGGCAGCTGTGAGGATCCCCAAACAAGTTGGGGGACTGGATATCTGAATGTCCAAGAGGTTGGTAGAGCAGACAGCTAAATGCACCTCAACCTGGTTCCTAGACTTCAGGGCCTGAGATCACCAGGATGTGATTTCCAGATTATTTTTCTCAAAGAATTGTCTCCCAAGGCTCAAAACAGAGCAGTGCAGTGAAGAGTGCTTTGGGGTTCACCAGACCTGGGGGTGGCAGAGACTGCTAACTGGCCCCCCTAACAGCCATCCTCCTCCTTTTGGATAGTCATGTAGATTTCAACTCAGCATGTGGATCATTACATTTCCCAGCCTCCCTTGCAGCTAGCTGTGGCCATGTGATCACGTTCTGTCCAATAGGATGCAAGTAGAAAGGAGGTGGGCAACTTTCTGGTAGTATCCTTGAAAAGAAAGGAGCTTCCATTTCAGAGGAGGAAAAGCAAAGTTCTTGAAACAGCCTATAAGGTCTTAGATCAGTGCTTTCCAATAGAACTTTCTGTGATGATGGAAATGTTTTATAACCGTGCTGACGAACATAGTAGCCACTGGCCACATGCAACTACCAAAACACTTGAAATATGGCAAGTACGACTAAGAAACTGAACGTTTTTATTTTATTTAATGCTTTAGGTAGCCAACTGGCTACCATTTTGGACACAAGCCCCAGATTGTCCGCCTTGAGTCTTCCCTACCCCCCACCAATTCCCCACCCTCACCTCTGTTTCTCCACCTCCCACCATCCTCCCCTTCTCACTCTGCCCCACCACACTGGTCTCCAGGCTACTCCTCGAGCTGTCTGACCATGCCTCTATCTGTTTTCCTCTGGCCCTTCCCTTTGTCTGGAACGCTCTTCCTATACCTCCTACAAGCCTTTGCTTAAACCTCACCTTTACAGTGAGTTCTGCCCTGACCCACTATTTAAAAGTACAACCTGCCCCCCGCCACACAAACACATTAGAGTCCCCTTACCTTGTTCTATCCTTTTTCCCTCCCCTGCATTCATGACATTCAAACATAGTATATCGTTCACTCATTTGTATGTTATTTCTGACTGTCCTGCTAGAAGGAAAGTACTACAAGGGCACAGAATTTTGTTTCACTCACTGATGAATCTAAGTGTCCAGAATAAGGCCCAGCCCATCCATAGCAGGTGCTCAAAAAAAAAAAAAAAAAAAAAAAAAAAACACCTTGCTGAAACAGAGTAAAAAGAAAAAGAAAACTGCCCATCCCCTTCTTTCCCTCCTCCCTCTGGGTGGAAATGCAGACACGGTGATGGGAGCTGGTGCAGACCTTGGACATGAAGTTTGACAATGCATCAGAATGGCAGGAAAATAAGATTGAAGGAGGTGTGGGCTCCCATTATTGCAGATCTCTGCACTACTTATGCCCAGCAGAAGAAACATCCACCTCATCTAAGCCACCATTATATTTGAAGTTTAGTTACAGCAGCCAGAAAGAGCCTGCACCTAATTTATTGGGTTAGGTCCCAGTGGAGACTTTTCTCTGAGCACACGTCTTCATCTCCAAAATGGGGGCTGGGCGCAGTGGTTTATGCTTGTAATCCCAACACCTTGGGAGGCCAAGGCAGGTGGATTATTTGAGCCCAGAAGTTCAAGACCACCCTGGCCAACATGGCAAAACCCTATCTCTACAGAACAATTTTAAAAATTAGCAGGGCAGGGCTGGGCATGGTGGCTCATGCCTGTAATCCAAGCATTTTGGGAGGCCGAGGCAGGCAGATCACTTGAGGTCAGGAGTTCAAAACCAGCCTGGCCAACATGGTGAAACCTTGTCTCTACTAAAAATACAAAAAAAATTTAGCTGGGCGTGGTGACAGACAACTGTAATCCCAGCTACTCAAGAGGCTAAGGCAGGAGAATCACTTGTACCAGAGAGGTAGAGGTTGCAGTGAGCCAAGATCTCACCAGTGCACTCCAGCCTAGGTGACAAAGCAAGACTCCGTTTCCAAAAAAAAAAAAAAAAAAAAAAGTAGCAGGGCACAGTGGTGCACACCTGTGGTCCCAGCTACTCAGAAGTCTGAGGCAGGAGGATCACTAGAGCCCTGGAGGTTGAGGCTACAGTGAGCCATGATTATGCCACTGCACTCCAGCCTGAGCAACAGAGCGAGACCCTGTCCCAAAAATAAAGTAAAAATAAAAATCTCCAAAATGGAGCTAACACCCGCCTCATGAGGTTTTCAGTAGGATTAAATGGCATTGTACATCTAGCACCACAGAGGACCCAGCCCAGGACAGGCTACTCAGAGCTGCTGGACAGAATGTACTCTGGGCGTGGAAGGGCCAGGCCCTTGAATTCCATGGAGATGAGATGGTGTTTGGCGTGGGTAAGGTGGCTGGCTGTGCTGTGAATGTGTAACTCAGAGGCTGGGCACTCAGGTGTCAGAGCACAGAAGGTGGGGGCACACCATCTGCAGCACAGCCTGCAGCCCATCAGGTCTGGAGGAAGTCCTACTTCTCTCAGCACCTCTAGGGATACAGCCAAGGAGCGGGGAAGCTTCCATTTAGTGAGAAGTGGAGGAGAAAGAGCCTGCAAAAGCCAGGGCACTGTCAGTTAGTCCAGAAAGTAGGTAGAACCGGAACCACTGTGCCCATACCCTACCCATGACTAGAAAGTTCCTCTTCCTCCAGCGAGGACCCCTCCTCCTCTTTTCCCAGACCAAGCTCTCAGGGGACAACTCAGAAGCACAAAAGTCACCACTGGGAGCAAAGGGGACCAAAGAGCCATAAACAGACATGTTTGGGATTTCAAAAGTTTATCTCAATCTCCTCATTCCCAGACTTCCAGGTGGGAGGCAGGCCGGGCAGTAATGTGAGCATCTCAAGGACACCACAGTCACTGCGACCAAGCCAGTCTGTGTCCTCATTTACACAATGAAGGCGATGGACCACATAGTCTCTGACGTCCCACTGCACCCTGACAGCTGACAAATCTGTTTGTCCTCAAAGACAGGTCTGAGAGGGAGGAAAACTGATGGGGATGATGAGTTAGAGCTCCGGGCTCCCTGGGGCTGGAGGCTCATCCATCAGCTGCCGGAGGTGAGAGGCTGCCTTGTCCAGTTTTGACAATTCCAGCTGGAGGGAAGAAAGCTGGACGAGGAGAAAAGGAGGTGAGGATCCAGGAATGAGGCCCCTCCTGGCCCACATTCCCTCAGGGGTGGAGCCTTCTGGGGGCCTCCCTCAGCCTTACCTTTTGTTGCCTCTGAGTCCCTGCCTCCCCTTCTGATGGGGTCCTGGCTGTGAGGCTGTCAAGCTGCTTCTGCAACTTGTACCTTCGGGCGGCTAACAGAGGTAGCTGGATCTGCGGGTCCACCAGGCCCTGGGGAAGAACAGGGAGAAAAGGCTCAGACATCCGCCTGCTGCCAGGCCTCCATCCTCCATTAGAAGGTCCCTTCCCCTACTTTATAGAGCCCAGCCCCTCCCTTCCTCCCAGCATGCTTCCCAAGCCTGCCCTAACCCTCCCCATCCCCTCTGGTCACCTGCAGCTCCATGTAGACTTGAGCCGTGTCACTGAGTGGAGCCTGGGCCCAGCCGGAGGGAGCTGCTGCGCCTGGGGGTAACAGGCCCACAGCCCCACAGTAGCCCAGGGTGCCCAGGGGCTCCAAGAAGGCCTCGAAGAGGCCCTGGTCCCCAGGCTCTGAGCTCTGCAGCAGCACTGGAAAGAAAGAAACTGTCAGGGGCAAGGCCTCAGCTCCTGCCTCCCTTCCTACCCTGCACCTCCTAACGGGGGGGTTGGCCCTTCAGGCTCTGCTCTTTTCCCCACCAGCCCCCTTTTCCTGCAGGGATCCGAGCCCAGGACCCGCCTTGCCTCACCTCGGGGCCGGGCTTTGGTGAGCTGGTACGTGGCTCGGAGAGCCCTTAGCACCTGCACGACCTCTTGGACCCGGGAGAAGCGCCGCTCCAGCTCTGGCTGGCGCCAGTGCTCCTGGCAATGGGGGGGACCCAGAATTGGCAAAGGGGCTCCTGGGAGACTCAGTACCAACCCTGCTGGCTCTCTTCTCGACCCATCCACCCCATCTCCTTAGGGCAATGAGATCTGTCCTCAGCACCACAGAAAATCCACTATCTCAAGGAACATGACAAAAAGTGAGGCGTCATTTAAGAGGTTTTAGATGATCAGTGTTTGATGCCTGTTTAGTTGCTGTGATTGAAATGGCCAACCAAAAATAAATTAGAATTTAAAATGAATTAGTCAAAACTCAAAACCAAATAAGTATAAATTTAAATAGTTAAATTTTAAAATAATTTTTGGGTGAGTTCATAGCATTTATCCTTCTGAAGTTATTAAAGCTGCACTGAGATTTTGGGGACACCCTATTACTAACTTATCCAACCCTCATCACAACCATAACATATACTATTACTGTTCCTAGTTTAAACATGCGGGAAACTGAGGCTCGATCACACAGCTCAAAAATAGCAGTCTAGCAACAGAGTCCTGCTCTTGAGCACTACGCTAATACTGTCCCTCAAGACCCTAGGGTCATCGCAGCAACCCTGCAGGAACAATCCATCTTCCCCAGGGCTCCACAGTAAAGTACGAACCATTCCTGCAGATGAGCCCCCTGCAGCAAACCCCTTCAGAAGGTGCTCCCCCCCATTCACCCACAGACCCACTCCAAGGTGCTTGGGACTCACCAAGCTGCAGGCGCTGGGGTAGGGGGCAACCGAGATGCTGGGGGCAGGGGGGCAACCAGGCCTGGGGGGCAGCCTCTGCCAGAGCTCTTCAGCCAGGAAGGGCATCAGTGGGGCCAGGAGGCGGAGGCCGAGGTCAGCGCAGGAGAACAGGACCTGAGGGGGCCCCAGGGGGCGGGGCGAGTGCCACAGCACGGGCTTCACAGCCTCCTGGAGAGGAAGCCAATGGTCAGAGGACAGGTCCAGGGCCACAGCCCTCCTCCCTACAGCCACTGCTACCCGCCAGTGGGGCAGGCCATGGGTCCTGGGAGAGAGGGACAGGCAGAAGCACTTAGCACTTCTGATATGATCCACAGTCCCAGGACACACTCAGCACAAAGAAGGGGACTCCAGGACAGCAATTCTCTGCAGTACACAGGGACAGGATTTCCAGGGAAACATGTAGTTTAGGGAAAAAAATCATTGAGTTTTTTGCTTATCAACAGGGGACAGAGGTTTTTAAAAGGCTGAGCTAGGGCAGTGGTCCACAGCCAGCAGCAGCAGCACCACTTGGGACAAGAAATGAATATTCATTACACCACCCACCCCCACCCCAACCTGCTAAAGGAGCCACTCTGGGGTGGCAGTGGAGCGGGGGGGATCCACCGTCAACAAGCCCTCCAGGTGCTTTGGACGTAGGACAGCGTGAGAACCCCTGGTCTAAAGACCGCTGCTAGTCCCTCCCAGGCCTCTCTCAGCACGCAGCCTGCCCATGGGCCAAACTCAGCAACTACAGGGACTGAAAAAATTCCCCTCTGCCTTCTGACACCGACTTGTCAGACATTTCTAGAAGTCTCCCTCCTCCTCCTCTCCCCAGGTGACAGGCAGGCAACAGTGCCTGGGCTGCACTGCCAAAACCAGTCCCAGGAAGAGGGGAACTGAGACTCCCTCGTCTCCTCTCCTCTCCTAACTGAGGGGACAATTGGGAACTTATTAACTCCAGAGCTCTCTGCCTTGGAAATTTCCAGAGGAATTAGAAGCAGGCATGGGAATACCAAGCCTCCCCCAGCCTCACTCACCAGGTAGACGTCACAGAGGTTGTGAAGCCAGAAGTGGTGCAGGGCATGAGTGACGAGCGAGAGCTCTCGGGTGAGGAAGCCCCGCTCACACTCCTGGGCAGCCAGGGCAAGGCGGCTCAGGATCCAGGCATCCATCGGGGAGGAGGGAGACAGCTGCAGGCAGAGGGGGCAGGATGGCCTGACTCCCCCTCCCCTGCCTCCTTTCCTTCCAGATGCCACCTTGGCCCTCTGACACCTGACTACCCTACTCCCAAGCACCTCTGTTTTCTCTTACCTCCTCAGCAGGCTGTGGCACAAATTTCTCCCCTAAAGCATTGAGGATAAAGCGAAGAGCATTCCAGATCTTGTTGCAGAAATGTCGGCAGCTCTGGACCTCAGAGACTGACAGGTGCAAGTCGCCCGCTGGAAGGGAAGAATCGAGGTAGTCTGCATGTAGGTGGCAGCAGCACCAGAAGTCCTGCCCCTGCCCTGCCCCTGCACAGGTGCCCGCTGCCCTCTGCTCACCCCGACACCCCTCGCCCAGGCTTACCCTGAACTCCATGGGAGCAGAGTGTGAATCTCAGGGCATCTGTCCCACACTCAGGGATCCCGTGAGGAAAGTCCTTTTTCTGCAACCAGAGGAAGAAGAAGGGTGGCAGATGCCTTTGTGGCTGCAGGGCCAGGACCTGGGTTGCAGAGGAAGCCAGAGGTGGTGAGCTAGAGCTGGTGGGGGGCAGGCAGCGATGACTCACCTGTGCTGCAGCCACAATGGCCAGCTCTGCAGGGTCCAAATTTCCGCTTCTCAGCTTTTCCTGCAGCACCTGGGGATGGAAGGGGGCAATTCACGACCCAGGTCGAAGGCCCTGCCTCTATAAGGGTCACACCTGCTGGCCTCACTCCTCCCTCAGCCTGCCTTCCTCTCTCCTGCAAACCCTGCAAACCTTGTCCCTCTAGTGGGTGCTTCGTCCTCACCTGCATCTCCACCCCACTGATGATGTCTCTTGGGTCCAGCACATTCCCCAGGGACTTGCTCATCTTCCGGCCCTGCCTGTCCCGAACCATGGGATGAAGAAGCACCTGGGGGCAGGGAGGGGTCAACAGAGGGGGGTTTCCTTGGAGGTGCCTTGGGATCTCTGGCCTCCATACTTTTGGGGGTAGGGTAGGAAGTGAATTAGGAAAAAGGAATCAGCAACGTGGAAAGGACCACATTAGGGGTTAGAAGGGAGGACAAGGTTTGGGGAACACTGGAGTCACAGAAAGCGGCAGGGCACTGAAGGGCTCTTACCTTGCTGAAGGGCAGCTGCCCTGTGAGCTGGGTCCCCAACATGACCATGCGGCCCACCCAGAACAGCAGAAGGTCGCTGCCCGTTTCCAAAAGTGACAGGGGGTAGAAACGAGCAAGGTCTGGGGTCTAGGGGGAAGAGGAGCAGTAAGAGGCCCAGGCCCCAGGCCCCCCTCAAGCCTCTGTGGGGGCCCAGCCATCCCTTCCTTATCGTTTCCCCTTCACTTTCGCCCTCTCAACCCACCTCACCTCTTGGGGCCAGCCCAGGGCAGAAAAGGGGAACAGGGCAGAAGAAAACCATGTGTCTAGGACATCAGGATCTGGGAAACAGAAAAAGAATGGGGACAGTTGGAACCTTGGCTTCTAGGACCTCAGACCACTGCTGCCACCATTCTAGGCCAACCCCCACCCCCAGAGACCAGGGCTGTCCCCTTTGGCTCCATTCCCAACTTTCCTGACCCTACCTTCTGTATCTTGGGATCTGTTCCCCTCAAAGGCCCAGATGCCCAGGCCCCCGCTCCCCTGTACATCCCTCCCCAGCTCAGGCACTCACCCCTCTCCAGGGTCAGCTCTGCCCCTGGCCTCCCTGTCAGTTCCGCTGCTACCTCTCTGGCCTCAGCCTCTGACCGCCCAACCACCCAACAGTCCTCTTCTCCCTGCAAAAGTAGGAAGGGGTTGGGGAGAGTGAGGAAGAACAGCTGACAGGTGTAAATGTCACTTGGTTTTCACGTCCTCATGTGGTCTTAGAGTGGCCAGGTTCCCCCAGGGGTGAGATAAAGAAATGCCACTTCAGGGAGCCTTGATCGCGCAGAAGGTTACATGACTATGAGCATGAAGCACATGACCAGGCAGGAGCGGGACTTGGCCCTGCGGAGCTCTGACTCCTGGGCTAGGTGCTCTGTGCCACACTCGGCCCTCCGGGTGCTTCTTCCTACCCACCTGCGCATGGTCCTCTACAACCAGGTAGGCTGGAATCTGATGGCCCCACCACAGCTGCCGGGAGACACACCAGTCCCTGCCGGGAGGACATTCGTGAAGTCTTAGAATAACCAGTCAGTCCCCCCTCCCCATCTCCACAAGAGCTCCCCTTACCCTACCCTTACCCAATATGGGAAAACCAGTGCTGCCAGTTCTTCTGGTGGAAGGAGGGACTGAGCTCCAGGGCCCCCGACTCCACAGCCTGGAGAGAAAGGGGACTTTAGACAATGTTGCCCTTCCTGCACGGCCGCACCTCCACAGATAGGACGAGTGGCCTCTGAGGTCATTTTAAAACTCAGAAAGGACCTCCCAAGCCTCTTGCCAAGATTCTGGGCTTGAGTAAGGATATGAGCCAGCCCTTGCTGGGCCGCCCAGCCTCCATCCCACACATCCTCTCAGTTACCACAGCTGGAGAGGTCTTCAGGGCAGGAGGTCTCCTGCTTCCCATTTCTTCATTCCAATTCTCAGGGAGCTCCCCCAACCCCTGGCCCCAGTCCTTCCTACACTGCAGCCTCACCTTGGCAGCTCGGGCCCCCATTTCCTGGCAGCGGACAAACCACTGGTTCTTCAGCAGGTATTCTATCACATCCCCAGAACGGCTGAAAGAGAGACAGGGTGAGTCCACTGCTCTTCCGGCCCTGTGACTTCTCCCAGGGGCACAAGACCCCATGCCATGCCAGGCCCTTGGTACTGAGGATACAATAGCGAATAAAACCGACACGGAGCTCGTATTCTAACGGAGGGGTGCAGAGCCCATCCTATTGTCACCCTTAAGCTCCATACATTCCCTTTTGGGGTAGCCCTTAGTAAAGGAGTTAAAATGAGGTTACCTGCAGATGGGCAGTACCATGGGGTGGTTCTGGAGGCCCCGGAACAGGCCCCATTCACTCAGCACAGACATTATCTTTTCCCGGGCCACAAACCGGTGAAGACCCTGGAGAAAAAGCGGCAAGAGTAAAGACTGAAGGCCTCTAGAGAAATAAGAAACTAGGAGGAGGATTAGGGGGACAGAGAGCCCCCAAAGGATGGGGTAACATAGGGTGGTACCACCTGCAGCCAGTCCCCGCAGAGGGAGGTCATGGTCCCATCCTCCGCAATGACATTCAAGGGGCTCAAGCCATGTCGGGCCCCCATCTCAGCATCGGCAGGACTGTGAGCTGGAGTCACCTTCACTGCCCCTTGGGGAGCACAGCCATGGTGAGTACTGAACCTGACCTTGGCTTTTGCTTTTCCAGATGTATCATCATCACCTGCACCGCCCCAGCCCCTGCGACTTTCTCTGTCTGTGCCTCCCTCCCATTCCCCACTCAGACCACCCTATATGAGGATCTCCCACTCCCACCTTCCTCTTCCTCCTGGTTCCCTCCCCTCTCCTCCAGGACCCCCAACTTTCTCTCCCTCCCCTGACTTCCACTCACCCGTGCCCACATGTGGCTGAACAGCATAGTCTGTGATGAGGGGAAGAGGCTGCCCCATCAAGGGGTGACGAAGCTGTCGCCCGTGTAGATGCTGAAGGGAAGGGAGAGGGATCAAGGACAGGCACCTGTGAGGGTTGGAAGGGTCTGGGCTGGGGCGTGAGAACCCCAGGAATAAGAAGGTAGAAAGTGGAAGGTAGCAAGCTAGAGCAAGGTCAGCAAACTCTTAAGGGGCCAGAATGTAGATATTTTAGGCTTTTGGGCCTAGAGACAAATTCATTCTCAGCACAATTACTCTATTATGCCACTGCAGCAGAGCTGGAGAGGGTATATAATAGCAGCCATAGATAATATAAAGGCTGCAAGCAGCCAGGCGCGGCGGCTCACGCCTGTAATCCCAGCACTTTGGGAGGCCGAGGTGGGCAGATCACGAGGTCAGGAGATCGAGACTATCCTGGCTAACACAGTGACACTCCGTCTCTACTAAATAACATTACTTAAAAATTACATTACTTAAAAAAAATTAATTACTAATTTTTGTAAAAATACAAAAAATTAGCTGGGTGTGGTGGCACGTGCCGGGCATGGTGCCACGCTCCCAGCTACTCAGGAGGCTGAGGCAGGAGAATTGCTTGAACCCAGGAGGTGGAGGTTGCAGTGAGCCAAGATCACACCACTGCCCTCCAGCCTTGGTGACAGAGCGAGACTCTGTCTCAAAAAAAAAGGCCGCAAGCTGGATTAGGACCATGGGCCAGTTTGTCAACCCCTGAGCTACAGAAAAACTATAAGAGGAGGAGGGAGTCCAATCAGAACCACTGAGAGAAGTCTCAGGAAAAGGAAGTAGAAGCAAGAGAGAAAGAGCCACCATTTAAAACCCAAGAGAAGAGAAGGCCATTGGCGGGGCGGGCCAGAGTGCAGGAGCGCACTGGGTATTACTGTGTATCGCGAGTCGTCTGGATGAACGGCCACAGCCACATCTCCAGGCAGCGTCTCTGGCCTTGTGGTTCCTACCACAACCTCTGCATCTGAAGATAAACATTTAAACACTTACAGCTGGTCATCATCCTCACCTCTCACTGCCAACATAGCTAAAGGCAGTAGAACTGGAAAGGGGAAGGGGCAGGGAGTAGTCAAGGTGGAAGAGGCCCCCAGGAGTGACTAGAAAAAAGTAGGAGCAGTGTTTATAGGAACCCAGGGTTTCCCATAAGCTGATGACCAGAGGTCTGAGAGGGTCTCTGGTGCTAAAGAATTCCCTGATAATTTGCATGGAAGAAATGGGGGCAGCATTAATTAAAGCAACTATAATAGAATTCTTGCTGGGTGCCCAGAGGACACTGGGGATTCTCAGTGTCCTAATCACAAATGCTGTACATTCCTCAGGGGGAGCACCAGCTCCTACAAGAAGCTTCCACTGACAATTCCAGCTCATCTGTCTTCCCTTTCTCTGAGCTCTTCAGAACATTTACCGTAAAAACCACACCTTAGAGGCCAGGTGCAGTGGCTCACGCCCGTAATCCCAGCACTTTGGGAGGCCAAGGCGGGCAGATCACGAGGTCAGGAGTTCGAGACCAACCTGACCAACATGGTGAAACCCCGTCTCTACTAAAAATACAAAAATTAGCCAGGCCTGGTGGCACGCGCCTGTAATCCCAGCTACTCAGGAGGCTGAGACAGGAGAATCGCTTGAACCTGGGAAGCAGAGGTTGCAGGAGCCGAGATCGTGCCATTGCACTGCAGCCTGGGTGACAGAGTGAGACTCTGTCTCAAAACAAACAAACAAACAAACAAAACAAAACATACCTTAGAACTGATCTCTTTCCTGGGTAGCGCACTCCTGAAGAATCACACCACACTCTCAAAGGGCAGTGACCACATGCACTTTTTGTACATCCCCCAGAAGACCCTGGGTAAGTGCCCACGCTGAGGTGAACACTACCAAGGTACATGTGAGAGATGGACTGATGGGTTCCTAGCAGCCCAACATGGGCTTCAGAAAACAGGAAAAATGGAGGTAAACGGGTGACCCTGCAGAGTACTATGCTCACCAGGCTCTCCATCCACGGGGAAGGCAACAGAAAATAGGAGGCCAAAAGACACGGGGGTGGGGCAGCCAGGCAGTCGAAGCTGTGTGTGGCCAGGCAGGGGCCGGTTCTCCACCTGGAGGCACCGAGAAAGCTGGGTCAGAGGGCAGCCTTTCTGCAAGGCTCATGCCCAGGCTTCACTCTGCCACTCATCCATCTGCCCAGCCTCCCTGCAATCCATCTAAAAGCCATTTGGAGGATTCGGGAGCTACCTCCCTCTGCCCTCACCCAATGCTCGTGCAGTCACACTTCTAATAAATATTCACTGAGCACTTAAGCCATGGCCAGGTATCTTGCCAAGCACCTATGTGAATTCTCATTTAATTTTTACAACACCCCCACGATGCAAGCATTCCATCATCTCTAATTTACAGACTGAGGAAGCTGAGGCTTAAAGAGACTAAACGGCCTGCCAAAAGCCACACAGCTGTAACAGGCAGGCATCAGATTTGAATCCAGGCACCCTGGCTCCAGAGTCTGAGCTCTTAATCATTGACCACTCTGCCTCAGAGCTCTCACAAACCTGCTTCCCTCTCTCCGCCTCACCTCAATGTCCGAGATGGCTGATCTTAAAGCACATGACCAGTTGACAAGCTGATGGTTCCGGTACAGCAACCCCGCCTTGTAGAGCCGCACAAAAGCTTCAGTCACAGCCACTGAGGAGCCCTGGAATGACCTGAGTGTCCACCTCTAAGAGCCACTTCTCAGCCCATCACCCTGCTCAGGGACCCAGGCATTGCTTCCTCCCTGCCCCACACAGATCCCTAAACATCGCCCATCACTCACAGGGACCAAGGCACAGAACACTCACAACATCCATGGTAAAACACTCTCGATCCCAGTCCAGGGAGGCACCCAGAGCTCGCAGCTGCTCACAGATCTCTCCACCTTTCCTGTGCCCAGAGAGATCCTTGTCAGCAAACACTTCCCAAGCACTTCCTATGTACCAGGCCCAGCGATGCCCCCAGCAATGCCAGGTGTTGGAGGAAAATCAAGTGAGGATGGCATTGATCTAGCCTCTAGAGGCTAATAGAAATGGACTTACAAACCCAGTATGGGGTTTTCTAAGATATTAAAAGAGGCAAAAGATTCTATAGGAAGAGAGGAGGGATAGCCATATTGTGGGAAATCCAAGGATGCTTCACAGAGATGGCATGAGATAACAGACCCAGAAGAATGAGGGTAATTCCATGGGAATTGAAAGGTGGGAATGGGCGAGTGGAAGAAGGTGAGATTTAGACAAGAGAAATTGGGGTAAGTAAAGAGAAAGAAAATATATATATATATATAAATACACACACACACACACACACACACGAATATTCTAATGCATATATAATATCCACACACATAAGGCTTAGAAACTCCACCAAATGTTAACAGGCTCCAGAGCTTCCATCTCTGAGGAAGTCAGAGCTGTGTCGGGAAGAGCCAAGGATTACAAGTCAGGAGTGATAGTGGTGGGAGGCAAGAAACCAAATCTGCCATCTGGGCCCCCCGAGTCCTGCCCATCATACTCACGCCTCCTTCCACTGCCACACCTCCCTAAGGAAGGCCTCCCGGCTCAGCTCATGTCTCCTCACTCCCCGTTCCTTCCACAGTTGTTTCTCCACCACAGCCTGCAGTTGGATTCAGGGCAAATGAACAGAGTCAGGTTGCTTGGTTGCTTTGGGGGAAGAAATTGCTTTTGCCCAAGAAAAGGAACAGGTAACAAAAGACATACTTGTGTAGCAATTCCTGCATGATCTGAACCAGGGACCCACAGCACTTGATCCCCACGCATCCGGTGCCTGCAACAAAAATGCCCTCCTGTGAGCCCCTGAGCTTAAATGTTTATCCTCACTCATTCCTGCCCTTCCTATTTCCCTTCCAAGAACTCAAGCAGCCCCCACTCCCCTCTCACCAGCGCACGAGGGCATCCTGTATGGCCACCGTGAGTGCGTGGCCAATGTGCAGGGAGCCAGTGACATTGGGAGGTGGGATACACATGGAAAAGGTCTCCCCTGTAGCTTGGGGCAGCCGGGCCTAGAGGAAGAAAAAAAGTCAAAGGGGCAAGAGAGAATTGGATTGGGGAAAGAGCACCCTCTACTGTCTCCAGAACAGAAAGAACTTCAAGGAAGAACTGTCCTGCAAATAAGAGGAGAGTGGAGAGGAGGGAATTGGCCAGGGGGAACCTGCCAAGAGAAATCTTTGGAGACACCAGAGCCAGAAAGAAGACAAGGTCTACAATGTGAGCTCAACTCTGAGGTCCAGTTGTATTCAAGGGCCACTCTGTCCTGGAGACAATTTAGGACCCCTCCCTGCCAGATACTAACCTGATATTCTGGTTTGAAGAAGCCCTCTCGTACCCACCACGGGTACCAGGCAGCCTCAACATATCGGGGGCTGTATGCAGGAGGCAGGGGCCCAGAGACATCTGTGAAGGCAGAGGAGAGCTCCACTAACCACTGAACTTGTTCCCAGGCTGCATTTCGGCAGGCCAAATGGGCAACACATATGTGAAAGAAAAGGCCTTCTTACTTATTCTACTTACCTTTCTTTTCACCGGGTTTCGTAGGGATTTCATACAATACTAACTCCTTAGGCCTCCAGGCCTTAATGGATTCTGCAGGTGACTGAGAAGAGAAAGCAGAAGAGGCTGGGATCCAGTATACCCCAGACTGCATTTCAGCCGGTCTCCTCCAGCCCCTCTCAAGTCTCAGAAACCCAAGGACAAGCTGTCTGACCCCTAACCTTGCTCTCCCCTGCTATCTCAGCCTCCAGAGTCGCCTGCTTCTCTCGCAGGCGCTTCTGTTTGGCTTCACGGTTCCTCCGGGAGATGGGAGATCCATGGGGCTCCGACTGTGTAGAAACGGAGTGAAACCTGGGGAGGCCCCGTGAGTGCCTCAGCCCCCAAAATGGTGGTCGAAAAGAGGCGAGAGGCAAATGAGGCATCAGGAGTGTTTGGAAAGGGGCCGAGATCTGTTCTGGATAGAGAGAGAGCACATTAGGATATGGGGGTGGAGAAGGGTCACTCCCCTTGTTCCATCTTTCCTGTCTCTAATTAGCACAGGTCTGTTATTCCAAGTCTCTATTCCCTTCCACAAAACCTTTCCTCCTTGAGAGCTAGAGTGCATGGTATCGACAGACAGCGCCATGGAGCCACGGATATCAGGGCTCTTCCGGAACAGGGCCGGAGTGTCTGGATTCGGCGGTGACCACTGACACATGAGAGATAGGGCTCAGAAACTCAGGGAGATGATGGGCATCAGCGCGCCCAAGAGCCAGCAAGGAGTCCCGCCAGGGCCGCGGCGATCTCCACCTGCACAGGGGCCTCCTGCAGTGCCCACAGCCCGGCGCGGCCAAGCCTTCCCGCCCATCCCAAGGCCTGGGCCCAGGACCCGCAGCGTCTCCCACTTCCCGGAGGCCGCCCCGGCGCGCGCTCACCAGGAGGCCCCGCCGCTATCCCAGGGCGCCCCGCGGCGGCAGGGACTGAGGAATCCACCAAACCCGACCCTGGAACGTGGCCCTGGAGCCGCGCGGCGCATGGGGGCGGGGCCCCGGCCGGCGCATGCGCAGCAGCTGGCTTTGGCCCCACCCTCTCCCTACCGGTCCAAAGGCTGTAGACCAGAGGAGCGAGTCCGCCGCGAAGGCAAACCCCACGGGGAGGCGCCCGGGACCGCACTGCTAGCTATCATAACTTTATTAAACAAGAAAAGCCCTGACGCGTAAATAAAAAACACCTGAGTTCTGATGCCCCGCCCCGCCCAGTCCCGCCCGCCGAGGTCCGTGTCCAAGTCCCGCGCTCTCAGGAGCTATGTTTCTGCCGCTTCCAAAAGCGCTTGACGTCGCTGTGCCCGGCCGGGGTCACCACCATGAGCCGCTTGGCCGAGTTCTCGAACACGAGCACGCCCAGCTCCCGCGCGTGGGCCAGCAGCAGCTCAAAGTCCACTTGCGACAGGAACTGGTTATACAGGACACCTGGGGTCGGCAGGACGGGAGGGGCGCGGGGAGAAGACGAGAAAGTGAAGCTCGGAGCTCCTATTGGGAATCCCCCCAGCTCCTTGGTGGCAGCCCTGGACGCGGTCTGGGCTTGCCCCCACCGCAATTTTACAAACTAATTCTCTATGCTTGTCTGCTCAGGGGTTCATCTTAACACCAGTGTGATCCAGCCATATTCAGAAAGGCCTAATACAAATTACTGTGAATTATTCCCTCACCTAGCCAAATCCAAAGTGCATTGATTTGGGACGATTTGTTTACTACCGACTCACCCCAAAACAACAAAAAACTGTCTTGCCAGCTTTTCTCTCCTAGTCCATGAAGTAAAAAATAAAATGCAGACTGAACTGTCTGCCCTTTCTCTGGCCAATGACCAAGACTTGGCCACCAGAAGCTACTCACCCTCAGTGAACCGGAGTCTGTCCCTTTCCAGCTCCCAGAGCCGGATCTGGTCGGTGATGGTGGGGGGCAGCACAGGTGTCTGCAAGGAGCAAGGGTTGACTGTAGGGACTCAGAATACTGCCCCAGACAACCCGGCCCTCTGTTTCTTCCCCAGATTTGGATGCCCCTTTTTCTTTTCCATCATGTCATCACCAGCTGCCAGCCTCTGACATCTTGGAGCCTGTCTATACCTGTTTGAGCATCACTGGGTGGGCTCTTGTCCTTAGGAAATGGATTATCTAGGAAAACAGACAAGAATGGCATGAGGGCTCCAGCAAGAAGGCAGGAAAGCCATCTGAGCTGTCACCTAATGTCACTGGAACATCAGCTTATTCTAAAAACTCATAACTCCTGTCATCAACTCCACCCATCCCAGTTCAGCTGTTATCCCACGTTGCTGCTCCCAGCAACGTGGGATATTCCTTTTCTGGCACATTCGCCCTTTCCAGTAATGTTTTGTTTTTCTTTCTTTAAAATAGCAGCAGCTACTATTTTCTTTTTTTAGCATTTATTGCATGACAGGTGCTGAGCTCAATGCTTTGCCCCTATTCTTCCAATGAATTATCCCGGCAACCCTGAGGTAAGAACTGTCATTTACTAGATGAGGAAACTGAGGCTCACAGAGGCAAAACAACTATGTCTAGTTTACGCAGTTAGGATGTGGCAGTGCCGAGGCACAAATCCAGATCTATACCTCCTCCCTCCATGTTTTTTTCCCCTCAAGGGTCTACCTATTCTCACACCCAAAGCCTTCATTTCTCTTCAAACACAGACAACTCACCACCACCTATTATAACAGACTCAGAGCTAGCCTTCCATAATGTGACCCCTGTCCCCCGCAGCCCAAGTGCAGCCTGTCTTCCTGCTCCACCTCTCCCAAGTGGGAATACCTGCTGGGCTGTGATGCCACTGGCGATTGCCTGCTGCACACTCTCCCGGGTCACCTGCGCCACCACCATGTTGGGGAACCGATAGAGCATCTCAGAGAAGAGGGCAATGAGGGCAATCTGCAGCTCCGACTCTGAGCCAGGGATAGAAAGAGGATGAGGAGGCCACCCCCACACCCAGACTCCCTCAAGCCCTTCTTTCAAGTGTCATGAGAAATGTCAGAGAGCTCTGTAGACTGCCAGGTAAACACGAACATAAACTGGCATTCCCTCACCCCCAACCTCCTCTTCCAGGGGCCCTCTGTCCCGCCTCACCCGTGTAGGCATACAGTCGGTAATTGGTTTCCACGACAATGAAACCTGGCTGATGCACAGTGCCCCCAGCTCCAGAGACACCTGATGAGAGATTGATGGCCAGGCGTGTGGGGTAGTAACGCCGAGATTTCCTCTGAAAAGAATAGAAAGGCAGATGCCTTGTCTCAGAAGTCACTGCCTTACATCTTCCTGCCTGAAATATCAGATCCCTCCCAAGATGCAGAACCTCAACCCCCAACTTCTCTCCCCCGAGAGACCCAAGTATTCAGTTCTGGCAACTGCTTCCTGCTACTGCCCCAAGACCCCACTCCTTTTTAAAGGCAAAGGCAACACACCACCCTGTTTCTTCCCTGGAAGCCACTTATCTAGGCGCTCATACCTTCCTCTGGAAAACAAGCCCAAACTCACGCAGATGTTGCAGGAAGTTCAACAGAGAATCACTCATACCTTCCACAGAGTAATCCTGAGGAACAGAGGTTTCCAGCTGGGGTCCAAAACACAACCCACCCACCCCCAACCCCATACATTCATTCTTTCTTTCTCCATCTCTGTTCGTTCTGTTTTCATTCTTATCTTCTCAGTCTACTCTACTGCCCCACAACTTGCTTTCCCCTTCCCATCTCTATACCTTTCAGCCCCCTGCTTACCTTGCCCAGAGTAGAGAAGCTGAGCTGGAAGAGGAAGGAGAGAATCTCTACCAGGTCCATGCCCCGGCTCTAGGGAGAAAGAGGCAGAGACAAAGGAGGAGGGATGGGAGGGAGACAATGGGAAGAAAGGGACAGAGAAGAGAAAATCAGGGAACAGTCTGTAGGCAGGAGTCTCTCAGTGAGACCTGAGAGGAGCAGAGCATGCTGGTTAAGTGGCCCTGCCTCCTCACCTGGGCTGTCTGCAAATACTGCAACATAAAGTACCAGAGCTGAGCCGGGGTGTCCAGCAACAGGAACTGGAAGCCAGCGGAAGTAATGCAGGGCGGCTCTCCAGGTTCAGTACTAGAGACAAAGACCAGGACAATGATGGTGATATGCAGAGAAAGACTACTATCCCCACTTGTCCACTCACGTTTTTTCTTGGTATCTCTGGCTATATTCTACTCAGCTTGCCTTTTCCAGCTAATGTCCTCTGATCTTGACTAGCCCCAGATACCATTTCTTAGGGACCCAAGGAGATGGCACAGCAGAGAGCTGCTGTACCTCCGGCTTCCTCACCTCTTCATGAGCCCAGCCTGGCTGAGGAGCTGAGCCAAGTCCTGGCTGACAGCTGCACTGGGGGAGCCCACCATGAAGTGCAAGACCACCTGAAGAACAGAAGAGAACAGGGAGACCATGCCCCAAGGGCCATGGGAAGTAGAAGCACAAGCAGAGACACACACACTCCCAAGTGCTTACCTCCCATCGCTCCTCGGCGTACTTGTCAAGGGAGGGAACGTCCCGGGCATGCTTGTCTGGTCCCAGCTGACTTGTGTCATCAGACCAGGCCTTCCCCCTACGGCCAGGATGGGCCAAGAGTAAGGAACCCTGGCCAGGCGCAGTGGCTCACACCTGTAATCCCTGTACTTTGGGAGGCCGAGATGGGCGGATCACTTGAGGTCAGGAGTTCAAGACCAGCCTGGCCAACATGGCGAAACCCCATCTCTACTAAAAATACAAAAAATTAGCCTGGCGTCGTGGTGGGTGCCTGTAATCCCAGCTACTCAGGAGGCTGAGGCAGGAGAATCACTTGAACCCAGGAGGTAGAGGCTGCCGTGAGTCAAGATTACACCACTGCACTCTGGCCTTGGTGACAGAGTGAGACTCTGTCTCAAAAACAAACAAAACAGAACAACAAAAAAAGAGTAAGGAACCCTGTCTGTGTTCCTTGCTGCCCTCTGCCATCTTTCCACCCTTATCCTCAGGGGCCATGAGTGGGGGACATTTCCTACACCACACACTACATCTGGTCCAACTTACTCCTAAAGGAGTTCCCAACGTGGAGACCACAAGGTTCTGGGGAGGCCCCCAGGAGCTCCCCCTCCCAAAGTTTAATTAGTGGTTTAATAAGCAGCAGTTCCCCTGCCCTAGCTTAGGAAGAGAGAGAAGTGACATACCCACCCAGAAGGGCAATGCGGAGGTTCTGGCGGAAAATGGGGTTGAGGATGAGGCCCTGGAGCCCGCCTGGGAGCAGCTGTGTGTGCCAGATCCGGAGGCCGCTCAGCAGCCCTGTACTTTCCTCCTGAGCCCTGGAACAGAAGCAGAGAGGTGAGTAGGGTATTTGGAAAACAAAAAGGAGGCCCATAAAAGCCACCATCTCTGCCTGTTCTGAACTTGCTGACCCTTGGAACACTGTTCCACAGAGTGAAATTAGTATCTTCCTAAGACAAATTCTTTACTGCATTACTTATCAGAGCCTCATTACAGATATCACACATAACTCTTTAAGAGGGAAGATACATTTGAAAGCAAGATCTCAGCTGGGAAATAAATAAAAGGGAAAAGGCAATATGCAGAGTTTCCCAAATGTATTTATTTTTAAGTTTTGTGATATATCTATTAACACTTCCTGGAAGTGCTCCAAGGAACAGCAGTTTGGGAAATGTAGCTGTTGAGAAATTTGTATCTGGCTGAGACTTACTTGCTGAATTCCTTCTTTACCCACAGAGCTACAGCAGCCTGTGGCAAAGGCTGCTCCAGAAAGAGCATCCGCATCACCCAGTTCTTAGCCAAGGATGGGAGCTCCCTGTACAGGAACAGAGGTCAAAGGTTAGTATCAGAAGCTGCATTGTATCTGCATCTCTGCCCTCAATTACCTCTCAAACATCTCATCTCACTCCAGCACAACTTTACCAGTCCTGCTGTTTTGGCCTCCACACTTTAGAGCAATTTCCAACCCTTGCCCCCAGTCCCCACCCCGACTCCAGGCTGCTACACTTTTACCTATGATATTTTATTCCACTCCGCAGACCCCATTACATTTCCCTGCCATGAAGGGGCTTCTCACCTGAAGACAGCCAGACATGTGGCAGGGTGCCCATACAATCGGTCCAATACCCCAGGGCTCAGGCCCCCTAAGAATTCCTGCAGATTCCTGCATTGTAGGTGTACTCGGTTCAGTCCCCTTGAAGGGGTGCTCTCCATCACCTGAGGAATGCAAACGTCAGAAGTGCAACCTCACCATCCATGCCAGTGTCACCCCTGACCTTTCTAACTGATTCCAGATCCATCAGTCCCCACAATAACCCCACCTTTTCTGTGGTCTCCTTTCCCATGTCACTCATCTCCTCTGGTTTCTCCCAAACCTGACCAATCTCCCTCCCTTTCTTGCCTCCTCACCCTATTTCTGCCCTTCAACTCCAGTCTTCCCTCAATTACCAAGTGACAGAATTGTTAACTGTCCAGTGTTTGCAAGATCATTTTGTATTTCAATGACTTGTCTCATCTTTGGCTAAACAGGGACAAAGAAAATTGAGCCCACACCTCTCTCTTCCATCCCATCCTGGTCAGACCAGTCTACAAGCTCCAAATCTGCCCGTCCTTCCTATCTTCTATCTCTTAGCCCACTTCTGCTAAGTACGGCGGTAACCTCTCCCCTCCATGCTTCCCAAATCTAAAGCCACCTCTTTTCCCTTCCCAAGTCTACTTCACGTCATTCACCCTGACCCACGCCTTCCGATCTCCTAGCTTCTCCCTGCCTTCCTCTCACTCTTCGCCTCCCACTCACCTCTCTCTCTCTCATACCTCTGCCACTCCCGCCCTCCTAGGTCCCCTCACCACTCTGTCGATCCTCCTCGCGCACCCCGAGTCTCGGGCCGTCGCTTAATCGGAGCCAAAGTCTCGCATTGGCTCCTGGAGATTGAGGGAAAGATGGTGAAAAAATGCGAGGAAAAGATGGGGAAAGCAAAGAAAGATTTCACAGGCAAGAGCCCAGAATGGAGAATTCAGAAGAGAAGGGAGGTAAGGGGAGGAGTGGAAAAGTGAAGAGGATGAGAATAGACGCTGCACTCTCCGGGCGCGGGGGATGCTGGGAATTGGAGTCTTGCCTTTGCTCTCCTTAGAGCCGGCTGAAGCGCGTCTGACTACAAATCCCGAAAGGCACCGTGGGGAAGCCGAAAGGAGAGGAGCTGGCTTTTAATTGAGCGAGGGGAGACACCAGAAGCTGGACCAGTTGGTTCCGCGAAGGCAGAACCAACTCCGCCCACGCTGCTAACGGCGCGTGTAACCGGCTGGAGCGGGAGGCGGGTCCGGGAAAGTAGAAGTGCCTGGAGGGCTTCCTTGCGGAGGCGCGCTCTGGCGACTTGGTGGTGAGCCGAGTGAGCACAATTACTCCCCATAAAATTGGGATAATACACACTCCAGGCCGGGCGCGGTGACTCACGCCTGTAATCCTAGCACTTTGGGAGGCCGAGGCGGCGAATCACCCGAGGTCAGGAGTTCGAGACCATCCTGGCCAACATGGTGAAACCCCCGTCTTTACTAAAAATACAAAAATTAGCCGGGCGTGGTGGTGGGCACCTGTAATCCCAGCTACTCTGGAGGCTGAGGCAGGTGAATCGCTTGAACCCTGGAGGCGGAGTTGCAGTGAGCCAGGACCATGCCATTACACGCCAGCCTGGGCGACAAGAGTGAAACTCCGTCTCAAAAAAAAAGAAAAGGAAAGAAAAGAAAGAAAGCGTACACACTCTGGGCGGTTTCCACGAGTTAACGATTAACACGATCCAGTGCACCTTACTTGACCCTAAGTACTCAGTAAATCTTAATTTCTGCCTCCACCACTCCTCAAACCGTTTACTTAGAAGACCCAGATAAATACAGTTTTTAAGACACCAACTATTTGCTCTGATTTGATTTATGAACCTACTACAAAAGTGGAGGTCTTCACCCAAACCCAGAACTACACGTTTCCCCAAATTCCTATATGCAAATTTTGTTATTCCCACCTTATAGACTGGAAGACTGGAGCCCGGCAAGATTAAGAAATTTGCCTGCAGCCTGGCGAGGTGGCTCAGAGCTGTGACCCCCAGCTACTTGGGAGGCTGAGGCAGGAGGATCGCTTGAGACTAGGAGTTTGAGGCTACAGTGAGCTATGATCGCACCAGCCTGGGTGACAGAGGGAGACCCCCATTTCTCTCTCTCTTTTTTTTTTTTTTTTGAAACGGAGTCTCTCACTCTGTCACCCAGGCTGGAGTGCAGTTGCATGATCTCAGCTCACGGCAACCTCAGCCTCCCGGGTTCAAGCGATTCTCTTACCTCAGCCTCCCAAGTAGCTGGGACTACAGGTGTGTGCCACCACGCCCGGCTAATTCTGGTATTTTTAGTAGAGATAGGGTTTCAACATGTTGGCCAGGCTAGTCTCAAACTCCTGACCTCAGGTGACCCACCTGCCTCAGCTTCCCAAAGTGTTGGGATTACAGGCATGAGCCACTGAGCCCAACCTGAGATGCCCATCTCTAAAAAAAAAAAAATTAAAAAAAAAATCCCTACAATCAGACAGGAAGTGCCCAAGCTGGGATTTGAAGCACATTTGCAAGCAACCAGGGATCAAAATGGTAATGACTATGCAAGACTTTTTATACTTTGTAGCCCACCCATGTTTTCTGTTGTCCCTGTCTTTTTAGCAATTAATGTTTTAAAATCTTCAAAGAAAAGCTAAAAATTGACAGAGCTTCTTTATGGCAAACTTTAGGTAAGGTTGAAAGACAATTTACAATCTAGGAAGAAATGGTTGATGAAATAAACAAAATACAAAAAGCTGTTACAAAGCAATAAGAAAAAGAAACATAATAGAAAGATTGGGACAGACCACTGCTTACTAGTTAGCCCTGCTCAGCAAGGAGCAGCTTAAAAAAAAAAAAAGAAGAAGAAAAGAAAAAGAAAAGAAAGAGGCCTGGCGGGGTGGCTCAGGCCTGTAATCCCAACACTTTGGGAGGCCAAAGAAGGTGGATCATTTTAGCTCAGGAGTTCCAGACCAGCCTGGGCATTATACAGAAACTCTATCGCTACAAAAACAAAACAAAACAAAAATTAGCTAGGTGTAGTGGTGTGCTCTCCTGCGGTCCCAGCTGCTCAAGAGGCTGAGGTAGAAGGATCACTTGGGCCCAGGAGATTGAGGCTGCAGTGAGCAATGATAGCACCACTGCACTCCAGCCTGAGCAACAGTGTGAGACCCTGTCCCAAAAGGAGAGGGGAAGAGAGGAGAGGACAGGGGAGAACTGGAGAGGGGAGAATTGGGGAGGGGAGAGGAAGGGAGGGTTAGGGAGGGGGAAAGAAGGAAAGAGAAAGAAAGATTGGCCAAAGCAAAAAGAAAGTTAAACAGAATATCAGAAATGTTTCAAAAATCAAAAAATTGGCTGGGCACGGTGGCTCACGCCTGTAATCCCGACACTTTGGGAGGCCGAGGTGGGTGGATCACCCGAGATCAGGAGTTCGAGACCAGCCTGGCCAACATGGTGAAACCCGTCTCTCCTAAAAATACAAAAATTAGCCGGGCGTGGTGGCAGGCGCCTATAAGCCCAGCTACTCGGGAGGCTGAGGCAGGAGAATCGCTTGAACCCGGGAGGTGGAGTTTGTAGTGAGCTGAGATCGTACCATTGCACTCCAGCCTGGGGGACAAGAGCGAGACTTTGTCTCAAAAAAAAAAAAAAAAAATTCAAAAAATTAGCCAGGCCTGGTTCTGTGGTCCCAGCTACTCAGGAGGCTGAGGCAGGAGGATTGTTTGGACCCAGGAGGTCAAGGCTACACTGAGCTGTGATCATGCCACTGCACTCCAGCCTGAGCTATACAGTGAGACCCTGTCTCAAAAAAAAAAAAAAAAAAAAAAAAGAAAAGAAAAGAAAAGAAAAGAGAAAAAGAAATTAGCTCGGTATGCACACACCTGAAGTCCTAGCTACTCAGGAGGCTGAGGTAGGAAGATCGGTTGAGTCCAGCAGTTCAAGGCTGTAGTGAGCTACAGTTACACCACTGCACTCCAGCCTGGCCGCAGAATTAGACTGTCTCTTAAAAATAAATATATAGGCCAGGCGCCATGGCTCACACCTGTAATGCCAGCACTTTGGGAGGTCAAGGTGGGTGGATCACCTGAGGTCAGGAGTTCCAGACTAGCCTGGTCAACATTTTAGTAGAAACCTTGTCTCTACTAAAAACACAAAAATTAGCTGGCATGGTGACGGGCGCCTGTAATCCCAGCTACTTGGGAGGCTGAGGCAGGAGAATCACTTGAACCCGGGAGGCAGAGGTTGCAGTGAGCTGAGACCACACCATTGCACTCCAGCCTGGGCAAGAGTGAAACTCCATCTCAAAATAAATAAATAAATAAAAATAAAAATAAATAAATCGGCCGGAGGCAGTGGCTCACACCTATAATCTCAACACTTTGGGAGGCCGAGGCGGGTGGATCACTTGAGGTCAGAAGTTCGAGACTAGCCTGAGCGGGTGAAACCCCGTCTCTACTGAAAATACAAAAATTAGCCAGACATGGTGGCGGGCGCCTGTAATCCCAGCTACTTGGGAGGCTGAGGCAGGAGAATCACTTGAACCCAGTAGGCTGAGGTTGCAGTAAGCCGAGATCACACCACTGCACTCCAGCCTGGGCAACAGAGCAAGACTCTATCTCAAAATAAATACATAAATAAAATTAAAATATAAAAGTTCAGCAAAAAAGAAATTAAGGATTGACAACCTCAATGTTGACCAGGGTATAGGAGCATACTCATACACTTTTGCTGAAAATTGAGGCCGGGTCCAGTAGCTCATGCCTGTAATCTCAGCACTTTGAAGGGAGGCCAAGCCAGGCAGATCACTTGAGCCCCGAAGTTTGAGACCAGCCTGGGCAACATGGTGAAACCCTGTCTCTACAAAAAATAAAAAAATTAGCTGGGCATGAGGGTGCATGCCTGTAGGCCCAGCTACTTGAGAGGCTGAGGCAGGAGGGTTGTTTGAGCCCTGGAGGTGGAGGTTGCAGTGAGCTGAGATCACACCATTGCACTCCAGACTGGGCAACAAAATGAGAGTCTGTCTCAAATTAAAAAAAAAAAAAAAAAAAAAAAAAAAAAAAAAAAATTGAAATAGGCACACCTCTTTTGGAGGGGGTGAGGGGACAGAGTCTTACAGTGTCACCCAGGTCAAATGCAGTGGCACAATCTTGGCTCACTGCAATCTCTGTCTCCCAGATTCAAGCGATTCTTGTGCCTCAGCCTTCCGAGTAGTTGGGATTACAGGCGTGAACCACCATGCCTGGCTAATTTTTTTTTGTATTTTTAGTACAGACAGGGTTTCACCGTGTTGGCCAGCATGTTAGTGGGCATGGTAGTTCAAAAAAGAAAATTCCTGTGATAGGGAGCTCATGACCTCCTCCTCTCAGGCAGCATCCTGGAGAGAAAGAACAGAGAGCCAGGGCCAGGCGTGGTGGCTCACACCTGTAATCCCAGCACTTTGGGAGACCGAGGAGGGTGGATCAAGACATCAGGAGTTCAAGACCAGCCTGGCCAACATGGTGAAACCCAGTCTCTACTAAAAATACAAAAATTAGCCGGGCATGGTGGCAGGTGCCTGTAATCCCAGCTACTCAGGAGGCTGAGGCAGGAGAATCGCTTCAACCCAGAAGGCGGAGGTTGCAGTGAGCGGAGATAGTGCCACTGAACTCCAGCCTGGGTGACAGAGCAAGACTTTGTCTCAAAAAAAAAAAAAAAAAAAAAAAGGAACAGAGAGCCAGGAGCCCACAGACCCACTTCCCACAGGCTTTACTGTTGACTGACTGCTACTTTGGGCAAGCTGCTTAACCTAACAGAATTTTCTTCTCTGTGCAAAGTAATTTTAACTACTTCATATATTGTTGTATTAAGTAAGATATAATATGTCGTAATTTCAATACCTGGTATATAGTGGGTGCTCAGTAATATATTATCATCATTATTGTAACTTTCACTTATTAATCCTAGTTCTAGTTCTGTAACTACATAGAATCTATGTTAGTCTATCAGATATTTGCTACAATTCTTTCTTTCAACCAATATTGAGCCCTGTGTTCCAAGATTTTGCCCTTGTGCAACTTATAGTTTGGTGGGAGGGGCAGGTATAAAAAGATATGTAAAATTACACACGTAGTAAGTGCCACAAAGAAGAGATTCATGTCCTCTGAGATTATCAGTAGGGAATTTGACCTGGTTGGGGAAGTCAGGAAAGACTGCTGAAGGACAAGCAGGAGTTAATAAGGCACAGACTGCAGGGAACATTGTTCCAGGTGAGGGAACAGCATGCCACGAAGGCCACGTGGCAGGAAGTACTGTGGCCCATTGGGTGAATCTGAAAGAAGGCCAGTGGCCCACAGAGGAAAGCAAGCGGGTGGGGGAGGACGCTGGAGAGGTATGTGGGGGCCAACCTTGGCCAGAAGGATTTTGTTCTTCATTTTAAGATTAATGAAAAGTCACTGCTGGATTTGAAATGAAGGATTAGGGTCAGATTTGTGTGTTTTAAAGATAACTGTGGTTGCAGGGTGGAAAACAACCCAGAGAGGAGCAGAGGCAGATCTGGGTGACAGCTGGGAGACCACTGCAGGAGTCCAGGCAAGATGGAGGCAGCATGTGCCAGGAGGGCGATGGAGACAGAGATGACAAGTTCCAGGGAGATTTGGGAGGCAAAATCAACAGCGTTTTGTGCTGGACTGGACTTGAGAGGTGGAAGGTAAGGGAGAAGGAGCTCGGGGATGCCACCTTGTGCGGCTTGTGCAGCTAAGTGGATGATGCTGCCATTCACTGAGTCAGTAGACTGTGGAGGAGAAGCAGGTTTGGACAAGCAGGGCCTGACTTTTAAATTAACTGCAGGTGGGGCTGGGCACGGTGGCTCACGCCTGTAATCCCAGCACCTTGGGAGGCCAAGGTGGGCGGATCACGAGGTCAGGAGTTTGAGACCAGCCTGGCCAATATGGTGAGACCCCGTCTCTACTAAAAATACAAAAAAATTAGCTGGGCATGGTGGTGCACACCTGTAATCCCAGCTATGTGGGAGGCTGAGGCAGAAGAATCGCTTGAACCCAGGAGGCGGAGGTTGCAGTGAGCTGAGATTGCGCCACGGCACTCCAGCCTGGGTGACAGAGCGAGACCAGGTCTCAAAAAAAAAAAAAAAAAAAAATTAACTCCAGGTGTTTCTGCTTGAAAGACAGCTCAGAGATTTGGGTTATCAGGCTCACTGCCGTGGCTTCCATCGCTCATTATTCTGGGATCTGGCCTCTAAACTCTAACCTATCGGTACACAACTTAAATCATAGTGCACAGTGGTTTGACCTGTGTAAGTTTTAGCAGGACTATTAGATTCGGGACCTAGGCCCCAAGGGCCTATTAATTCAACTTCACATTGATTTATCTTTACTGTGATCCTCATTATCCAATTGGCTCATTTTGTGAATATCATCAACCAAAACCCCAGGGTTTTTATTTCACATGAATGGCCATCAAGATGGGTCTGCCTTGTCCCATCCCTGCAACTGACTTTTAATTTTCTTTTTGAGACAGGGTCTTGCTCTGTCACCCAGGCTGGAGTGAAGTGATGCAATCATGGCTCACTGCAGCCTCAACCTCCTGGGCTCAAGTTATCCTCCCACCTTGGCCTCCTGAGTTGCTGGTGCACACCACTAAGCCCAGCTAGTTTTATATATATATGTATAAATGGGGGCCAGAGTGTGCTATGTTGCCTAGGCTGGTTCCAAACTCCTAGGCTCAAGAAATCCTCCTACCTCAGCTTTCCATAGTGTTGAGATTACAGGGCATGAGCCACCCCACTGGCCGATTTTTTCTTTCCAACCAAATTTGAACCCTTTAATTGTTCTCTTGGTGGTTGCAGCTCATCCTTCCAAGCCTCTGAGATAACTGAGGCTCTTGATTCTGGTTTCTGGTTCTGGTTTCCATTCCAACAACCTATCCCCTACCCCCAGTGGGGCATTTGCACACTTGATCAGCATAACCCAGGGATTCTCCCCTGGGATTTCCAGACCCTGGGGAGCCAGATGGGTTCTAGAATTTGGGCAAGAAAAAGAAATTACACCTTTTACTAACCTCTAATAGAAGTTTAGCATTTCCTCCAATTATGAATATGGGTAAAACCACCAGTAGTATTAGCAGTACCTGTGACTTGTCACTAATTGACACCACAGCTACTTTTATGTCTCACTGTGACTGTTGTAGAAATCTCAAATATGGCTTATGCTCATTAGTATTTGGAAAATGTCAGTTTATTACACCTGTTTTTAGATCTTGTTATTAAATACATGAAAAAGAAGCACATTAGTTTCATAATTTTTTAGCATTTTGGTAAACTGTTTCCATTGGTTTCCCTTATAATCCTATACATTTTATGGGTTTTGTTGTTGTTGTTGTTCTGTTTTTGAGACAGTCTCACTCTGTT
This sequence comes from Homo sapiens, assembly GCF_000001405.40. Classification (NCBI taxonomy): domain Eukaryota; kingdom Metazoa; phylum Chordata; class Mammalia; order Primates; family Hominidae; genus Homo; species Homo sapiens. The sequence goes on along the minus strand of NC_000006.12, from coordinate 30,900,783 downwards.
GCCCAGGCTGGAGCACAGTTGTGTGATCTCAGCTCACTGCAACCCCCACCTCCCGGGTTCTAAGCAATTCTCCTGCCTCAGCCTCCTGAATAGCTGAGATTACAGGCGCATGCCACCACACCCTGCTAATTTTTGTATCTTTAGTAGAGATGGGGTTTTGCTATGTTGGCCAGGTTGGTCTCGAACTCCTGGCCTCAAGTGATCTACCCACCTCAGCCTCCCAAAGTGCTGGGATTACAGGGGTGAGCCACTATGCCTGGTCCATTTTATAGGTTTTAAAACCTAATTCTGAGGAGGACTCAGTAGACCTCTACAGACTGCCAAAGGCGTTTATGGCACAAAAAAGGTTCAGCACCCCTGGCCTGACTGCATTCCTTCCAGGCCTCCACCAGAGCACCCCTCTGAGTTGAGAAGGTTCATGCACTCAGACATTCATGCATCTCCTGAGGTCCCACAGGCAAAGGCCTGGATTATCCAGAAACAGAACACAATGCTGGGCAAAACAGGTGATGGGAAATGGAATGAGGAGGCAGGAAAAAAGGAAGATGGGAAGTGGGTTGGGAAGTGGGTTCAGAGGGAGGTGCAGGAGGCAGAGTTACCAAATTCCCAAGGAACCCACTCACACAGTTGTGGAAAACTCAACCTTTATTATTACCTGCCTAGTGCAGGGGATTAAAATTGCCTCAAGCTAGGTCCATATATTAGTGTAAAAATCTGTGTCTCTCCCCCCAAAAATGTACAAACCCCAAGTGATTATAGAAAAATCAATGTGGCAGCTACACTAGAGATGTCCAACCCCAAGGCTATGGGCCGTTGCTCCCTCTTTCCCCCCAATCCCAATATTTACTCCACAGAAACGTATAGGCTTAGAGAAGTTCTAGCTACAAGACTGCAAGTGGGAAGTGGGGGTGACTGAGGGCTGGGGCGGGGCTACCCCCAGGTCCAGTGTTTCAGGTGATGGAGGAGGAAGAAGCCCAAGCTGAGGACAAGTACAGGAGCAGGCACAAGGAAACATTTTCCTCTCCTTCTTGTCCTCCTCACCCCCAGATTCTCAGCCAGTGGGGTCCAGTGTGTGACAGGGAGAGAGAAGCTGGGGGCGCAGCCACCTCTCCAGGAATCAGTGTTGTCCAGTGGGGCCCAGGTGCTCCAATGGGCCATGTCCAGTGTCTATCCTATATTTCTCCCCACCCTTCCCCAAGGGATGGCTAGAGGAGGGTGGAGAGGATCCCATCCACAGGACCAGCTGGGTGGGCGACAGGGGCTTCTAGGAAGGAAGAACAGGAAGGGGACATGAGAGTGTGTCCAGGAAGGGGAGAAGGGGCATCAGCTCCCTGGGTGGGCCCAGCCCACCTGCAGTCTCACTGCCTCTATTAGAGGTGATGGGCTGTCGGGAGGGGAAGGGCAGAGGTGCCATTGTGTCCTCTTGTTTTAGTGTCACTGGCTTCCCCTGGATCGCTCCCTGAGGGAGGGGCAGCTGGATGTGTGATTCACACCGTGTTGAGTGCATCCTCTGCCAGGAACCGATGCAGCTGGGAAAAGGGTGGTCGCTGCTCAGACTCCCGGCTCCAGCACCGAAGCATCAGCTCATATAGGCCCTGCGGGCAGGCAGGCGGCCGGGACAGGTACACCTGCATTGTGGCAGTGTGGATGAGAGTCAGGGAACAAATATTCTTTAGTCTCCAAGATGACAACTCTGCCCCTTCTGTCCCCCGCCTCGGACCCATCTTCCCTCTCCTCCACTCTGACCTGCCGGCCCTGGTCCCGGAAGAACTCCCCCGCGTTCTCGATGACCTGCTCGTCGGTGAGCTGCCCAAAGGGCTGGGCCCTACAGAGCATCAGCACCTCCCACAGGGTCACACCAAAGGCCCACACGTCACTCGCAGTCGTGAACTTCCCCTGGGATGCAGAGAAGGCAGCAAAAACAGACAGGGACATCAGGCAACGTAGACCCTCCTCCCTTCCTATTGGAAGCCCCAGATCCACTCTGGGCTCCACTCAGGCCTGATCCCTCCTGACGCCAGGCTCTCCACTCTCCTCCGCTGGCCACCTTTTCCAACTCCTCTCCCTTGGGCTCTGCCTTTCCTCTCCATGCTCTGGTCCTCTCTCCAGGGCCCTGGCCCACCTCTTCCTTCTGCTCCTCCTTCCTCTCCATCCACCCCCACTTTCTGGTCCTGACCTTCGGTCTCCCTACCCAACCCCTTCTATCTCCAGCTTCCTCGCCCAACCTCATCTCTTGAGCTCTCTGCCACCCTGTCTCCATCCCCAGTACCCACTCTTGGCTCCTGGATTCTTGCCCATCACACTGCAGCTCCTGCTTTCCCCAGTCCCTTGGGCTAGGAGAACCTCATATTATAGATGAGATTCTGTAAAATGCAACCCAGAGAAAGTGTGTGACTGATGGAGACCAGGGCTGTGAGTGGCGGCCAGTGTTCTCCCACCTGCCCTGCTCCAACCTGGCTGTCCTCGGGCTGCTCACCATGAGGATGCACTCCCAGGCCATCCAGCGGATGGGCAGCACTGCCCGGCCCTGCACACGGTAATAGTCCCCAGCATAGAGGTTCCGGCTCATGCCAAAGTCTGCGATTTTGATGGTGAAATTTTCCCCAACTAGGCAGTTCCGCGTGGCCAGGTCCCGATGTACAAAGTTGAGTGTGGCCAGATAGCGCATGCCGGAGGCGATCTGGGCTGCCACATGCAGCAGCATTGGGTAGCTGAGAAGGGAACCGACAGAAGGTCACTGGGGGCAGCTTCGCAGATTCCCATCCAGGAGAGGAGAGAGAGCCCACTCCCCGGGCCCGGTCACTCTGGCTCCCCATGTGGAGGTGGAATGCCCACGTGAGGCCAAGGGTCACTTCCCTCTCAATCTCCCAGGCCTGGCCAACACTAGGGGGCTCTTCTTTTATTGTGCTCCCCAATCTGGACTCAGAGGGGAGTGAGGGTGAGAGAAAGCAGAAGGGACGTCATGGCAGGGCCCAAGTCCCTTCACCACTCTTGCATAGTCACCTCCAGCCTTTCTGTCCATGTTCCTGGGTTAACTTGTCACACATTCCTTATCCCAGGCCCTCCTGGAACCTCTCTCCCTTCCCACCCCCACGCTCCCCTCTTTTCCTCCAGGCTGAAGCGAGGGGAGAGGAGGAGATCCCCTGGGGGAATTCTGAGCAAGGCCCAGCCTGGGTAAGCAGGTACCTGATGGTGGGCCCCTGCGCAGCCTGCCCGTCCCCAGGGGCCCCCTCGGCTGCCTTGTCCTCCAGCTGGTGGGCACTGAGGAACTGGTTGAGGTCGCCGTTCTCCATGTAGTCAGTAATCATGCAGAGGGGGTCGTCCTGCACACACACGCCCAGCAGCCGAATGATGTTTGGGTCCTTGAGCCTCGACATGATCTTCACCTCTTTCAGGAAATCATTCCTGGAGAACAAGGAGAAGCTGAAGAGGAATGCCGAGTGGGCGGCCTGCACCTTCCCCCGCGCCCCCACCCCCCTGCCCCACCTCAGGCAGACCAGGCGTCCCCACCCCCAGCGTACATGTAAATCCCCTCCCAGAGATGCCACCCCTCTGTTGGGCTCTGCCATTGTTCTCTCTAGATGGCTCCCCACTCTTCACGGCCTCCCCTCCCTTCTTCCAGATGCCATCCCTGGTCCTCACCTGGCATTCTTGGTGGCATCTGGCCGTAAGATCTTGACAGCTACCAGCAAAGGGTGTCCCTTACGCACATTAAGGGGGAAATCAAGACTAACCAGATCTTGAGGGCTGTCGACCTCACACAGGTGCACCTGGAGAAAGAAGTTCGTTTGCTAGGCGGTCACAGGGTCAAACGGATTAACACGGTTACAAATGACTAAGGTTCCTGGCTAGGGGGATGCGCAGGCATGGCATCAGAGCACACAATAGGGCCAGACACTGGGTAGGCACCCTCCTTACCTCCCCAAACTGGCCCTCGCCAAGCTTCTCCTTGAAGCGGAGTCGAGATCGAGGGAAATCCACTCTGGGGGGCCCATCCCCGACTGCCCCTGGGGGCAGTGCAGGCACAGCATAGGTGTTGCCCCCGGTGACGCCCTGCAGGGTAACAATGTCAGCCTCGGCATAATGGGGGACGCTGTTCTGGGGAGGTGGGGGCAGAAGCGGGGCGCCTGGCTTCTCAGGCTCCATATAGTCCCCACTGTAGGCTGCAGGGGTGAGGGGAAAGAAGACAGGACGAGGCATCAGGAACAGCCCAAGAGCTATAGTTCCCCACACCTCAGCCTCCCGGAGGGCCCTGTGTCTCCCGGTTGAGTGAGAGACTGGGTCTATGCTGTATCTTCCCAGTATTCCATGCGCCAACCTCAAACCAGGAAGACACTGGCATGGGACGAGAGTTAGCTATTCCAGAGCTTTTCAAGGCAATGAATATGGTTGAGCAAAACTGTCATAAAGTCTTACTCTTTTAGGGCCTCCCTAGGGTCTCTCAAGAGACTGTGAGATAAATCTTGGCTGGAAGAAGAATTCCTCCCCAGGAATTCTCCCGCCTCAGGATGGTCCCAGCATCCAGGCACCCTCCACCTTCCAAACCCTTGTCCCGTTCACCACAGCTCCCTCCCCTTCACTTAGCTGCTCTCCCGTGGCTTTCAGCCTGGCTCCCCCTGGGGCCAAGCCCTCCCAACCCTTTCAACCCAACACACCAAGCTCAACAACAAGCAGAGACAGAGGCACACAGAGAGGAGGGAGGGTAACAGCTGCTCACAGCCCCAACACAAGTTGTCTACAGACAGGAGAGGAAGCAGAGCTGTCCCCTCTTAGCCCTGGGGAAGGGGCCACAATGAGAAGGCAACACTGAGGAGAAGAGGGGCAGATGGAAAGGGTTGGGGCATGAGCCTTCACCTCTGGGACTGCAGAGAGAGGACACATGTGAGGGAAAGGGCAAGCGCCCGGGGTGAGAGCCCTCCTCCTCGCAGCTCTAGAGAGAGTGGAGAATAAAGGAGGAGTTACTATAGTCTGGGGCCACCACAGCAACCTCCTGTCTAGCTCTGGAGAGCTGAAGAGATGGCGTGGAAGAGGAGGAGGGAGAAGAGCTGGGGACCAGTAAGCTTTCTACTCCTCAGCTCAAGGGGGGGACCTTAAAAAAGAGCAAGCAGCAGCAGAGATGAGCTAAGGGCACAAGAGCTTCCTCCTTGGGAGCTCAGGAGAGCAGAATAGGCCACAGTGGGGAGAGGAGGAAGTGCAAGGTGTGAGGGCTTTTCCCTGCCCCAGTAGAGGTATGGGGAGCCTGGCGGAGCCCAGGGGCAGAGGGGCTTACCCTGGGTGTTGGTGGGTTTGGCCCAGGCGGGTGTGGGGGGGCCCGGGCCTCGAGGGGGACGGGCGTAAGTGGCCAGAAGGAGGCGGTAGGCTGGATTGGAGAGCAGCAACGCTGTCGGGAGAAGGAGGAGGGGAAACACGGGGAAGGGATGAGACTCAAGGCTAGACAGACAGGGAGACCTTGAATAGGGCAAGACCAGGGCTGATGGGATGATTGCATTAAGAGACAGACAGGATAAAACAAGGATCTGCAGAGTGACGGACGGCTGGCTGGATAATGAATGCATGGACAGATGGGACGTATGAATAGATGGATGGATGGTAAACAGATGTTTTGTTGGATGGATGGATAACAGATGGAAAGATGGATGTGTGAATATAGATGGATAGATGGATGATGGATATGGGTGGGTGGATGGATGGATGAATAGATTTATGAATATAGATAGAAAGACAGATGATGGAAGATTGATGGATGGATGCAAGGATGTATGACTATGGATGGAAGGATGGGTGATGGAGGATAGATGAAGGAACAAACATGGTGAGTCTAATACAAAGCAAAGGGGCCAGGGAGACACAATGAGAGGGTACAACAAAGATAGAGAGATGTCTGTGGGACACAGACAAGATAGCACCACGGGGGACTATGGGTAATACATGGGGAACTCTTGAGAGAGACTACATGGTAGGGACAAAGAGTGATATAGACAGTAACCAGGGGCACAGAAAGAAGAAAACAAGTGGAAACTGGGGAAGACAGGAAAAAAAGAGAATGGGAAAGGGATACAATAAGAAAACAGCAGAGAGGACAGAGGTGCGACTGGAACAAGGCAGGTCTTACCAGAGCCATTGGGGACACAGGGAGCGGAGTGGGGCGGATTCCCACGAGGCCGGGGCTCCTGGTACGGGGGTGGCTCTCTAGGACCTGGGCGGTTGTTGATGAGGATAGTGTCCCCAGGGACAGAGAGGTGAACCGTCAGCTCCTCTTCCAACACCCTCCGTTCAGCCTTGTCATAGGGATGGGAGGCATCACCCGTGTTGCTCAGCACACACGGCCTGGCCCTCTGCTGTGTCCATCCCTGCGTTCCCTCCCTCAGCCCTCACAAGAGCCCTACAGCTGTGGATACTATCAGCACCATCTTACAGGCAGAGAAAGTGAAGCTCAAGAGCATGGAGGTAACTTCCCTGTCCCACAATGAGATTCTAACCCTCATCTGCCCAGTCCATAACTATCAACCGTTTTTTTTTTGTTTGTTTGTTTTTTTGAGATGGAATTTTGCTCTTGTCGCCCAGGCTGAAGTGAAATGGCATGATCTCAGCTCACTGCAACCTTCGCCTCCCAGGTTCAAGAGATTCATGCCTCAGCCTCCTGAGTAGCTGGGATTACAGGCATCAGCCACCATGCCTGGCTAATTTTGTATTCTTAGTAGAGATGGGATTTCACCATGTTGGTCAGGCTGGTCTCGAACTCTTGACCTCAGGTGATCCTCCCGCCTCGGCCTCCCAAAGTGCTAGGATTACAGGCATGAGCCACCGTGTCCAGTCATCAACCTTAATGTACATTACTGCCACTGGACTCCAGCCGGAAGACGTGGCTTGGGGTGTGCCAGACGTCTTCCCTTTGCCCCTCCAACCCCACTCTCTGCCTGTCTCTACCCTGCTTCTGCCCCAAGGCTGACCAGTGTACACTGCACCAACAGGCCTGGTTTGGGTTAGCCAGAGAGGAGCCCAGCAGGAGTTTGGGGCAGAAAGTGAGGTCAGGGCATCTATTCTCCCAGGCCCTCCCTGAGGGGTAGATACGGGCCAGCTGCATCCCAGGACCAAAGTCTACTGCCCCTGTCAAGGTGCCCTCTCCACAGGCTCTCTCCTCTGGGTCGTGGTATTTGCTCCTCTCCGCTGAGCAGACCCAGAGCTGGGGAGCAGCCCTCCCTGTGAGCCCCATACCCTCTTTGACATGGTGTAAGTGGTCTCTTTACTAAGCCCTCCTCTTGGGATGCTAGTGGGCTGTGCCCTGCAGGTCCCACTGGACGCTGGCTCGTGCTGGGGCCTGGCCTCCCCCCGCCACTCCACATGCCACGGCTGTGCCCACCTTGCTGAGGAGCCTGCGCCAGTGCAGCCGCCAGAGCATGAGGGCAATGATGAGCAGCAGGAGCAGGATGATGGCCACCAGGCAGCCGATGAGGATGGCGGTCGGGCTCCCCTCGGCCTTGGCCACGGGCTGCTGGCCTCTGGGCTCCAGCTCTGGTGGAGGCAGCAGGGTCAGCACCACAGGAGGGTCCCACCCTAGCCGAGGGGGAGGCCCAGGGAGAAGGGTGCAGAGGGTCCACACGCCCACCCAAGATTGCTCACCCAAGCTGCTGAAGTTGGTGGGAGGTGGGCCAGGCGGCCACCAGGGGGCTGGCGGGAAGGTGCCTCCCAGTGCCGGAGAGGAATTGTTCACCACATCTGGGGAGAAGGAACAAAAAGAAAGGAGGGAGGTAAATGAGGAGGAGACCCAAGGGAGGCAGAGGCAGTGGACTGTTGTGCAAAGGAGCAGAAGCATGGGTGATTCTCAATAGGCAACCACTGACCAGTGGGGGCTGGGGGAGCAGGGTCCTGGAACACCCAGCTGTGGTGGGTGTTAACCCTATAGTTGCTGGATTGTGGGGAGGTGGAGGACAGGTATCTGGAGGCTTAGAGAAGAGGCTATTTCTCAACTAATACAGAAGTATTTCAATATTTTAACAACCAGTACTGTCATACTGGCTCAATAATAGTCACGGGCAAGGGGCTTACAAAGGAAAGATGGATACGCAGAGAACAAGAGGCAGAAAGGGGCTCAAGTTATTTGGGGCACCCCTAATTGAGAAGTTTCGGTGGGTGATGGGTAGATATAATGCAAGGAATGAGTATTTTAGGGACACTGCAGGGTTAGGAATGAAATCAGTTGTCAATTTCAGGGACTGGAGACTGGGCTACTCCAGGGCTTACCAGAGATGAAGGAGATTTCGCTGAAGAGTAACCAGGGCCCCGCAAAGAGGAAGCGGCACTGCAGAAAGCGAGCCACACGGCCGCCAAGGGGCACTGAGACAGCCCGGGCTCTGGGGTCCCCCAGGTTGCCCCCTAGGTTGTGGCGCATGGGCTCCCCCTCCCAGGCCATGGCAGGGCCACGCCGGAAGCGACATTCCACCCCGCCAGGCAGACGGGCTCCCAGCGTGTGCATGTTGTTACAGTGGACCTGGGGGGAAGGGAAGAGGGCACAGGGTCAAGGCTAGGAGTGGTGGGGGCACCCCAACGGCACCCTGCATGGCTTCAGAGCCCTCCTCGAGAGCCGGACTCACTCACCTGCATAGCCTGGAAGGCCCTCAGCCGGTCAAACTCAAACTCCATCTCCACATAGCCACTGGAGAAGCTGTGGTTGCTCCATCCCACATAGTCATAGCCTGGCCAGACCCGCAGCTCCTGACTCTTCCTAAAGTCATCCAGCCCCACCACACCATCTGCCAGCTGGCCCAGACCCCCATACTGCAGTCTGGAGAAGAGGGGACCAAGGAAGAGGAGGTTGGAAGGGAAGAGGGTCTTGACATCCAGGCATTCTGCTCCGCCACCCTCCGGCACAGTGGCATGGCCAGCCTGGCTCCCATCCACTAGTCCCATTCCCATCCCACCTCACACTCATGCAGCTGGCCCTTCTCCTCTCTCCACCCCACCCCAGCACTACAGGTACCTTGCAGGTCACATCCAGCACAAAGGCACCACCTCTAAGGGGCACCATTTCAATCTATGATGTGTATATTTATTGCAGCAATTTCCAACAATGTGTGTTAGCAAAGGGGTGCCTTTTTCATACAGTGTCATACGGGCTAGTGGTCACCCTAGTGCTACCCTTTGAGGCCCCACCTAACCCATCCCTCTTCTCAGCTCTTCCATCTCACTCCCCACCCTACTTACCAGCCCCCCTACACACACACACTCTCACACACACACACACACACACACACACACAGTCCTCCCTCCCACCCCAAACTCCATATCCTGCAGGGGCCTTTCTTACCCGCCCACGGTATGTCCGTCATAGGTGGAGTCGTTGAGGTACACGGCCTCAGATAAATACATTGTCTGCCCCACAGGGGCGGTGTAAGACAGGAGTCCATCTGGGGCAGGGTGAGAGGATGGGGGTCAGAGGCACTAAGGCTCCATCCCCCATCCCTGCATCAGGCCTGGGCAGGTTTCAGGTCCCTTCTTGTATCTCTCCACTGGCTCATTGGCATGGAGGAGACAATGCTGGCTAGCCCCCTCCTCAGAGTGACAGCTTCCCAGCAGGAGAAGGGATCCTGGATGCCCATTCTCCACACTCCCCACCCTCCAGTCCCCTGCTCAGGAAACAGATTCCCAGGAAGCTGAGCCACTCACCCCTCCAGAGGCAGCCATAGAGCTCTACCCGCAGACAGACGCTCATGACCCGGTCAGCCCGGGGGTAGAAGCGAACCAGTCGGGCAACCATGGGGGGCCCAAGGTCCTTCAGCACCACTCCCTCAGGGTCCTCATTGCCTGAGATCACCTGTGGGCCAGGAAACAGGGGGTGGGTGGGATGGAGTCCAGGTCAGATCTTACTTCCCACCCACCAGCTGCTCCCTGGCCCAGCCCACAGTGGCCACTTAGAGACCCATGAGGGGTGGCACCGAGCACACAGCACTGTGGGGCGCAGCCAGGCATGGGTGAAATGAAGATCTGCAGCTGAGACCTCTGGCTCTGTCGCAGCTCTGATGTTCCATCCTCAGACTTCAGGCTCAGCTGCCCTCTTCTCCTTGCCTGGCTCCATCCATTTGTCTCCAAGCCTATCATCCCATTGTGCCCAGATTCTCCCCAATCCTCACAGCCCTGCACCCCTGCCTCAGCTTCCCCTTCATTTCAGCCCATTCCCTCTGTTCATTCAGCAGAAGTTGGCTGAGTGCCCGCTCTGTGCCAGGCGCGTTCTCAGTGGTGAACGTCACTCCCCACCCTTGTAGGACTGAGATCCCAGCAGGGAAAACAGCTGCGAAGAACAAGAGGCAGGAAGTATGGACAGAGCAGTGAGGTGGGTGGCCAGAAAAGGCTCTCTAAGGAGGTGACACCTGGCAGAGAACTGAATGGAGTGAGGGAGAGCCTGTGGTTATTTAGGGGAGGAGCTTTGCAGGCACAGAGAAAATGTCCAGAAGCTGTGGGAACGAGCCCTGGCTTGTTCCAGCAACAAGAAGAAAGGCAGCGTGGCCAAGGAGGCGCCAAGAAACAAGTGATGCAGGCAGGAGCCAGGTCAGGCTGAGCATCCTGCACCAGCTAGGGACTCAGCTTTTGTTCTGGCAGAGTGGAAAGCCAGCATGGGGGTGTCAGCTAGGTGTGACGTATCTGATTTACATGCTCTAAGGTCCACTGGATGCCGCCCCCCCAGGTGGAGATTTGACTCCAGGCAGAAAAGGGCAGAAGCAGGGAGACGCGTTTGGCATCTACTGCACTCATCTAAGCTGGAGATGGCGGGCAGGTGGCCTAGGGCAGTAGAGGTGGAGTGGTGAGGAGTGACTGGACTCAGGAACACTATGGAGGTAGAACAGACGGGGCTGCTGATGCTTTGGAAGGAGGTGAGAGAAAAAAAGGAATCAAGGATATCATCTTAACTTATAGCCTAGGCAACCAGGCAATGGTGATACCACTTCCTGAGCTGGAGAATGCCAGGGGAGGAGCAGGTTTAGGCTGGGAATGGGAATCAAATTCAGCTTGGGAAGTTAAACGTACGTTTGAGATGCCTATTAGACATCTAGGTGGCTGGCTACAGTGCTTGTAATCCCAGCACTTTGGGAGGCTAAGGTGGGAGGATCACTGAGCCCAGGAGTTCAAGACCAGCCTGGGCAACACAGCAAGACCCCATCTATTAGAAAAAAAAAAAAAGACATCTAAGTGGAGAAATCCAAAAGGTGGCCAGGTTTACAATATTGTTTGGAGCTCAGCTGAGAGGCTTAGTCTGGAGATGATATAAACTGGAGAGTCGTCAGCGTATAGGTGGTGTTTAAAGTACAGCTGGAAGTGAGGAGAGCCAACCTCCTCTGGGTGCTGCCCCTGCCAGTCTCACCTCCTGACCCCAGCGGTCCTTCCAGCCCATCCAGCGGCGACCATCCCGGGAGTAACGCAGCCGGTAGCTCCGGGAGAACTCCTTGCCCAGGCCCCCGGCATGCCGTCCCTGGGTGCCCACCAGAGCCACCAGGTGCAGTCGTTGTAGATCCACCTGCAAGTACTCCTCCTCCTTGGGAAACACCGACCCTGCGGGGCACCAGGCCCCATCCCCGTCACTGCTCTCCAACCTGAGGGTGAAGAGGGGCACAGAGAACATCTGGCCCCAGGTCTGCCTCCATCTCCAGTATTTAAACCCCACTTCATTTGCCCCCTCAGCCTGCAGGGGTTTCACTGGCATGGGCAGAGGGGTTGGAGGGGAAGTAGAGGTCCCAGGAGCTCCTCTCGGGGCAGCTACAAGTGTGCCAGGTGTGCCAAGTACCTGCTGTGGCGGGCGGCAGTGGAATCTGACCAGGAGCTGGAAGCAGAGATGTCACTGTCTGGGATGGTCCGGTCCTGCATGCCCAGGGCATAGCGGCACTTGGCTGAGTAAAAAGCAGGCATGTAACAGGTCAAGGCCCCCAACTCTCTACCTCCCAAGCCCTGGCCCTCAGGGACCCATGATTCAGTCTCCTCACCAGGATCAAAATGTCCCTTCATGTCAGCATCTCCACTTGCCACCAAGAGCAGCAGCAGTAAAGATGACAGGGCCTCTGGTCCCATAGCTCCTGATCCCTCGGGCCTAAGGGGGTGGGGGCAGCATCTCTGCAGGGGATAAAATGGGTGGTGCGTAAGTTAATCAGGGGACTGAGTCATAGCTGACAGCAACAGACAGAATGGGCCGCTTTGGGGATAATAACAGTAAAACAACAACAACAGTCATTGTTTAACAGCATCAGCTATATTTTTAGAATGCTTCCCCTGTGCCAGACACTGGCCTAAACCCTTAAACAGAATCCATAATTTTATCTTCACAGTCACTTCATAAGGTAGATACTATTACTATCCATATTTAACACATGAAGAAACTAGGGCAGAGATCAGTTAAATAACTTCCTAAAGCCCCATTTCTCCAATCAGGAATGGGCAAAATATCCCCATAAACAACGGCTTAGAACAAACAACAAGTGTGCAAAAAATGTTTATAACACATACAACAGGAAAAGGTTTAATAACTACAATAAACTAAGGCCCCTTAGGAACTGACAAGAAAAAATATATAAGTAACCCAATAAAGAAACAGCCAAAGAATGTGAATAGTCATTTCACAGAAAAGCAAAGCCAAATTGCCAACAAACATTTTTTTTAATGGTCAAATTCACCAGCCTCAGGGAAATACCAAGCAGACTGACAAGATATTTTTTTAAGGCTGTAACATATAAAAGTGGTAGAAAGTGATGAAAAGGGAGGCACCATGCTCAATGGCAGAAATGAGTGTTATCTTCTATTTGGAAAGCAATCTAGCAATGTCTATTATAATTAAAAATGCACATCCTCTTCGACCCAGCATTCCCTCGAGAGAGAAGCACCAGGAAGTAAGAACATATGTGCAGGTCTGGGTCTGGTGGCTCATGCCTGTAACCCCAGCACTTTGGGAGGCCGAGATGGGAGGATCACTTGAGGCCAGGAGTTAGAGACCAGCCTGGTGAACATAGTGAGACCCCATCTCTTTAAAAAAAGTGAAAAATAAAAATAAAAAAGAAGATTTCAAAGATGTTTATTATGGTACCTTTTGTAAGACATAAATCTGTAAGATATGTGAATGCCCACAGGGGACAGGCTGGAATTAAAAAAAATAAGGTTTATTGACTACTATGCAGCTATGAAAAGTAACAAAGAGGCAATATATTCCTAACTTTGTGTGATTTCCATGTATATCTGTTGAATATGAAAAGCAAGCAACAGAAGTATAAAAAATATCCCACCTTTTGAAAATAGAATAAACAAGCACCCATGTTTGTATATATACCTGTGTGTACGTCTAGAAGGAGAGAATATATAATAGAATATAACAATAGAATACAATATAACAAGAGTTAACATGAACGGGGCAAAAGAAAAGCAAATTTAAAAAGACAGGTTGATTGTACTATTTTTCTAAATCTTGTAACATAAATGCATTTATGTAAAATCATAAGATATGTAAAAGAATATGAAAATCATTTTGACTTTTAAAAAATAAATATGTCCCAGGAAAGGTTGGGCAATTCCTTGTTGAGGATATGATAGAATTAAACATCAGATAAGCCTGGACCAGCTCACCCTGCTGCCCTCCCACATAGGAGTCCAGAATTCTAAGAGAAGGGCAGAGGGGACCCCAGCACCTTCTAGTCTTACTGTCCCCTATAGCCCTCTAGGCCCAGGGTGGTCCCTGGACCATCAGCAATACCTGGAAGCATGGAAGAAATCAGAATCTCAGGCTCACCCTTGACCTGCTCAATCAAAATCTGCCTTTTAACACAATTCCCAGGTGACCTGTGCCCATTAAAGTTTGAAAATCCCTACTCTGTTCCTCAGGCCCAGGAAGCTTACCCCACATAAAACTATTCTAAATGGCATCTCCTTACAAACCCAAGTAACTACTCTCCCCTCCCCTGCTGCAGGAAAAGCTATCCTAACCTGTACTGGTCTCAGAGCCCTGTACTGAAGTCTCCAGGCCCTGGAGTCCTGAGGGACTCGACTGCCACCTCTTATCAGGTTCAGGGCATCTTGGGCCCAGTTATCCCTGCTCTGCCTTCCTGAGACCCAGACATCCAGTCCCCCCAGTTCCCACTTCCAGAAGGTGGCTGCCTCTGAGGGACTGAGGAAAGGCTGAGTTGCCTTGGAGACGAGGGCGGGTCTAAAGACAAGGAAGGCAGGTCACCCCAGGAGGTAGGAGGAGTGGGGGATACTCCCCCATCCCTTTGTCCTCCTCCAGCTGCTCCCACAATGCACTAGGGCAGGAATGTAAGAGGCAGCTGAGACCCCAGAGCTCTGAAGCAGCAGCTGAGGGGGACGACTGAGTTGTGGGGGGCACTCAGAGGCTAGAACCAGAAGGCATCACGCCTGGTCCCTTAGGGTCCAGCGCCGGGGAGCAGGCTGCCAGAGTCCCAGGAGACTGGCTTGGAATTCCTGGGTGCCGCTCTCCAACCCCACCTCTCTCGGGAACAGCGGGGCTCTTGTTCCCCTAAGTAACCTTCATGCCTATCCCAGATGAGTCATCAGAGCCACACAGAGCCGAGAGGAGCCCGGGGCAGAGATACAAAGGCAGGCAGAGGATACGAGGCAGGCGGAGACAGAGCGAGAGCCACAATGCAAGAGGTAAATAGAGCAGGCTCAGAAACACGGGGCACAGAGCCAAGCAGAGGAACACGGAGAAGCACAGAGACGTCTGGGCTGTCTGTTCTCCAACACCCCCAGTCACCTCATCTCTCTCCACTGGGTCTTCAGTCCACAGTCAGAGACCCAGAGGGCAAGAGAGGACAAGCCCAGAAGACCTTCCCCAATCCCACCCCCTTCCACTCCATTACAACCAAAGACAAACCAGGGGCCAGGCCACCCTGCCTCAAGCCCTTCACGCTCCTCTCCCAACCCCCAAGTCCCACTCAGACAACACCCACACAGCTCTGTACACACACACACGGTGAAACACACAAACTTACTGAACTGGCTGTAAACAGCGAGGCTAAATGTGGCATGCACACACCCACCTCTCAGTGTCCCTGACAACCCTCACAGAGTTTCTGAGACAGAGCAAACACAGAAGCTCATGCATACATCAACCCGTCCACACCTTGGCATTCCTTCAAGTCCAACCCCATCGCTCAGTGAATAGCCACCTTCAGACACCTGTGAACATGAAATGACAGACACCACATGCTCCTGTGACCAAAAGACAGCATGAGACACACACACCCGGGCCCTTGGGCACAGGATCCCCAGAGAACTGGGGCCCAGCCTCTAACACACATGGGTGACCAAGCCAGAGGGACGTCGAGGGGGCAGGGAACAGGTGGGCGCTGGGTGGGAAGAGTGGCAATAAGGACAACAGCCTTTCCCTGCCTTTCCACTCACTCCCCTTTCACCTGTCTCCACCACACCACTCAGTCCTGGACACACCTACAGGCCCTCAGCAACAGCCAGCGAGCTTGGGCGCCTGCCTCTGGCTGCTGGAAGCGCTGGGAAGAAATGTTCAGCCAAGAGCCAGGCATGGGGGGGTGGGACCCTGAAGCTGGCGCTCACCGGCAGTGACATTCTCTCATGCCAGAGCTAATTGACCATCCAGCCGGGAAGAGTGGTGTCACTGGTGGGTTAGAGTGGCAGTCCCTCTTTTTGCTGGACTGTGACCAGACTGACCAACTGGGTGTTGGCTGAGCGGAGGCTTAGCAGTTAGATGCCCGCAGGGACTGGCCAGGTGGAGGGCAGGCGATAGATGAGCTGACTCAGTGGGGCTGCACAGGAGCACCTCCTCCCGGGGCTCAGTTCCTCCGCACTGAGTGAGAGGGGACTTGCCTCAAGGCTGGAGGCTCAAAACTCTTTCTGGGAGGTCACGGGCTTCACCTCCACCCAGTCCCCGCCCCCGGTTTTCAGACGGTATGCCAGAGCATCGGGGAGGCGGGCAGGGAGGCTTAGAAGAGCTGGACGACCAAGCATGGCTCGGGACGTCCTGCCTCCCCCGCCCCTCGCCCTGCAGGCGCCGCCGCGCGCCCCCACCCCAAGAGCCCCAGGCCTCCGCCCGCGGGTTCCGCCGCCGCTCTCCCTACCTCTCATCGCTCTTCCCGGCAGACCCAGGCGTCCGACCCGGGAGCGGGGCCTCTTCGGCGGCGGGGCGAGGGGCGGGGGAGGCGGAGGGAGCCAGGAGCCGGGAGCCGGGAGCGGGAGGCGCCGGCGGGGCTCGGGTGTCGGGAGGCGGCTCCCGAGAGCAGCTGTCGGGGGCCTGTTCCGGGGAGAGGAGCCAGGGCTGGGGCGGCTCGGGCCCAGGCGCCGCCTCCCCCTCGCCTCGGCTCCCTCCCTTCCTCCTCCCGCTCCTCGCTCCCCTCCCTCCCCTCGGCCTTCTCGCCGCGCGTTCGGGCTCGCAGCCCTCCCTTCCCCCTCCCGGACCCAGTAGTCCCAGTGGCTCCCACGCCCGGCGCCGAGCTCCAGGCCCCGCGCCCGCCACGCCCACCCCGCGCGCTAGCGCCCGGCCCGGCCTCCCCCAGGTAACCCGCCCGCCAAGCCCGCCTGGGCGCTCCCAGGCCGCCCAGCCGCCCGCGCCGCTGCCTCCGGCCGGCTCCGCGCCCAGCCCCCTCCACCCACTCGCAGCCCACCCCCGCTTCCCCAAACGAGAACCTCCAAAGCTGGCGCCCCAGGGGGCTGGCTGCAGTCCCGCTCAGGGCCCACGAGGGGAAGACGCCCCTCCTACTTCTGGGATCGGTTCCTGGTGGGAGAGGCAAAGGGGAGCAGCCCCAGGGCACAGAGGAAGAAGCAGGTTCCCACAGGCTCGGCCCAGCCCAGCTGCGGGAGTTAGCCCAGAGAAGGGAGCAGAGCTCAGGTCTCAGGGCTCACCTGTCCAGCCAGGCCCCAGACTGCTCTTCTCCCTCCACCAACCTTTGCTCCTCTCTCGCAGCCTGTGCGCTCCCGCCCCTACGACCCAACCTGGAAGGCCCCAGACCCTGAAGGCGGGCCCACTCTCTTCTCCTTCTCCTCTCAGTTCCTCTCTCTGAAGGGCGTTCTAAGGGACCCGGGGGTCCAGACGCCCAGGCCCTGATTCCCCTGGGCTCCCAACGGAGTGGAGTGGGAGGGGGACTCAGGAGTCCTCAGGGCAAGCCTCCCTCAGGCCCAGCCAGCTCTGGCCGTAGTGGGCCAGAGGGTCTGATCACTGGCCAGAAGAGGCCAAAAATGAGGCCAGGACAAAGTTGAGTGGTCGGGAGGAGGAAGAAGAGGAGCAGGAGAAGGATGGAGGCACACTGAAAATCACACACAGTCAAAAGGAAGGGGACCAAGAGACCCAGGGAAGATGAAACAGTGAGACTGAGTAGGCAAAGCAACTGAGAGAGCTACTGGGCAGAGGATGGAGCGGGACAGAACAGCTTGTGGTGGGAGGTGCTTTTTCCCCACTCAGCACTACCTCAGCCCCTCACCTCTCTCCACACCCCCACACCTGCTCACCACCTAGACAATGTCACGGTCACAGGAAGTTCTCGCTCCACTGCACATCTCCGCCCCAGGAACCTCACAGTAGATAAAAACATACCCTGCTTGCAGTCCCAGACAACAATCCCAAGAAAGAAACACGAAGTCCCAACCAGACAAGTACACAAAAGCACTACCAGGAAGAAGCTGGCCCTTGGGAAAGGCCGAGGCACACATGGGCACTAGTTCAGAAGCCCAAGGACGTTCCAACGGCTGAGGGACCTGCTAACAGACAGCCCCAGGGTCACTCGAAGAGCAGCTTCTTCCCGCCTTCCTGTCCCACCAAGCCCCCAGGGATTCATTCCCCCAGAACACCTACCCCTCCAGAGAACAGCAGCTGGGGAATCTAGGCCCAGGAGACGCTGGACTGGGGGTGGGGCCAGCCTGGGGGTGGGGCCAAGGCTTCCCAAGTCACCTCACCTGGCAGCCCACAGCCCCTCCTTCCAGGAGCTGTGCTCTGGGAAAGCCCCAACAGGCCTGCCAGGCAAGCTACAGCCCGTCATACCCTGGTGGGACATTCCACACCCCAGGCCCACGCTGACCCCAGCTAAGTGGCATGGCAGTGCCAGACAGAGGGGTCCACTGGGGAGAGCAGAAGGAGCTAGAGAGTCCTGAAACCTTTGTCCCCTCTTCTCACTGCCTCAGGAGAAATTCCTAGTGGTGATGCCCACCTCGCCCCAGCTCTAGGCTGGAGGAGTGGGAGGGATGCAAGGCTGGGGCCCAGTGGAGTCAAGTGACAACGGAAAGGGAGCTGGAGCCAGCTGGAATGCGGGACTCGGAGCCGAGATTCCCAGGGGCCTGAGAGGGAAATCCCAGCCATCCTGGGGCCCAGAGAGCAGCACCAAAGACCAAGAGGGCCTGATTACCCATCCGTGGTCCCCAGAGCCCATTCCACATCTCCTGCATCACTCCGAACCCCAGAGGCCCCCTGTGTCCCTGAGAACCCCCAAATGACCCTCTACCATCCCCTCCCATCCTGGGCTTCCCTCCCCTTCAAGCCAGTGGCAGCCTGCTGCCCAGGAAGGAGAGGATGGGAAACAGCTGAAAAAATGTGAGGAGAGGCACGTAGGAGAGGGGAGAAGGCAGCTTCAGGCCTGCAGACCACCTGGCCACAGGAGGGAAGCCCAGCACGACCAGCGAGCGAGAGGACGGACCAGATGGGCCCCCACACATACACTAGCTGCAGTCCCCTTCCGGGAGCTGCAGCTGCCTCTGGAGGAGCAGGCTGGGTCAGCAGCTGGGGAGAGTAAGAAGCGACGGGTGGGGGGCAGGGTGAAGGAGTGTACAAGGCTTTGGGTGTGAGTCAGACCTGATGCCACTGAATAAACTGGAAACTGAGGCCAGGGAGCGAAGGAGGAGATTGAGATGACGTAGCTCTGGGAGAGAGATGAAACAGCTCAGCTGTGGTTGGGGAAGAAAAGGGCAAGGGACCAGAAGAGGGAGAGGAGGCTGATGGTCAGATGGGGACAATGGTGAGAGAATTCCCAGAGAGACGGAGATGGACTGAGGTCAAGGCCAAGGAGACAGGTCTGAGAGAGGAAAAGGAGGATGAAGACAGGGCACACACAGCAAAAGGTGGGAAGCCCCAGGGGCTCAGAGGAGGAGACTGAAGTTTGGGAAGAAAAGGGCTGAACTGGATGAAGGAACTGAAGTGGACTCGGGAAGGAAACAGTGTTGGAAACAAACTCCTAAGAGAGGAAGGCAGGGAACTGAGGAGGCTTGAGAGCTGGGCAGACAGATCAAGGGGACAAGAAGCAAGGACAAGGGAAGAAGGGGCTGGAGTGAAACAGAGAGTGGAGGGAAAGAGGAGGGAGACTGGGGCGCAGAGTGTGAAGCTAAGGGACACGGGGAGATGAGAAGTATAAAAGGCTGAGAAAGGAAGAGGCACCTGCGGGACAGATGGGGACATGAGGACCAAAGAGAGAATCTAACCTGTTTCTGGACAACGGTCCCCCTTTGGGGACACCCTAGTCCCTCAGCCCATTCACCACACCATGGCACCCAACTCTATTCCCTCTCTTTCCCCTCCTCCCTGCCAGGCTCTGGGCCGCTCCCCTCCTCCCAACACACCTCCAGCCTCCAGCCGGGGACCGCCTGGTCCCTGCCCACAAGGGGAGGGCCCAGCTCCAGTGCCCACTCCTGCCCTCCCAGTTCATCTCTGGCTTCCCCCCTCTCACCTCCAGCTCAGGATTCTCTTAGGTCCCAGTCACCCCAGTCTCAGGCCTTTGGGGTCGGGTCTGGGGCTGCCAACGCTGCCTGGCTTTGTCCGAGCGTCCGGGGCCCCGGGCCCAGGAGGAGCAGCTGCCCGGGCCAGCTGCGGCTGGCTTCAATGTGACCATGGCAACCAAGTCCCGCTCCCCTCACCGAGCCTCTAGGCCCCCGCAGAGAGGGACTGAGCAGCCTGGCTGTGGAGAAAGGGAGGGGAGGCTGAGAACTGTGAAACAGAACCAAAGGGAGACCCCAGACAAAGAAACCCCAGACAAAAGGAGATGAAGGGAGGCAGAGGAAACAGAAAGCGGCATTGGGGGTGGTGGCCGGGAGCTCAGGCCCTCCAGAGGGGGAGAATCTAGGAGAGGCGGAGAAAGAGGCAGAAGCAGGGGCTGATTTGCAGGGGAGAAGAGAGATTAGAATTGACTGGCAGAGGTCCTTTAGAGACTCCTTCTGGGCCCCTGAGAATTCACTTCCTTCTCCCAGGATTTTGCACCCTGGAGAGAACCAGAATCCCAGTTTCTTAGTTGGCTGTCTCAAAAATATTATATATGGCGAGAGCTTCCCTCCAATTACACCAATGGCCATAGGAAATATCTGAAAACAAAAGGTGCTCTCAGTTTTCACAAACAACCCCAATTTCAAAGCCTAAACCATCACCTCTTAAATACCAATGGCAATGGTGCCAGTTGCGGTGGCTCATGCCTATAATCCCAGCACTTTGGGAGGCCAAGGAGGGCTGATCGCTTGAGCCCAGAAGTTCGAGACCAGCTTGGGCAACATGGCACAACCCCATCTCTACAAAAAATACCAAAATTAGCTGGATGTGGTGATGCGCACCAGGAGGCTGGGTGGGAGGATCACCTGAGCCCGGGAGGTCAAGGCTGCAGTGTGCCATGATTGCACCACTGCACTCCAGCCTGGGCAACAGAGCAAGACCCTGCCTAAAAAAAAAAAAAAAGGGCATTGTCAGACAATGTTCAGACAATCCTTGGTTTGGAAACTATGATCCCAAAGCCAAAGGTGATGAATTAGGCTTGGAGGGACTGGAGGAGGGAAGAGGAGTAATGAGGCCGCCTCTCACAGCATGCAAGAGGAAGCAGAGTATCAAATGGGAGGGGAGAAAGCAGGGCTCTGCGTCTGAGAGGGAGAGTTAAGGTTCCGACTCAACATCTGGCTTCTCTTGGCTGAGTCTACATCAGTAAGAGGGAGATAATGGTCACTGGCCCAGAGTCTGTTTAGAAGATAATGAGATAGCATCTGTAAGGTACAGGCCCACTGATAAAAGCAACCATCCAAACTCCACTAAACATGATCTCTCTCTGTGGACTTCTCATGTGTCACTTGGGATCTCTGAGTGCCACCTCCCAAGTCATTCCACAACAGTTGTTATTAAGAGTTTGCTTTGAGAGGCCGAGGTGGGTGGATCACCTGAGGTCAGGAGTTTGAGATCAGCCTAGCCAACATGGTGAAACCCCATCTCTACTAAAAATAGAAAAAAATTAGCTGGGTGTGGTGGTGCGCGTCTGTAACCCCAGCTACTTGGGAGGCTGAAGCAGGAGAATTGTTTGCACCTGAGAGGTGGAGGTTGCAGTGAGCCAAGATCACACCACTGCACTCCAGCCTGGGTGACAGAGGGAGACTCTGTCTCAAAAAATAATAATAATAAAATAAGAGTTTGCATAGGGCACCAGGTGCAGTGGCTCATGCCTATCATCCCAGCACTTTGGGAGGCCCGAGTCAGGCAGATCACCTGAAGTCAGGAGTTCGAGACCAGCCCGACCAACGTGGTGAAACCCTGTCTCTACTAAAAATGCAAAAAAATCAGCCAGGCATGGTGGCGGTTACCTGTAATCCCAGCTACTTGGGAGGCTGAGGCAGGAGAATCGCTTGAACCCGAGAGGTGGAGGTTGCAGTGAGCTGAGAATGCGCCATTGCACTCCAGCCTGGGATACAAGAGTGAAAGTCCCTCTCAAAATAAATAAATAAATAAATAAATAAATAAAAATAAAAGAGTTTGCATAGGGCAGGGCTCTGACAGCGAGAGCTATGAAAGATGCATTCAGTAATGGAACCCACTCCCCACCTTCCAGGCCTTTACAATCTAGAGAGTGTTAGGCGTATATATGTAGTCACAGAAGACAGAACACCGTGCTACAGGCAGAGCTGGAAAGGGTCATGGGAACCCAGGGAAGGAGGAGGCCAGGTCCTCCTGAGTGGGACAGGAGACAAGACTCAGGAAGACCTCAGGGAGGAGCTGGAGCTTGAACTGGGCCTTAAGTCATGCTAAGATTTGCAGAGATGAGGCAAGGCCATTCCTGGCCAGAGAAGCGGAGGAGCCAAGGCAGGGAGGCGTGAATATGGCTATGTCCAAATGCAGCCTCACCTGGAAGAAGGGTCCATCCCATGAGTGAAACCAGAAAGGCAGATTTGGAACCTATCATTGAGTAGTTTGGCTTATTCTGAAGGTGAGGAGAAAGAACCTTGGGGTTTTGAGCTGGGAAATGACATGTTTAGATTTGTGTTCTTTTAAAAGTGGTTTTTGGCAGCAGCATGTGGGATGCAGAGTTCAGAGTAATGGCTGAGGGGAGGGAGGAGTTAATCCCACTTTATCCTGTGTACGTCCCATGGTGCTCCCCCTAAGCCTCCAGCCAGGACAGCAGTGCACATCCTAGGTGTTTTACTAGCATTTTCAACCATCCTGTGTTTGCCTCCTCAGGGCCCTCTGACATGAGTGGGGCAGGGCTCTCATAAAAAGAAAACCTTGTAATCCCAGCTACCCAAAAGCTGAGGCAGGAGGATGGCTTGAGCCCCAGAGTTCGAGGTAACAGTAACTATGATCACACCACTACACTCCAGCCTGGGTGACGGAGCAAGACTCTATCGCCAAAAAAAGAGTGAGAAAAAAGAAAACTAGGCCCAGAGGGGCTGCGATTTACCTTAAATTGCAATAGCAATTTAATTGCCACTTAATGGCAAGTGGCTGCTTCCTACCCAGAACTTCCCCTGGATTCCTCCATCTCAGTCTTCCAAAATGGAAAGGGGGATGTAGAATGGCTCCCTGGGCCTCCAGACTGGACCGACCCTGGACCGACCGCTAAGCCTGGTGAGTCCTGCCTCTGCGGAAGCCCGGCCTTGATAAACTTATCGGAGTATTCTTTAGGCCTTATGGTCCGGACAGTGAACAGGAAGGCCACTTGGGGGCGCTTGCTGCACAGGTGACCAACTCCAATTACTGGAAAATGGAAGGAAAGTGAAAGCGGCCAGGAAAGAGATTCAGGCTTGGGCAGGGAATGGCAGGAAGCACCCCAAAGCAGCAGACCCAAGAGAGAGGTCAGAAAGGCTGACTGGAAGCCCAGGGCAGCTGCGGGGCTATTTAGGGTACAATGACCTAATTTGCACATATAGGAGATGTTGTCATTTATAGGCAGAATGTTAGAATCTTCACTTTCTCTTTTCTATTGTCCTTTGCTAAAAAGCCTGTGGAATTCTCAGCAGCGTCTTAGGATCCCTGAGCCTTGCTGTGAGCCAGGCTCTGCTCTCAGCGCTTTCCAGAGCCATCTCATTTGGCCCACACAGCAGTTCTGTGATGTGGCATTTTGAAACATGCCCACTTAGGGTAGAAACTGAGAGTTAGAAAAGTTGCTCTCCATCCCCATCCCCCATACACACACAGTAAATGGCAGATCTGGAATTCAGATCTCAGTTGTTTGTTTATTTGTTTTATAGAGACAAGCTCTCTGTCACCCAGGCTGGAGTGCAGGGGTACAATTATAACTCAATGCAACCTCTCAAGCCATCCTCCCACCTCAGCCTCCCAAATAGCTGGGGCTCAGGCACCATCATGTCCTGTTATTTTTTATTTTTATTTTTTTGAGACAGAGTCTCGCCCTGTTGCCTAGGCTGGAGTGCAATGGCACGCTCTCGGCTCACTGCAACCTCTGCCTCCCGGGTTCAAACGATTCTCCTGCCTCAGCCTTGAGAGTAGCTGGGATTATACGTGCCCGCCACCACACCCAGCTAATTTTTGTATTTTTAGTAGAGACAGGATTTCACCATGTTGGCCAGGCTGATCTTGAACTCCTGACCTCGTGATCCGCCCGCCTCCGCCTCCCAAAGTGCTGGGATTACAGGCATGAGCCACCACGCCCAGCCATTTTTTGTTTGTATGTAGAGATTGGTAGAGATAGGGTCTCACCATGTTACGTAGGCTAGTCTCAAACTCCTGGCCTCAAGCGATCCTTCTGCCACAGCCTCCCAGTGTAATGAGATTACAGGCGTGTGCCACAATGCTTGGCCCAAATCTGAGTCTTTTTGATTACAGAGCCAAAGCTAGGCTGGAGGATCTCAGCCACCATTCTTTTTCCAACTCTAGAGGTCTATAATACATTCTTATCCTTTCTCTCTAGTCCTTGAACATCTTGGAACATTGTCATTAACTCCTCTAACTTCTTTTATCTCCCAAGAACACTGGTGGCCCAAATTATTCTTGTGTACAAAAAATGTACAGAGATCCAAAAATGGTAAATGCTTACCTCAAGGTCACCCTGGAAGTCAAGGTCAGTGCTAGGATAGTGTTCTCAAACTGAGGTCTCTGGACTCCTGAGGACTCGTGAATACCTGTGAAAACTATTAAGTTCCATGTCTAACTTTCCTTAGTAGCATTTGAAAAGTGTTATAAGCATGTTTTGGGTCATTTGTAACTGATCCTGGCCCTGCTTGTGAGTACCTGCATTTGCATTTACCTATTTATAGCTTTAATTGTCTTGGTCGCATTTGTACCAAGTGAAGGCCAGGAGACAAGTTCTAACAAAGATTTCTTAGTAATTTGAACAGACATGAGAAGGGGAAGAATTGAGTCATCGCCAGGCACACAGTGGAATATTGTGCCAAGTGCGGAAGAACCTTCATCAGGCAGTACATGGTCTGTTGCCAGCAGCAACTTCATTTCAGAAAAACACTATTTATTACATTAATGTTAAACTTGTCTTTATACTTTTGTTTGTACCTATGGCTACTTTGCTTTGGTTTTATAACTGCTTAACTACTGAAGCATAAGGAATTCATAGTTAGTTGTGTTTCCACACATTTAAATTATAAAAATAATTTAAGTCCATGAAAATTGTTTTCCTTCCAAAAAGGTCCATCCATACATTACTCAAGTTCTTGCTCTCACAGTAGGTATAAACTAAACCTGGGCCATCAAGAGTCTCCAAGGAAAACTTGCAATGATGGAGTCCCTGTTAAAGGTCAAAAATCTCCCCGACCCTCAAGATCCAGTGCAAGTGAAGCAGCCAGTTGTCTGGGGTAAATACCCGGGGTTTGCCATCCCATGCCAGGAAAATGTAGGACACGGACACACGCGAGGAGTCGCGAGGAGTTTAAGAGGGAAGGTTTAATAGGCAAAAGAAAGAGAAAGGAAAACAGCTCTCTCTCTAGTGAGAGAGGGGACTTCCGAGAGAAAAGGGGCAGCTGGAGGCAGATGAGCCGAATTTATAGTCCAGCTTGAGGAGGCGGCGTCTGATTTACTTAGGACTCACAGATTGGTTTGATCAGGTGTTTGTTTACATAGCTGGGAAGGCTGGCCGCCCCACCCTAAGCTTATTATGCAAATGAACTCTCTCGGAGGGTGCCATTTTGTCGGCTCCTTACTGCACCTGTGGCTGACAGAGAAGGGATGATGGGGCCGCCATTTTGAACATGATTGGCACAACTGCCGTCATCTATGTCTGCAGCCCGATTTTACAGGCTGCTCTTTGTTAGAAGGAAAAATGATTTGGGCCTGCTTTCCATTAAAAGAGAAACCTTACCAAGAACTTCGGTAACCTCACTGTCTACCTAAGTAATTTCTTCTTAACTCCTGTGTCACAAGGAAGTTAGAACCTGGGGTTTCTGGGCTACTAAGAGAGGAAGATGTGAAGGACTGATTCACAAAGTGAAGAAGTCAGAGGGCAGTCACCTGGGGAAAACTCCAAGGACAGTTTACAGGATAGAATCAAGAATTGGCCAGGTGAGGCCAGGCGCCCTGGCTCACACCTGTAATCCCAGCACTCTGGGAGGGCGAGGTGGGCGGATCACGAGGTCAGGAGATCGAGACCATCCTGGCTAACACGGTGAAACCTCGTCTCTACTAAAAATACAAAAAAACGAGCCGGGCGTGGTGGCGGGCCCCTGTAGTCCCAGCTACTCAGGAGGCTGAAGCGGCAGGATGGCGTGAACCGGGGAGGCGGAGCTTGCAGTGAGCCAAGACCGCACCACTGCACTCCAGCCTGGGCGACAGAGCAAGACTCCATCTCAAAAAAAAAAAAAAAAGGCCAGGTGAGGTGGCGCACGGCTGTAATCCTGTTACAGGAAAGGGGTCTCAATCCAGACCCCAAGAGAGGGTTGTTGGATTTCGCACAAGAAAGAATTCTGGGTGAGTCCTCAGTGCAAAGTAAAAGCAAGTTTATTAAGAAAGTAAAGGATTACAAGAACGGCTGCTCCATGGAGCAGCCCTGAGGGCGGCTGGTTGCCCGTTTTTGTGGTTATTTCTTGATGATATGCTAAACAAGGGCTGGATTATTCATGCCTCCCCTTTTTATTTTTTATTTTATTTATTTATTTATTTTTGAGATGGAGTTTCACTCTTGCTGCCCAGGCTGGAGTGCAGTGGTGAGATCTCAGCTTACTGCCACCTCCACCTCCCAGGTTCAAGTGATTCTTCTGCCTCAGCCCCCTGAGTAGCTGGAATTACAGGCGTGCACCACCAGGCCTGGCTAATTTTTGTATTTTTTTTTAGTAGAGACAAGGTTTCACCATGTTGGCCAGGCTGGTCTCGAACTCCTGGCCTCAAGTGATTTGCCTACCTCGGCCTCCCAAAGTGCTGGGATTACAGACGTGAGCCAGGGCACCCAGCCCCCCTTTTTAGACCATATAGGGTAACTTGCTGACATTGCCATGGCATTTGTAAACTGTCATGGCGCTGGTGGGAGTGTAGCAGTGAGGATGACCAGAGGTCACTCTCATCGCCATTTTGGTTTTGGTGGGTTTTGGCTGGCTCCTTTATTGAAAACTGCTTTATCAGCAATGTCTTTATGACCTATATTTTGTGCTGGCCTGCTGTCTCATCCTGTGACTTAGAATACCTTAACCATGTGGGAATGCAGCCCAGTAGGTTTCAGCCTTATTTTACCCAGCTCTTATTTAAGATGGGATTGCTGTGGTTCACACGCCTCTGACAATCCTAGCATTTTGGGAGGCCCAGGTAGGCAAATCACTTGAGGCCAGGAGTTTGAGAACAGCCTGAGCAACATGGTGAAGCCCCGTCTCTGCAAAAAAATACGAAAATTAGCCAGGTGTAGTGGTGCACATCTGTGATCGCAGCTACTCAGGCATCTGAGGTGAGAGGATCATTTGAGCCTGAGAGATGGAGGTTGCAGTGAGCCATACCACTGTACTCCAGGCTGGACCACAGAGTGAGACTGTGTCTCAAAAATGAGTAAATAAATACAGAAATAAATAAATAAGAAAAGGAAAGGTAAGTAGTTAAATGTCCATTAATAGGTATGAATAGCCACAAAAATTACTGTTTTATTTTAGGTTTCTCCAAAAGCACATCCTGGGACAAGTACTTGGATATAAGTAGTTTATTTAGGAGGGGCACTGAGTGAAGGGCTGGGAAGAGTGAGACAGGGAAGGGAGAAGAGCCAATAAAGCGTGTGTTAATGAGCAGATTACTTACTGTTGGGAGAAGTGGAACTTAAAACTGTTGGGACTGTAAGTGTCCAATGGGTTCTTCTTGCCTGCTGCCCAGATAGAGCCAATTTATAAAGGCAGGGGAATTGCAGTAGAGAAAGAGTTTTTCACATGTAGAGCTGGCGAAGGAGAAGACTGGAGTCTTATTATGCTCAAATCAGCCTCTTAGAAAAAATTCTGAGACTAGGGTTTTCCAAGGATAGTTTGGGGGAAGAAGGGGAGTAGCTAGGCAATGGGTGCTTGCTGCTGATTGGTTGCAATCATAGGGGTGTGGGAAATGGTCCTCATACATGCTGAGTCACTTCTGGGTGGGGCCACAGGAGCAGTTGGAGGATCCAGTTGGAGCCATAAGTCGTCAGACATAGAAAAAAATCTGAAAAGATATCTCAAAAGCCCAGACATTTATTCACACTAACGGTGAAAAGCATACCCCACAGTGTCAGTGGAGGTAACATGGGGTCCTGGATTTCCTCTTCACCCTCAGTGGTAGTGAGGTGTTCCTCTCACTCCTTCTGAGTAGAGGAAGCCAAGAGGAAAGCTGGAACTTGTACCATCATCCAGTGGTGATAAAGCCTCTGTCCCTCCACCTTACCCCCAGGTTATCAGTGGCAACCACATGGCTAGTGGTACCCCTCCCGCTCCTAGCCAGAATGATATCAGCAGAGGCCTAGAGAGTAGCCCAAAAACTCATCTGCACCCAGCAGGACTGAGGTTTCCTACCCCCACCAATGGAAGCCAAGTGAGGAACCTAAGCCTTCACCTCTCACTCAGCAGGAACCAGACAACACCCCCTAACACACACACACACACACACACACACACACACACACACACCCTTCTGTTAGTGTGGTATCAAGGAGGCTTGATAAAATAGAAGATTTAAATAGGATCCAGAGGCTGGGTGCAATGGCTCACACCTGTAGTCCCAACACTCTAGGAGGCCAAGTTGGGTGGATCACTTGGGCTCAAGAGTTTGAGAACAGCCTGGACAACATGGTAAAACCCTGTCTCTACAAAAAATACAAAAATTAACCAGGTGTGGTGGCACATGCCTGTAGTCCCAGCCACTTGGGGGGCTGAGGCGGAAGGATCACCTGAGCTAGGAGGCAGAGATTTCAGTGAGCCAAGATTGCACTACTACACTCCTCCAGACTGGGTGACAGAGTGATACCTTGTCTCAAAATAAATTAATAAATAGGATCCAGAGTCTCATAACATAATATCCAAATGTCCAGGATGCAATTGAAAATCACTTGCCATACCAAGAACCAGGAAAATCTCAACCAGAATAAGAAAAGACAACAGATGTCAATATCACGATAACACAGATGTTGCAATTATCTGACAAGGAAGCAGCCGTCATAAAAAATGTTTCAACAAGTCATTGTAAATATGATTGAAACAAATAAAAAAGGGAGAAGTCTCAGAAAAGAAATAGAAGATATAAAGAAGAATCAAATGGAAATTTTAGAACTGAAAAATGCCATAATAAAAATTTAAAATTCACCGAATGGGCACAACAGCAGAATGGAGAGGACAGAGAAAAGACTCAGTAAACTTGAAGATAGAACAACAGAATTCATCCAATCTGAACAACAGGGAGAAAATAGATAGGAAAAAAATGAACGTAACCTCAGACCACAATGAACATAACTATGTGACTGTAACAAAAGATCTAGCATTCATGTTATTGGGGTCCCAGAAGGAGAGGAGAAACAGGATGGAGCTGAAAAAGAATTGAAAGGAATAATGGCTAAAAATTTTCCTAAATTTAGGGGGAAAAAACATAACAGATTCAAGATGCTAAGCAAATCCCAAACAGAATAAACCCAAAGAAATCCATGCAGAGGCACATCATAATTAAACTTCTGGAAACTAAAAAATCTTGAAACCAATCAGAAATGACACAGTATTTGTAGAGGAAAAACAATCCAAATGACAGAAGATTGCTTTTCAGAAACCATGAAAACCAAAAGGAAATGACATTTTTTTCAAGTGCCAAAGGAAAATAACTGTCAGCCCAGTATCCTGTAGCCATCAAAAATACCCTTCATGAATGAAGGGGAAATCAAGACATTCTTAGGAGAAGGAAAATGAAAAGAATTTGTCATCAGCAGACCTACCCTAAAAGAATGGCTAAAAGAAATTCTTTCTTTCTTTCTTTCTTTCTTTCTTTCTCTTTCTTTCTTTCTTTTCTGTATGTGTGTGTGTGTGTGCATGTGTGCGTGTAGAAGCAGGATCTCACCATGCTGCCCAGGCTACTCTCAAACTCCTGGCCTCAGGTGATCTTCCTGTCTCAGCCTCCCAAAGTGCTGGGACTGCAGGTGTAAGCCACCACACCTAGCCTAAAAGGAACTCTTGAGACAAACAGGAGAGGATAAAGAAGAAATCTTGGAGCATCAGGAAGAAAGAAAGAACAATAGAAAATGCAAAAATATGGGAAGATTACATTATTTCACTCCTTGGCATCAGGTTTGGCTATGTGACCTTCTGTGGCCAATCAAATGTGAGCAGAAGCAACATATATCACTTCCAGGAAATAGCTTCAAAGGCCAGTGTGTGGTTCTCCATGACTCTTTCTCCTCTCATGACACCTGTCACTGCTCCAGCTCTGCCATCTGGGTCCTGGTGTGAGATGACATGGACAGGGCCATAGCCAACCTGCAATGAATACATATAGCATGAGCAAAAATAAATCTTGGATGTTGTAAACATCTTAAGATTTTTGGCCAGGCATGGTGGCTGAAGCCTGTAATCCCAGTACTCTGGAAGTCTGAGGCAGGTAGATCACTTGAGGTCAGGGGTTCAAGACTAGCCTGGCCAATATAGTGAAAACCCATCTCTACTAAAAATACAAAAATTAGCTGGGGGTGGTGGCAGGTGCCTGTGATCCCAGCTACTCAGGAGGCTGAGGCAGGAGAGTTGCTTGAACCCAGGAGGCAGAAGTTGCAGTGAGCCAAGATCATGCCACTGCACTCCAGTCTGAGAGACAGAGTGAGACTCTGTCTCAAAAAAAAAAGTAAAGATTTTTTTAACCATGGCAAAACTTGACTTTTTTTTTTTTTTTTTTTTGTGACAGAGTCTCGCTCTGTTGCCAGGCTGGAGTGCAGTGGCATGATCTCGGCTCACTGCAACCTCCGCCTCCCAGGTTCAAGCAATTCTCCTGCCTCAGCCTGCTAAGTAGCTGAGATTACAGGCACGTGCCACCACATCCAGCTAATTTTTTGTATTTTTAGTAGAGACAGGGTTTCATCGTGTTAGCCAGGATGGTCTCGATCTCCTGACCTCGTGATCTGCCTGCCTCAGCCTCCCAAAGCGCTGTGATTACAGGCGTGAGCCACCACGCCTGGCTGACCTTTCTTGATTGATATATAATCACAGTGATACATCTGTATAGTTCTTTTGTGTTGCCAAAACCTCACATTATTTACTTTGACCTTCATAAAACCCCATGAAGTATGAAGACAAATTATAGAGGGAGCCAGCCCCCAATATTTCAATGTAGGTTCTTTTCTATTTTCCCTTAGTGTCGGCTGGTCTGAGAAATAAAGAGAAACAGTACAAAGAGAGAAATTTTACAACTGGGCCTCCAGCGGTGACATCACATACTGGTAGGACCGTGATGACAACCCCGAGCTGCAAAACCAGCAGGTTTTTATTAGGGATTTTAAAAGGGGAGGGGATGTACGAACAGGGAGTAAGCCACAAGGATCACATGCTTCGAAGGGCAATAAAGATCACAAAGCGAAGGCAAAATTAGAATTACTGATGAGGGTCTATGTCCCGCTGTGCACGTATTGTTTTGATAAACATCTTAACAGGAAACAGGGTTCGAGACCAAAGAACCGGTCTGACTAGAATTTACCAGGCTGGAATTTCCCAATCCTAGTAAGCCTGAGGGTACTGCAGGAGACCAGGGCATATTTCAGTCCTTATCTCAACCACATAAGACAGACACTCCCAGAGCAGCCATCTACAGACCTCCCCCGAGGAATGCATTCCTTCCCCAGGGTTATTCCTTCCTGGGAAAAGAATTCAGCGATATTTCTCCTCGCACATCTGTTTATAGGCTTTCTGCAAGAAGAAAAATATGGCTCTATTCTGCCCAACCCTGCAAGCAGTCAGACTTTATGGTTATCTTTTCTTGTTACCTGAAAATTGCTGTTACTTTGTTCTTTTTCAGAGTGCACTGATTTCATATTGTTCAAACCCACATGTTTTACAATCAGATTTCATATTGTTCAAACACACATGTTCTACAACCAATTTGTACAATAGTGGTCCTGAGGTGACGTACATTCTCAGTTTATGAAGATAATAGGATTAAGAGATTAAAGACAGGCATAAGAAATTATAAGAGTATTAGGGAAGTGATAAATATCCATGAAATCTTCACAATTTATGTTCAGAGATTGCAGTAAAGACAGGTGTAAGAAATTATAAAAGTATTAATTTGGGGAACTGCTAAATGTCCATGAAATCTTCACAATTTATGTTCTTCTGCCTTGGCTCCAGCTGGTCCCTCCATTCAGGGTCCCTGACTTCCCACAACAAATTAATGATATTTTTGTGTCAAAGACTAGCTGAACCCTATGTTGTTCCCGGTTACCAACTGACATAAATAAGTATGTTTGTAATGAGCCTTAAGAATGGTTCTATGGAGTTGCCCATGTAAGAAGCAGCCGGATGGCAAATTAGTTATTGTAATTTGAAGTGCTCACAGTTATAACTTCCTATATAAGGTTCCTACTTGCAATTTCTGTTTGTTTTCTATATTCACAATATCTTAAAAGGCATAGACTATCTTTCCAAGCCTCACATTATACATCACTTTAATTTGCTCTGGTGTAAAACTGCTAATTTCTTTGAGGTGATACCACAGAACCACTAAATTAGATACGCTGTATGCCACATAGCATATATTTTAAGTCATTTTTTAATTAAAAAAAAACAAACCTTAAAATTTGGTGAAAATCCATTGTGTTTGTTATCTATTGCTGCATAATAAATTGCCCCAAAAGTAAGTAGCTTCAAACAATAAGAAACATTTATTTTCTATCTCTCTTAAACACATACACACACACATACATACACACACAAACACAGTATTAATTTGTTATTGTTGAAGTTTTAAAAAGTGATTTGTATGTCAAAAACAAACCCCAACCTTCTCTCCTTGCCACCCAAACCAAAGAAGGCCAGCTCCATAACATAAAAGTGCGAGGTGAAGCAGCAAGTGATGATGAAGAAGCTGCATCAAGTTATCCAGAAGATCTAGCCAAGATAATTGGTGAAGGTGACTACACTAAACAACAGATTTTCCATGTAGATAAAATAGCTTTATATTGGAAGAAGAGGCCATCTAGGACATTCATAGCTACAGAGGAAAAGTCAATGCCTGCCTGGCTTCAAAGCTTCAAAGGACAGTCTGACTCTCTTGTTAGAGGCTAATATAGCTGATGGCTTTAAGTTGAAGCTAATCCTCATTTACCACTCTGAAAACCCTCTGGCTCTTAAGAATTATGCTAAATCTACTCTGCCTGTGTTTTATAAATGGAACAACAAAGCTTGGATGACAGCATATCTGTTTACAGCATGGTTTGTTGAATATTTTAAGCCCACTGTTGAGAGACCTACTGCTCAGGAAAAAAAAGATTTCTTTCAAAATATTACTGCTCATTGACAATGTAGTTGGCCACCCAAGAGCTCTGATGCAGAGATACAAGGAGATAAATGTTGTTTTCATGCTTGGTAACACAGTGTCCATTCTGCAGCCTATGGATCAAGGAGTGATTTCAACTTTCAAGTCTTATTATTTAAGAATAAATTTTGTAAGGTTATAGCTGCAATGGATAGTGATTTTTCTGACATATCTGGGCAAAATACATTGAAAATCTTTTGGAAAGCATTCATCATTCTAGATGCCATTAAGAACACTTGTGAGCTGAGCACGGTAGCTCACACCTGTAATCCCAGCACTTTGGGAGGCCGATGTGGGTGGATCACCTGAGGTTAGGAGTTCCAGACCAGCCTGGCCAACATGGTGAAACCCCATCTCTACTAAAAATATAAAATTAGCCAGGCATGGTGACACACTCCTATAATCCTAGCACTTTGGGAGGCCGAGGCAGGTGGATCACCTGAGGTCAGGAGTTTGAAACCAGCCTGGCCAACATGGTGAAACCCCATTTCTACTAAAAATACAAAAATTAGCTAGGCCTGGTGGCAGAGGCCTGTAATCCCAGCTACTTGGGAGGCTGAGGCAGGAGAATTGCTTGAATCTGGGAGGCAGAGGTTGCAGTGAGCTGATATCGCACCACTGCACTCCAGCCTGGGCAACAAGAGTAAGACTCTGTCTCAAAAAAAAAAAAAAAAAAAAAAAAAAGAGAGAGAGAGAAAGAAAAAAAAAGAACACTTGTGATTCACGGGAGGAGGTCAAAATATCAACATTTACAAAAGTTTGGAAGAAGTTTGGTGCAAACCTTCATGAATGACTTTTGAGGGGTTCCTGACTTCGGTAACTGCAGATGTGGTAGAAAAAGCCAGAGAACTAGAAGTGGAGCCTGAAGATGTGACTGAATTGCTGCAATCTCATGATAAAATTTGAATAGATGAGGAAGTGCTTCTTGTGGATGAGCAAAGAAAGTGGTTTCTTGAGACGGAATCTACTCCTGTTGAAGATGCTATGAACATTGTTGAAATGACAACAAAGGACTTAGAATATTACATAAACTTAGTTAATAAAGAAGCAGCAGGGTCTGAGAGAATTGACTCCAATTTCAAAAGAAGTTTTACTGTGGGTAACATGTATCAAACAGCATCACATGCTACAGAGAAATCTCTCACAAAAGGAAGAGTGAATCGATGTGGCAAACTTCGTTGTTGTCTTAATTTAAGAAATTGCCATAGCCACTTAAGCTTCAGCAGCCCCCACTCTGATCAGACAGCAACACACCTTCCACCCACAAAAGGATTATAACTCTCCGAAGGCTCAGATAATCATTATCATTTTTTAGCAATAAAGTATTTTAAAATTAAGGTATGTACTTCTTTAAGACATAATGCTATTGCACACGTAATAGACCATAATATAGTGTAAGCATAACTTTTATGTGCACTAGGAAAACAAAAACTTAGTGACTTACTTTACCGAGATATTCCCTTTATTGTGATGAACTGGAACTGGGCCCGCAATATCTCCAAGGTATGCCTATATCTGAGAAAGCAGCACTGAAATGGCAAATAAATAATATTCATGAAAGCTTTGCCAGTAAGGAAGTAGAGGGTGGCTGTTTTGTGGAAACTAAAAGCGTGTCCTGCAAAAACCTTTCGTGAAATCAGACAGGCTTTCTTTCTTTTTTATTTTTTTTTCCAAGACAGGGTATCACTCTGACACTAAGGCTGGAGTACAGTGATGTGATCTCAGCTCACTGCAGCCTCAACCTCCTGGGCTCAAGTGATCCCCTCACCTCAGCCTCCTCAGTAGCTGGGACTATAGGCATGTACCCCAATGCCTGGCTAATTTTTTTTTTTTTTAAACAGTGGTCTCTCTTTGTTGCCCTGGCTGGTCTTGAACTCCTAGGCGCAAACTGAATAGGCCTCCCAAAGTGCTGTGATTACAGGTGTGAGCCACTGAACCCAGCCAGACAGGCTTTCTTCAGCAAGTTGTCTGCCATGCAAAGAGATTTGGGTCATAAGATTCAGTAGTCTCTGGGAAGCCTTTAAAAAAGAAGTTGAACCTGGCCATGATCAGATTGGCATAGTATTATAAAGGATGATATGAAGGGTGATACAGTTTGAATCCGTGTCCCTGCCCAAATCTTATATTGAAATGTAATCCCCAATGTTGGAGGTGGGTTCTTGTGGGAGGTGATTGGATCGTGGGGGCAGATTTCTCATAAATGGTCTAGTACCATCCCCTTTAGCACTGTACTCACCATAGTGAGTGAGTTCCTGTGATATATGGTCATTTAAAAAGGTGTAGCACCTTTACCATCACTCTCTCTCACTCCTGCTCCCGCCATGTGAGATCCCTGCTCCCCCTTCACCTTCCACCGTGATTGAAAGCTTCCTGGGGCCTCCCCAGAAAGAGATGCTGCTATGCTTCCTGTACAGCCTACAGAACCGTGAGCCAATTAAACCTCTTTTCTTACAAATTACCCAGTCTCAAGTATTTCTTTATAGCAGTGCAAGAATGGCCTAATACAAAGGGAAAGCAAGATTAGGGGAAGGGGTGCCAGTAACAAGGCTATGTATTATGTGCTTCTAATTCTAAATCATATACGTACTGGGAAACCAGAACTTGCAGGTGGATGGATCACCATCATACCTATTCCATCCCAGGAGCAGCAAAACTGTCCCCCTTAGAGATCTTCCACCGTGAACCTCAGAGCCATTCAGCTATGGGTAAAGCTAACCTAAGCACAAATAGCAGATTTTTAGCGCCTGACTGGGATCCAGAGCCACTTGGTCAGCGGGGAGGGTAAGGGATGGATATTGTGAAGGTTCAGAGGTCAGGGTGGGAGGGGGCTGGCAATGGGTTAATCAAAGGGGCTCTCACACAAATATCCTATTCAAGACACCAAAAGTGACAACCTGAGACTTCTATTAGCTTGATTTTGTTGATGAAACATTCACCTTGAGGGGAGGAGGGAGGTACCCAAGGGATATCTCATGCACCTCTCACCTAGACTCCAGGGAAACCAGAGGCAAGGACTTCATAATGATCTGCCCCACCTGAGGATGATGGTGATATGCTGACATCATCCTCTGTACTGCCCAAATCCTGCTGCACATCAAAAACACAATCTGCACCACCACACAACCACGTGATCATCAATTGAGACATGAAGTTCACATCTTGTCTCTGGACCTTGAGAGCTTGTTTGGAGATTCTAGCAGGGGAGCGCAGCTACTCGTATACCCTTAGCCGAAGACTGGTCCTCCTCTATTGGGGATGGTCCTCCTCTTCAACTGAGCACACAGCTTCAGGAGGGATGCACATGGAGTGGTGAGGGAAGAAGGGGACACCACCTAGCCAGCTAGATCAGCAGAATCAACAGTGGCAATCACTGGGGTGACAGATGTCATAGCCAGATCACCCTCACATCCAATGTCTCTGGAAAATAGCGTTCAACTTTCTCCACTTGAGAAGGCACCTGACTACTTGCCTGCTGCCCACACTAGGGGCCAGATATGGTACATTAGTCACCTTCTTAGAGGCATTCTCCAGGCTCAGCAGGAAGCCCCCCCTTGACTGGGGAGCTGGGAAAGGGCAGGG
Organism: Homo sapiens; assembly: GCF_000001405.40. Lineage (NCBI taxonomy): Eukaryota > Metazoa > Chordata > Mammalia > Primates > Hominidae > Homo > Homo sapiens. Next base: position 30,864,080 of record NC_000006.12, on the reverse strand, counting down.
ATGTACTTTTCTGCAGAGATCTATTTTCTCCACAATGGGATTTAAATCATTAAACTGACTTTATAACATCAGTTCTAGAGCATCCTACTTGCAAACGGAGTGAAATTATCCAAATTATAAAGGAATCTCTCACTTGATAAAAGAAACACATGGTCTCAGGTAGCGTTTTAATGTTTCATAGCATGTGTTTTCAGATCAATAGACACTTAGCAGAGGGAAGGTGTATTAGTCCTGTAACAGGGTGTATTAGCACTGCTATAAAGAACTACCTGAGACTGGGTAATTTATGAAGAAAGGAAGTTTAATTGGCTCACAGTTCCACAGGCTGTACAAGAATCATGCTTGGGGAGGCCTCAGGAAACTTACAATCTGGGCAGAAGGGCAAGGGGAAGCAAACACCTTCTTCACACGGTGGAGTGGGAGAGAGGGAAAGTGAAGGGGGAGGTACTACACACTTTGTTTTTTTGTTTTGTTTTGTTTGTTTGTTTGTTTTTTGAGTCAGAGTTTTGCTCTTGTTGCCCAGGCTGGAGTGCAATGGCGTGATCTCGGCTCACAGCAACCTCCATCTCTCAGGTTCAAGTGATTCTCCTGCCTCAGCCTCCCAAGTAGCTGGGATTATAGGCATGTGCCACCATGCCGGCTAAATTTGTATTTAGTAGAGACGGGGTTTCTCCATATTGGTCAGGCTGGTCTCGAACTCCCGACCTCAGGTGATCCGCCTACCTCAGCCTCCCAACATGCTGGGATTACAGGCGTGAGCCACCACGCCCGGCTCTACTACACACTTTCAAACAACCAGATCTCGTGGGAACTCACTCACTATCACGAGAACAGCAAGGGGGAAATCTGCCCCAATGATCCAATCACCTCCCACCAGGCCTCTCCTCCAACACTCCAACACTGGGAATTACAGTTCAACTTGAGATTTGGATGGAGCCCATATTGGAGGGATTGAAAGTTCCTATGTTCCAAGACACAGACCAACAAGAAAGCAAGCAAATTAAAAAGGAAGCCTGAAATTCTAGTAGTAAGATGAATTATTAGGCCGGGCGTGGTGGTTCACACCTGTAATCCCAGCACTTTGGGAGGCCAAGGCAGGTGGATCACGAGGCCAGTAGTTCCAGACCAGCCTGACCAACGTGGTGAAACCCTGTCTCTACTAAAAATGCAAAAATTAGCCAGGCATGGTGGTGCGCGCCTGTAATCCCAGCTACTCAGGAAGCTGAGGCAGGAGAATCGCTTGAACCTGGGAGGCAGAGGTTGCAGTAAGCTGAGCTCACACCACTGCACTCTAGCCTGGGTGACAGAGCAAGACTCCATTAAAAAAAAGAGAGAGAGAGAGAAGTGATTTATGTATTTGGTTTTTCCTGGACAGGAAGCTAAAATTCCAGGCTGGTGTTTAACCCCGGATGACTGTCAGGCGTAGCTGAAGACTCTGCTGGGTTTCTCTGGGCAATTGGCTTTTCACATTGGTCTGCGGGTTTGTCTGTAACTCCAGGCGATAGAGCTGGGAGTGTGCTGGGGGAGGACCAAGATTAGGATGAGACGCAGGTGAGGGCTCAGCCGTACTGTTTGTTCATGGGATGTTCCTCATGAGATCCTGTAGCCTCACATCGGCAAGAAAAGAACACATCTCCTTTATGTGCCAGCTGGGAGCTGAGGAGACTGGTCACACTCACAGAAAACCCAAGGAACGTTAGTAGTCATGGTTTTCAAGGCCAAAATCTAAACAGTGTTTGGGGAGGAGCTGGTCCCTCCCACCATGCACAGAGGTGTTTATGTGGTGTCCCTAGGCCAACGAAGAATGTCTCTCCAAGATCTCAGCTCCTCACCACACCTCCCCAACCCTCAACTTTCCCCTTCCCTCTCCATGAATCCACCTCCTTTTTACCTTCTCTCAAAGTTCCCTGCCTTCCCAAGTCCTTGCACTGAGCTGCGCCGACTCTCCGGCAAGATTAGCAAGTCCCTGGCCCCCTTTTATATTTTTGTGCTTGCAGCCTGTCAACTCTCAGGCAAACAGACCCTGACAGACTGCTTTACCAGGCAGAGTGCTACACCTCCTGGCTCCCCTGCTACCAGCTGCTAGGACCTAGTGCACGAGGTTATCACCACTTTGGCCAGCCTCCTCACCACCCTATTTTCTTTTCTTTTTTCTTCCTTGTTTAAAAAAAGAGAGAGAGAGAAAGAGGGCCTCGCTCTGTTGCCTAGGCTGGAGTACAGTGGCACAATCACGGTTCACTGCAGCCTTGAACTCCTGGGCTCAAGTGATCTTTCCAACTCAGCCTCTGGAACAGCTAGGACTACAGGAACATGCCACCATGCCTGGATAACTTGGTTTTTTGTTTGCTTTTAGAGAGGAAGTCTCCCTATGTTGCCCAAGTAAGTCTCCAACTTCTGGCCTCAAGTGATAATCCTGTCTTGGCCTCCCAAAGTGCTGGGATTATAAACTGATATGGTTTGGCTGTGTCCCCAGCCAAATCTCATCTTGAATTGTAGCTCCTATAATTCCCATGTGTTGCAGGAGGGACCTGGTGGGAGATAACTGAATCACAGGGGTGGTTTCCCCTATACTGTTTTCATGGTAGTGAATAAGTCTCATGAGATCTGATGGTTTTATAAGGGGAAACCCCTTTCACTTAGTCTCTCATTCTGTTCTTGTCTGCCACCATGTAAGACATGGCTTTTGCCTTCAATTGTGATTGTGAGGCCTCCCCAGCCATGTGGAACTGTGAGTCCATTAAATCTCTTCTTTTTCTTTATAAATTACCCAGTCTTGGGTATGTTTTTATCAGTAGCATGAAAAGGGACTAATACAGTACATTGGTAATGGGAGTGAGATGCTGCTGTAAAGTAACCCAAAAATGTGGAAGCAACTTTGGAACTGGGTAACAGGTAGCGACTGGAACAGTTTGGAGGGCTCAGAAGACAGGAAAGTGTGGGAAAGTATGGAACTTCCTAGAGACTTGTTGAATGGCTTTGACCAAAATCCTGATAATGATATGGACAATGAAATACAGGCTGAGGTGGTCTCAAATGGAGATGAGGAACTTGTTGGGAACTGGAGTAAAGGTGACTCTTGCTATGTTTTACCACAAAGACTGGTGGCATTTTGCCCCTGACCTAGAGATTTGTGGAACATTGAACTTGAGGGAGATGATTTAGGGTATCTGGCAGAAGAAATTTCTAAGCAGCAAAGCATTCAAGAGGTGATGTAGGTGCTGTTAAAAGCATTCAGTTTTAAAACTGAAACACAGCATAAAAGTTCAGAAAACTTGCAGCCTGACGATGTGATAGAAAATAAAAACCCATTTCTTTTTTGTTTGTTTGTTTTTGAGATGGAGTCTAGCTCTGTCACCCAGGCTGTAGTGCAGTGGCATGATCTTGGCTCACTGCAACCTCTGCCTCCCAGGTTCAAGCAATTCTTTTGCCTCAGCCTCCCAAGTAACTGGAATTACAGGCACATGCCACCACGTCCAGCTAATTTTGTATTTTTAGTAGAGACAGGGTTTCATCATGTTGGCTGACCAGGCTGGTCTTGAACTACTGACCTCAAGTGATCTGCCTGCCGTGGCCTCCCAAAGTGTTGGGATTACAGGCGTGAGCCACCGTGCCCAGCTAATTTTTGTATTTTTTGTAGAGATGGGGTTTTGCCCAGGCTCGTCTCGAACTCCTGAACTCAAGTGATCCACCTGCCTCAGCCTCCCAAAGTGCTGGGATTACAGGCCTGAGCCGCCACGCCCAGCCAAAAAAATCATTTTCTGAGGAGAAATTCGAGCCAGCTGAAGAAGTTTGCATAAGTAATGAAGAGTCAAATGTTAATCACCAAGACAATGGGGTAAATGTCTCCAGGGCGTGTCAGAGACCTTTGCAGCAGCCCCTCCCATCACAGACCTGGAGACTAGGGAGAAAAAATGGTTTTGTGGGCCAGGCCTAGGGCCCCCCTGCTGTGTGCAGCCTGGAGACTTGGTGCCTGCATCCCAGCCATGGCTAAAAGGGGCCAAGGTACAGCTTGGGTCATGGCTTCAGAGGGTGCAAGCCCCAAGCCTTGGCAGCTTCCACATGGTGTTGAGCCTGTGGGTGCACTGAAGTCAAGAATTGAGGTTTGGGAACCTCCAACTAGATTTCACCTGGATGTCCAGGCAGAAGTTTGCTGCAGCGGTGGAGCTCTCACGGAGGACCTCTGCTAGGGCACTGCGGGAGGAAAATGGGAGGTTGAAGCCCCCATGCAGGGTCTCCACTGGGGCACTGCCTAGTGGAGCTGTGAGAAGAGGGCCACCATCCTCCAGACCCCAGAATGGTAGATCCGCCCACAGCTTGCACTGTGTGCCTGGAAAAACAACAGACACTCAACACCAGCCCATGAAAGCAGCCAGAAGAGGGGCTGTACCATGTAAAGCCACAGGGGCAGAGCTGCCCAAGGCCATGGGAACCCATCTCTTGTATCAGTGTTACCTGGATGTGAGACATGGAGTCAATGGAGATAATTTTGGAGCTTTAAGATTTGACTGCCCCACTGGATTTTGGACTTGCATGGGGACTGTAGCCCCTTTGTTTTGGCCAATTTCTCCCATTTGGAATAGCTGTATTTACCCAATGCCTATACCCCCACTATATCTAGGAAGTAACTAACTTGCTTTTGATTTTGCAGCCTCATAGTTGGAAGGGACTTGCCTTGTCTCAGATGAGACTTTGGACTGTGGACTTTTAAGTTTATGCTGAAATGAGTTAAGACTGTTGGGAAGGCATGATTGGTTTTGAAATGTGAGGACATGAGATTTGGGAGGGGCTGGGGCAGAATGATATGGTTGGGCTGTGTCCCCACCCAAATCTCATCTTGAGTTGTAGTTCCCATAATTCCCATGTGTTGTGGGAGGGACCTGATGGGAGATAATTGAATCACAGGGAGTGGTTTCCCCCATACTGTTTTTGTGGTAGTAAGTCCCACAAGATCGGATAGTTTTATAAGGGGAAATCCCTTTCACTTGGTCTCTCATTCTCTTCTTGTCTGCCACCATGTAAGATGTGCCTTTTGCCTTCTGCCATGCTTGTGAGGCCTCCCCTGCCACATGGAACTGTGAGTCCATTAAACCCCTTTTTCTTTATAAATGACCCAGTCTCAGGCATGTCTTTATCAGCAGCATGAAAACAGACTAATATATAGGCCTTCACCATCGTTTTTTTTTTTTTTTTTCGAGACAGAGTCTCGCTTTGTTGCCCAGGCTAGAGTGCAGTGGCATAATCTCTTCTCACTGCCACCTCCGCCTCCTGAGTTCAAGTGATTCTCTTGCCTCAGCCTCCTGAGTAGCTGGTACTACAGGTGGGTGCCACCACATCTGGCTCATTTTTGTATTTTTAGTAGATATGGGGTTTCACCATGTTGGCCAGGGTGGTCTCAAACTCCTGACCTCAGATGATCCACCCATCTCAGCCTCCCAAAGTGCTGGGATTATAGGTGTGAGCCAGCATGCCTGGCCACATCATCCATTTTTGCTGCCAGAATTTTTGCCATCACCCCTGCCATTTGAGGGCAGAACAAAAGGTTGCTCACATCATTTGATTCAGATCATGTTGGCCAAAAGCTAGTCCCACAGCATGTGATACTGGGAAATGTAGTCTTGATTCAGGATGGCCACAAGTCCAGCAAAAATTTGGGAGTCTCATTAGTAAGGAAGAAGAGGAGAATGGATACTTGGGGACAACAGCAGTTTCTGCCACAAAGCACACAGTGGGAAGTGAGAGATCACTACACACCTCCATTCTCACCAGGAGCAGCTGGCCTGTAAATGGCACAAAGTAAGTGAAGAAGCCTCAAATGTTATTTATTTTATTTTTATTTTATTTTTTTGAGACAGGGTCTTGCTGCGTCTCCAAGGCTGGAGTGCAGTGGTATGATCATGGCTCACTGCAGCCTTGACTTCTTGGGCTCCAGTGATCCTCCTTCCTCAGCCTCCCAGTAGCTACGATTACAGGCGTGTGCCACTATGCCTGGCTAATTTTTGTATTTTTGGTAGAGACGGGGTTTTACCACATTGTCCAAGCTGGTCTCGAACTCCTGAGCTCAAGCAATCATCCGCTTTGGCTTCCCACAGTGCTAGGATTACAGGTATGAGCCACCACGCTTGGCCAGAAGCTTCAAATTTACATAAAGTGTGAAGTTTGGAATTCATAAATTCATAGTGTGGAATGGGGAAGGAAGAAAAGCTCTTTAAGAGATACAATCAGTGTTTTCTTTGGTTGTTAGAGTGTTGAAACAAATCAGACACTTTAGCACAGTAAGAGTTAACCTCCCTCACTGGGCCCCAGCAGGCAGCCCGGGAGCAGTGAGGTCGCAGTGGGTTGACAGGGTCTGTTTGTTTGCCTGAGAGTTGACAAGCTGCACGCACAAAACTCATCCAAGCAGAAGAAGCATCCATGCATGATAAACTTGAACCAATAACAAAGTCTTGGACATTAAATCATAACTGCTTTTTTGTTCGTGTTTGTGTATGTGTATACCGCTTTTTGATCTTGTACCAAACCATAAACTCCATGGGCACAGAGACCACGTTTATCTTGTTTATCATGTTCATCATGTGGCTAGCATGGATAAGGAATTTAGGAAATATGTGTTGAATAAAAGAGTAAATGAATGTTGTTTGTCACCACATTTAGTCCAGTCCTGCCTCCATCCGAAGCAAAAAGAAAGCTGAAGGTCAACATAGAAGCTGTGGTTCTACAAGCTCTGCACAATGCTGGAGCCCACCAGCATTGCTTGGGTGGCCCCTTCGTGAACAGGAACACAAAAGAGGGGAAAGGCATTTCCCCACTGGACATAGACACTGCTCTGCCCAATGCAGAATTGATGCCTGAAGGGCTCCGGTTCCCTGGGGGAATGCTCAGCAGGCGATGGAGAGTTGCTGTTGGCCTGGGTGCCTGGATTTAGGAGCACGAGTGAGATTTCCCTCAGACCCCCAGAAATACTTGGGCAGAGAAGGAGACACTGAAATGTTGTTACTATCTTAAGGTGGCCCCATTTGCACATTCCCATAGGTTAGCAAGACCCAGGGATGCTCAGGTTACTTATTTGGAACCTAATGTTGAAATACTATGAATTGTGCATGACAGATTAATTACTACTACTGGGATGAGAGCCCCTGGCCTTTTGGGATGGTGGCAGTGGCACTGGTGGAGCCCAGCTGCCTGTGGCCTCAGGTTGAGGTGGGCTGAAAGAGAAATGTGAAGGCAGAAAGAGAAAGTGAAGGCAGCTTCACTAGATCTTCCGAGGATGTTAATTCCTCTGCAGCTATAGAAGAGATGAGGCAGATGGTAGAGGCAGAGGGGGCTGGGATCTGGCAAACAGTGGCTCTTACTCAAAACAGTGAGCTTCTAAAAAGGTTGAATCTCCTCTTAAATGGAAGAGAGGGGGGAAAAAATGAGATGGACCAGAGTCCAAAAGTAGCAGAGCAACTCTGCAGTCCCCGGCCTGGGAGTGTCCCCATAAAGTGGGGGCCATCGAGTGGAACAGGAAAGGGGAAAGGGGAAGATCTTCAATTACTTGAGGAAATTGAATTCAGTGAGGGTATTTCTTCGAGCCCCAGGAAAGGGCCTTTGGTGGTACCCGTCAGGGAGCTGAATATATGTTCCTGCAATTTGGAGGACAGGGTGAGCAGCTAGCTGGTTCATTTCTGGAAATGGAAAAACACATATACACACAAAGACACACACACAACAAAAAAGAACACCAGGAGTCTGGCTACCTGCCCTGATGGTGGAACAAGGGAGGTAGCTGGGTTTCAGGGCTGCCAGCCTTCCGCAATTGCCGGGGGCACTGGATTCATGTTTCCTGTGGACCACAGGTGGGGCCACCATAAGAGAGAGATGGCAGGGGATGGCATTAGACTCTGTCTAAAAGGGTCATCTGAAGGGGTTTGGTGATCCTAATAGAGGGATGAATCGTCAGACTCTTAGAAGCTGCAGAAAGAAATATAGTTGACCAGCCTAAGGAAGGGCATTTGTCCACCTCAGGGAATTAGGTGATGAGAAATCGTAGCAAAGGGAAGGTGTTAGCTCAGAAAAATCAACGGAAGTGCCTGATGAAAGGAAGAATCAGCTATGCCTAATGACCCAGGCAGTGCTTCTGCCATCTCACAGTAATTCTAGTGCAATGAAACCTCCTGGCCCCTCCCTCTCACCACTGGAACCCTGGAGAGGTCCAGGGTCCAAGTTAGCAAGATGAGGGAGGAGGGATAGAAGCATGCATACACAATGAACCTGTGTAGGTAGAATCCAGGTTCAGCAGCTGAGAGAAAAACTGTATGTCAAAAGACAAAGTGTGTTTCTCATTAACAGTTCCAACATCAGGAGTCTTAGGCTGGATAGAGTGACTCCGCGGTGTTGGAGACCCCAGCTCCTTCTGTCTTGCTGCTCTGCCATTGCATCGAGGGCTGCTCTCTCTTGAAAGGTTGAAATGGCTCCCCACATCTGCTGGGTCAGCATTCCAGCCAGGGAAAGAAGGAAAGGGGAAACTAATGCCACCCATGCTGTTTGAGGGCAGAACAAAAGGTTGCTTATGTTGTTCTGATTCAGATCCGTTGGCCAAAAGTTAGTCTCACAGCCACACCTGGCTGCAAGGGATACTGGAAAATGTAGTCTTGTTTCAGGCTGGCCATAAGTCCAGCAAAAATTTGGGAGTCTTACTAATCAGGAAGAAGAGGAGAATGAATATTTGGTGATAACTGCAATTTCTGCCACAAAGCGCAAAGTGGGAAATCAGAGGTCACCACACACCTCAATTCCCATTGAGCGTGGCTGGTCTGTAAATAGCATAAAGTACGGGAAGAAATCTCAAATTTAAATAAAGTTTAAAGTTTCTACTATTACATGAGATTGGACCATTTAATTACTTATTAAACTCCTTGGGGAATTGGAGTAACCCAATGACCTTAGATTACCTACAAATGACTAGAAAGTTCATGGGGCTTGCTCCAAATTTCATCTTGGGGCAAAAGGAGAAGAAATCCCACAAAATGGATGTAAAGGGACACGGTGAAGTGAAAATAAAGTTGCTTCCTGATCCCCCTTTCTTTAGTTAGATTAGGCTAGGCTGTGATAACAAAAAAACAAAATTTCAATAACTGGCTGGTTGGGACTCTATACCCAATCAGTGGTTTTGTCGGAGATGTTTGAATCAGAGCAACTCCATCTTAAATAGGGGCTGGGTAAAATGAGGCTGAGACCTGCTGGGCTGCATTCCCAGGAGGTTGGGAATTCTTAGTCACAGGATGATATAGGAGGTCAGCACAAGATACAGGCCACAAAGACCTCGCTGATAAAATAGGATGCAGTAAAGAAGCCGGCCCAAACCAAGATGGTGACAAAAGTGACTTTTGGTCATCCTCACTGCCCATTACATGCTAATTATAATGCATTAGCATGCCAAAAGTCACCCCCCACCAGCACCAAGATGGTTTATAAATGTCATGGCAATGTCCCAGAGTTACCCTATATGATCTAAAAGGAAGAAGAACCCACAGTTCCAGGAAATCTCCATCCCTTTCCCAGAAAATTCATGGATACCCCACCCCTTGTTTAGCATATGATTAAGAAATAATTGGCTAGGCGCTGTGGCTCATGCCTGTAGTCCCAGCACTTTGGGAGGCCAAGGCAGGCAGATCACTTCAGGTCAGGAGTTGGAGACCAGCCTGACCAACATGGTGAAGCCCCATCTCTACTAAAAATACAAAATTAGCTGGGAGTGGTGCATGCCTGTAAACCCAGCTACTCAGGAGGCTGAGGCAGGAGAATCGCTTAAACCCAGGAGGCAGAGGTTGCAATAAGCTGAGATCGCGCCATTGCACTCCAAGAGCAAAACTGTGTCTCAAAAAAAAAAAAAAAGGAAAAGAAAGAAAGAATCATAAAAATAGCCAACTAGCAGCCCTCAGAGCCACTCCACCTATGAGGTAACCACTCTTTTATTCCTTTATTTCTTAATAAACTTGCTTTCACTTTACTCTGTGGACTCGCCCCAAATTCTTTCTTGCACAATGTCTAAGAACCCTCTCTTGAGAAGTGACTGGATCAGGATCCCTTTCCAGTAATGATTTGTGCACCCAAACTTTGGTTTCCTTAACTTGTGGGCCCACAGATGGTCAGCCCTCAGACTCTTGTCTCTTCTTATTGCAGGTTATACCTGTGACCTGGGCCCAGAGCTGTGGGCACAGCTCTGGAACAGCATCTGCAGGCTTTCTACCACTTGGCTATTCTTTATTTTTTTATTTTTATTTTTTTTGAGAGGGAGTCTTGCTCTGTCACTCAGGCTGGAGTGCAGTGGCGCAATCTCAGCTCACTGCAGGCTCCGCCCCCTGGGGTTCACGCCATTCTCCTGCCTCAGCCTCCCGAGTAGCTGGGACTACAGGCGCCTGCCACCTTGCCCGGCTAATTTTTTGTATTTTTAGTAGAGACGGGGTTTCACCATGTTAGCCAGGATGGTCTCGATCTCCTGACCTCGTGATCCGCCCGCCTCGGCCTCCCAAAGTGCTGGGATTACAGGCATGAGCCACCGCACCCGGCCTTGGCTATTCTTTAAAAAAAAAAATTATTGAGACATAATTGCACAGATTTAAAGTGTGCACTTTGATCAGTTTTGTCGTATTTGTATACTATGAAACTGTCACCACAATCAAGATAGTGAACACATCCATACCTCTCAAAAGTTTTCTCATGCCCGTTATACTTCCTTCCCTCCTGCCATGCCCATTCTCAAACACTCACTGATCTGCTTTCTGTCACTGTAGATTATTTGCTTCTCCTAGAGTTTTATATAAATGAAATCATATAGTATGTATTCTTCTTTTTTTTTTTTTTTTTCTGGTTTCTTTCACTCTGGCCATTCACTTCCAAGAGATAATGTATTAGTCCATTTTCATACTGCTATGAAGAAATACCCAAGACTGGGTAATTTATAATTCTGAGCTGGGCGCGTGGCTCATGCCTGTAATCCCAGCACTTTGGGAGGCTGAGGCAGGCGGATCACCTGAGGTCAGAATTTCAAGACCAGCCTGGCCAACATGGTGAAACCTCGTCTCCACTAAAAATACAAAAATTAGCCAGCTGTGATGACACATACCTGTAATCCCAGCTACTCAGGAGGCTAAGGCAGGAGAATCACTTGAACCCAGGAGATGGAGGTTGCAGTGAGCCGAGATCATGCCACTGCACTCCAGCCTGGGTGACAGAGTGAGACTCGAAAGAAAAGAAAAGAAAAGAAAAGAAAAGAAAAGAAAGAAGGAAAGGAAGGAAGGAAGGGAAGGAAGGAAGAGAGATTTAATGGATTCACAGTTCCACATGGCTGTGGAGGCCTCATAATCATGGTGGAAAGTGAAGGAGGAGCAAAAGCATGTTGTACATGGCAGCAGGCAAGAGCATGCTCAGGGGAACAGCCCTTTATAAAACCATCAGATCTCATAAGACTTATTCACTATCATGACAATAGCATGGGAAAAACCCGCCACCCATGATTCAGTTACCTGCCACCAAGTCCCTCCCATGACACATGGGGATTATGGGAACTACAATTCAAGATGATATTTGGGTGGAGACACAGCCAAACCATATCATTCCTCCCCTGGCCCCTCCCAAATTTCATGTCTTCACAATTCAACACACAATCATGCCTTTCAACAGTCCACCAAAGTCTTAACTCATTTCAGCATTAACTCAAAAGTCCAACTCCAAAGTATCATCTGAGACAAGGCAAGTCCCTCTTCCTATGAGCCTGTAAATCAAAAGCAAGTTAGTTACTTCCTAGATACAATGGGGGTACAGGCATTGGGTAAATACACCCATTCCAATGGGATACATTGGCCAAAATAAAGGTGCCACAAGCCCCATACAAGTCTGAAATACAGTAGGGCAGTCATTAAACCTTAACGTTCCAAAATGCTCCCCCTTTGACTCCATGTCTCACATCCAGGTCATGCTGATGTGAGAGATGGGCTCCCACAGCATTGGGTAGTTCTGCCTCTGTGGCTTTGCAGGGTACAGCCCCCCTTCCAGCTGCTTTCATGGGCTAGTGTTGAGTGTCTCCAGCTTTTCCAGGTGCATGGTGTAAGCTGTTGGTGGATCTACCATTCTGGGGTTTGGAGGATGGTGGCCCTCTTCTCACAGCTCCACCAGGCAATGCCCCGGTGGGGAACTCTGTGTAGGGGCTCTGACCCCACATTTCCCTTCTGCACTGCCCTAGCAGAGGTTCTCCATAAGGGCTCCACCCCTGCAGCAAACTTCTGCCTAGACATCTAGGCATTTACATACATGCTCTGAAACCTAGGCAGAGGTTCTCAAACCTCAATTCTTGACTTCTGTGCACCCACAGGCCCAGCACATTTGTAAGCTATCAAGGCTTGGGGCTTGGAACCTCTGAAGCAATGGCCTGAGCTGTAGGTTGGCCCTTTTTAGCCACAGCTGGAGCTAAAGTAGCTGGGATGTAGGGCACCATGTCCCCAGGCTGCATAGAGCAGGGGTCCCTTAGCCCAGCCCACAAACCCTTTTTCCCTCCTAGGCCTCCAGGCCTGTGATGGGAGGGGCTGCTATGAAGTTCTCTAATATTCCCTGGAGACATTTTCCCCATTGTCTTAGTGATTAACATTCCACTCCTCTTTACTTATGCAAATTTCTGCAGCAAACTTGAATTTCTCCCTAGAAAATGGGTTTTTCTTTTCTATCGCATCATCAGACTGCAAATTTTCCAAACTTTTATGCTCTACTTCCACTTGAACAGCTTTACCACTTAGAAATTTCTTCTGCCAGATACCCTAAGTCATTTCTTTCAGTTCAAAGTTCCACAGATCTCTAGGGCAGGGGCAAAATACCGCCAGTCTCTTTGCATAGGAAGAGTGACCTTTACTCCAGGTCCCAACAAGTTCCTTATCTCCATCTGAGACCACCTTAGCCTGGACAAATATTGTCCATATCACTGTCAGCATTTTGGTCAAAGCCATTCAACAAGTCTCTAGGAAGTTCCAAAGTTTCCCACATTTTCCTGTCTTCTGAGCCCTCCAAGTCTTGAGGAAGTTCCAAACTTTCCCACATTTTTGTGTCTTCTTCTGAGCCCTCTAAACTTCTAACCTCTGCCTGTTACCCATTTCCACATTTTCAGGTATCTTTATAGCAGTACCCCACTTTACTGGTACCAATTTACTGTATTAATCCATTTTCTTTTTTTATTTTTATTTTTGAGACAGTCTTGCTCTGTCACCCAGGCTGGAGTACGGTGGCACAATCTCGGTTCACTGCACCCTCCACCTCCCAGGTTCAAGCAATTCTCCTTCCTCAGCCTTCTAAGTAGCTGGGATTATAGGCGCCAACCGCCATGCATGGCTAATTTTTTTTGTTTGTTTGTTTAGTAGAGATGGGGTTTCACCATATTGACCACCAGGCTGATCTTGAACTCCTGGCCTCAAATGATTCACCTGCCTCGGCCTCTCAAAGTGCTAGGATTACAGGCATGAGCCACTGCACCCAGCCGTATTAGTCCGTTTTCATACTGCTATGAATAAATACCTGACACTGGGTAATTTATAAAGAAAAAGAGGTTTAATGCATTCACAGTTCCACATGGCTGAGGAGGCCCTCAAAATCATGGTGGAAGATGAAGGAGGAGCAAAGGCATGTCTTACATGGCAGCAGGCAAGAGCGTGTGCAGAACTACCTTTATAAAACCATGAGATCTCATGAGACTTATTCACTATCACAAGAAGAATAGCATGGGAAAAACCTGCCCCTCATGATTCAGTTACCTCCCACCAGGTCCCTCTCATGACACGTGGGGATTAAGGGAACTACAATTCAAGATGAGATTTGGGTGGAGACCCAGCTAAACCATATCAGACACCATTCTAATGGAAAACAGCTCAGCTGAAAGAATCCTGCCAAGAACTCATGCTACCTGTCTGTGCAGCAATTCAGAGTCATGAATTCTTGTTAAGCTATGTGATTTTTCTACGAGGATGCCAAGTTTACTTTCTGATTAATGGACCTCTCTTAATCAGAAACAAGCACAATTTACACTCATAATTTTTTGCCAAAATATATAACCTTAAACATCACCTCTCTCCCCTGCTTGTCAGTTCTCATCAATTAATCTGGTCTGAAGAAGAAAAAAAAACTCAGTTAAGGGAAACCAAGTGCACAGAGGATTTCTTGAAGAATATATTTTGCAGATTATGCAATTACAGACATTTGCAGCACTGTGAATTTGGACTGTTTGTTTTAACCCTTCACAGAATCTCTTACAGTGAATTGTGCTTTGGCAGTCGGCTCTCAGCTTGCAGGGACTCAATAAGAATGGGATGTAATGCAAAATAATTTATGGATGATATGGCACAATGTGTAGAATTTGCTTTAAAAGATCTCCAGCTGAAAAAGTGGTAGGAGTAGATTAAGTGAGTATGGTCAACTTTTGACAGTTTTTAAAACTTTGTGATGGATACAGCAAGACTCATTATATACTCACGGCTTCTGTGTATGTTTGAAATTGTCATCATAAGCAGAGTTTTTTAAAAGAGGCATAAGAAGTTCACCATTGTCTTTACTATAGGGATATTGTTAAAGATTTATTTTATTCATTACTTTGCAAACCAGTATACTTTTGACAAGAAATTAAGAATGATCTTAAAACTTAAATAATACTTATCTTAGTCCTGCCTAGTACAAAGTAAGCATGTAATAAGCAACAGTTATTGTTTATTGTGTAATGATCTCATCAGAATTCATTTGTGGGTATTAGTAGCCTGACCTCCTTGGAACTTGGAGGTTTCCTTTGATATTGGACAAAGTACAAAGAAAACAGTATCTTCTGTAAGGTTAGTTGTAAGAGGTTTTCTGGTAGCATACTGAATATAGGAAGAATTTCTGAAAGAACCTTTAAGAACTCTAGTGTCTCAATCCAGAAGGTAAAAATTTAATATGAAGTATTAAAAAAAAATGCACCATGACTAACCAGGAGTACAAAGATAGCTCTATGTTTTAAAATATATTCAAATGTATCATATTCAAATATATTCAAATTTTAAAGATAGTTTTATATTTTAAAATATATTCAAATTTATCATCTCTGTAGGCCAAAGAAAATAAGCCATATTATCACCTTGATTATGATAAATGGTTCAACTGGCTAACATTTGAAAAACAATAATAATTAGAATTATCTCTCTATACTCAAAATCAATTCCATATGAATATAAATGTGGAAATTTTTTAAAGTGCCAAATGAAAACAAGGGATGAGATTAGGGAGGAAGAAAACTACTCTGTGCTTCCTGGCTTCATCTTTGATCCTGTTCCATCCTCAGAGATTGCAGAGTAAGTAAACTGTGACAGCTCTCTCACTTTTGCATCTTGACATATTCCCCAACCTCTCTCATCTACTTGAATGCCGATTCCTTTATTGCATTCTAGGCTTTATTACATCAATTTTTCAATTCCTGCAATAACTAGATTCCATAATAAGAAAAGACTGTACTTGGCTGATTTCTTTCATAATGTACCTATTAATATTTAAGTGTGAATTCCTTAAAGCTCTTGTGATAGGCTTCTCAAGGCATGGCAACATTCCTCACCTCTCTTCTGCTGTATCATATTATATTACTGTGTCTCTGTGATAACAATAAAGAATTTGACTGCCCTTTGTCCCTGGTTCCTAGGAGGGAAACTAAATCCTTGGAATCTCCTGAGTAATATGAGTATCTTTGTTATTCATGAGCCCCTTGGATCACACCTGGGCTTATGCTAAGAGAGAACTCACGATGGGAGGTTGGTCATCAGAAAGATCACATAATAAAAGGATTGGGCCTTAGAGCCAGCCCAACCTCGACGGAGGGTGGGAGGACTAGAGATTGCGTTCAATTCGGTGGCAAATGAGTCAACCAATTGTGCCTATGTAATGAAAACTCTGGACGCCAAAATTTGGTGGAGCTTCCTGGTTGGTGAACACATCCATGTGCCAGGAGGGTGACACAACCTGATTCACAGAGAGAAGACACAGAAGCTCTGCATGGAAGACCCGCCCAGACCCCGCCCTACGTGTGTCTTCATTAGTCTGGTCCTCCTGATTTGTATCCTTTGTAACAAGCCTGTAATCGTAAGTATAACATTCTCCTGAGTTTGGTGAGTTGTTCTAGCAAATTATCAAACCCGAGGGGGTTGTGGGTACCCCCCAGATTAGTAGCCAGTTGGTCAGAGGAGCGAGTAGCCTGGGGACCTCCACACTTGTGGCTGGCGGCGGAAGTGAGGGCAATCTCATTGGGGCTGAAACCTGTAGTTAGTGTTGTGCTGCACTATTCCAGTCCCTTATCCACCTACATTCCTCATTTCCTTGTCGGGGCCTTGCTGTGATGTCTCCATTTGGGTGATTTCATAAAGGTTAGAGATGAGGGAGGGCAGATTTACCTGGAGAACAAATTCCTAGGCCTTTTGATACTTTTTTTTTTTTTGAGACAAGGTCTCGCTCTGTTACCCAGGCTGAAGTGCAGTGGTGCAATCCAGGCTCACTGCAACCTTGCCTCCCAACCCCCACCCCCACACTCTGGGCTCAAGCGATCCTTCCACATTAGCCTCCAGGGTAATTGGGACCACACGTGCGCACCAGCACGCCCAGTTTTGTTTTTGGTTTTTTTTTTTTTTTTTTTTGTATTTTCAGTAGTGAAAGGGTTGCCCAGGCTGGTCTCAAACTCCTGAGCTCAAGCAATCTGCCCCCCTCAGCCTCCCCAAAGTGCTAGTATTACAGGCATGAGCCATCGCGCCCAGCCAATATACATTCTTAACAATTTTTTACTTACCAATTCTCTGTTCTGGCTTTGTATCTCTGATTTTACTAGATTATCCCTGTTTTGGCAAACACTAACAATATTTATATAAGTTTAGCCTATATGCCTTAAAGACGTTTTCTCCTACTTCCAGAACTTTCTCAGTTGTGTGTGTGAGTACGCCTGGCTTTTCATCAAAGAGCTTTGCCGTCTTGATGCTTCCTTTTCTGTGAACACAGCAATAAATAGATTCTGCAGAACAAATGAGTGAGTAACTTTTTTTTTTTTTTTTTTTTTGAGACAGAGTCTCGCTCTGTCACCCAGGCTGGAGTGCAGTGGAGCTATCTTGGCTCACTGCAGCCTCTGCCTCCTGAGTTTAAGTAACTATTGTACAATAGTGATCACTGCCACAAAGTCAAGTATACATTGTTTATAATCTCTGAATTGAAGTACAAATTTTACTTTCTCTTTTTTTTTTTCCTTTGGAGATGGAGTCTCCCTCTGTCACCCAGGCTAGAGTGCAGTGGCAGGATCTCAACTCACTGCAACCTCCGCCTCCTGGGTTCAAGTGATTCTCCTGCCTCAGCCTCCCGAGTATCTGGGATTACAGGCACGTGCTACCATGCCCGGCTAATTTTTTGTATTTTTAGTGGAGACGGGGTTTCACCATGTTGGGCAGGCTTGTCTCGAACTCCTGATCTCAGGTGATCCTCCTGCCTTGACCTCCCAAAGTGCTGGGATTACAGGCATGAGCCACCACACCTGGCCTTTTTTTTTTTTTTTTTTAATAGAAATGGGCTTCCCCACCTACCCCCACCTGGCATGGTGGCTCATGCCTGTAATCCCAGCACTTTAGGAGGCTGAGGGGGGTGAATCACCTGAGGTCAGGAGTTCGAGACCAGCCTGGCCAACATGGTAAAACCCCATCTCCACTAAAAATACAAAAACTTAGCCGGGCATGGTGGCACGTGCCTGTAATCCCAGCTACTCAAGAGGCTGAGGCAGGAGAATCACTTGAACCCAGGAGGCAGAGGTTGCAGTGAGCTGAGACCGCGCAATTGCACTCCAGCCTGGGCAACAAGAGCAAAACTCCATCTCAAAAAAAAAAGAAAAGAAAAGAAAAGACAAAAAAAGAAATGGGTTCTCACTATGTTGCCTAGGCTGCTCTGGAAATCCCAGGTTCAAACAATCCTCCCTCCTTGGCCTTCCAAAGTGCTATGATTACATGTGTGACCCACCATGCCCAGCTCTAAATATCTTTAATTGTAAGTGTGTAGCATTCCATACAATCCAAGCACAGTTTTATATAATGGGTTGAGCTAGATCAACAAGGTTATAGATGGCTGGTTCATGATCACCAGGTTGGTGGGTAAAATCAGCCATTAATCTCCTATGAAAGGCCAGGTACAGTGGTTCATGCTTGTAATTCCAGCACTTTGGGAGGCCAAGGCAGGTGGATTGCTTGAGCTCAGGAGCTCAAGACCAGCCTGGCCAACATGGTGAGACCCCTCTCTACTAAAATACAAAAAACTAGCCGGGCTTGGTGGTGGGTGCCTGTAGTCCCAGCTATGTGGGTGGCTATGGCAAGAGAATTGCTTGAACCCGAGAGGCGGAGGTTGCAGTGAGCCGAGATGTTGCCACACTGCACTCCAACCTAGGCTACAGTGAGGTAGGAGTTATTAAGAAATTATTTTAGGCAGATAGAGAGGAAAAAGGTCCATGGAAAATTTTTCACAGCTCTTGTCTAGCATGAAAGCCCTGGCTCTTAGACTTGGGCCAGCAACCTTTGATATGCAAACGCTAGCTGTTAGAAACTGGGTCCACCCAACAAGGCTATTCCCACCTTTGTCCTCTTGCCCTTGCCCCTACATGTGCCTGGCAGCATGGCCGCCCCCACATATCCCCACGTGTGTGGAACATGACACAGCCCTACATTTGCATATTAAAAGGCTAGGGTGGGAGGGCCAGCTTTTTCGCCGGCTACATGAATGACATGCCTGGTCAAACCAATCCCCTGAGTCCTATGCAGATCAGATACTGCCTCCTCCACCCATCGAATATAGCTGGCTGGTATTACCTAAGTGCGGGGTTCCATCTCTCGGCTTTGGAGCCCCCCTCCCTCTGTCTCTGTACAAGGGAGTTTCTTCTTTCTTTCTTCTCCCTTCTTTCTTGCCTATTAAACTCTCCGCTCCTTAAAACCACTCCACGTGTGTTCGTGTCATCTTATCTAATTCGATGTGAGACAAGAGCCCTGGTGTTCCTCCACTCATCAGAGCCATATCAACAGAGGGTGACTGTCTCAAAAAAAAAAAAAAAAAAACTCCTCTGAAAAACAGAATTTAAAACTTTAAGTGGGCAAACATCATTTTTATTTTTTTAAAAAGTCAACAAATTCTTATAACCAACATTCATGGTCTCAAGTAACAAGTTGACAGTTTGAGCATCAGCTGCAGAAGATAAAAAAAAAAATTGAGGTATTTGCAAGAAGCTCTTGCTAGAAGGAATAAGAGGGGCTGAGCATTGAAGCCTGGGCCAGGTGAGCTGTCTTCCTTGCCTCCCCACGTTCCACACCCCAGACACCACTGATGGGGAGCTTAGGAGATGAGGGGTGGAAGGAGGAGGTGAGGCTGGGTTTCCTCCAGCTCAGGGATGTTGTCTTGAATGTCCTCATTGAAGGATAAGGAGGAAAGTGATGTCCCTACCAAGGCTGACAGGCTAAGGAATGGGAAAGCATCTTTGGAGGTCCCCAGGCCGACTACTGAATATCCTGCCCCAGGTGTCCAAGCTCCACAGTGTGGCTGGTGGGTGTGCCCTTGGCACCACTTTCCCCATGTGCTGAGTCTTCTGGGAAGCAGGCAGCACAAATGTGAGGACACGCTAGTGCCTCGGGGACCCTTCACTAAGACCGGCAGCTACCCCTTCCCCAACCCTTTTGCCCCTCTCTTTCAGAGATGGAGCCCATCCAGAACCCAGCTGTGCTGCTGCAAGGTACATTCTGTCTCCCTCTCTCTTTCTCTCTTTCCAGCACACCAAATTCCCTACATTCCAGGGAGGGAGTTATCTCAGTCTCCAACTGCCCCAGAGTGGTGAGCAGCATTCCACACACTCCAAGCATATAAGGAAGAAGTGCAGTAGGCTGGGGACTGGCAGAAGGAGCTCCCTGGGCAGAAGAGCCAGGAAGGTAGCTGGGTAGGAAGTAACCTGCATGGGCCCAGCCCAAGGCACTAGAAAATCAGCCTTCCCCAAATAATCACAGAGGCTTCCAAACGTGCCCCACCCCTTCAAGCTCCCTTCCCAGGGCTCTGCTGCTCCCTCTCACTTTCTCTTGCTCTTTTTCCTTCCCACTCTAAGTGTCCTACTTCCATCTTCTTCCCATCTCTTTGTCTCTTTCTTCCCTCTCGGGCCCACCTTTGGCTTTTCTAGGCTTTGATAAAGAGTTTCCTGAGGCTCACCACCGGCAGCTGAATTCTGGTCTCCTCTTCCTGCCTCTGCTTGCCTCCGTGGACTCCTAGACATGCTCCTTGAGCTTGTGGGCAGGCATCTCAGCACAGCTGTGGGATCTGGGGCTCAGAGACCCCCAACTAGCCTGTGCCTAGAATCATATTTCAATAGAATGATTTCTTTTGAATCTTATTGATGCAGAACTTTGTTCCTTAAACCCTAAAACCAGGTTCTTGTCACACAAGCAGGAAAAGCTAGGAACGCAGACGCATTGAAGGGTGAGGGGAACAGAATTTATTGGGTGAAAAAGGAAAAGAAGAAAAAAAAATCTCTCAGCAAAGCAAGAAGAGTTCCTGCCAACAGCACCCCCACCCCCAGACTGATTCCAGGCTACACACAAGAACTGAAGAGGCCAGGCTCCTCCCCAACTGCACATGGCACGAACTTCCCGTGGCTCCACCCCCTTCTCCCAAGTGCATAGGCAGGTCAGAGATTCTCTGGGGACCCTTTCCCTTATCTACCTCCTGCATCTATCAATATGGTGAAACCCTGTCTCCAAGAAAATTGTGAAAGTTAACTGGGCCTGGTGGTGCACGGATGTGGTCCCAGCTACTTGAAAGGCTGAGGTTGGAGAATCACCTGAGCCTGGGAGGTCGAGGCTGCAGTGAGCTGTGATTGCACCACTGCACTCCAGCCTGGGTGACAGAGTGAGACCGTGTCTCAAAAATAAATTTAAAAATAAAATAAAAATAAAGAGTTGCAGCCTACAATGTACCATTCGGACTAGTGGGAAGCATAGCCTCTGGCAGAGCCTAGAGAATGAACTTTGAGGGACGAGGAGGAATAAGAAAGGAATTTAATCTGACTGGGTTGGCCAAGTATACATATTCAACAGGTTACAGAAGGAGCTATGAATATTCATGAAAGTGGTCCTGAAGCACATATACTGAATAAACTAGTATATTGCATATGACCCATGTGCACCTTAGGGTGGAGACTTAGCATTTAAATGTATTACAGCTGGCCAGGCGCGGTGGCTTACACCTGTAATCCCAGCACTTTGGGAGGCTGAGGCAGATGGATCATGAGGTCAGGAGATCGAGGCCATCCTGGCTAACAGGGTGAAACCCCGTCTCTACTAAAAATACAAAAAAAATTAGCCGGGCATGGTAGCGGGTGCCTGTAGTCCCAGCTACTCGGGAGGCTGAGGCAAGAGAATGGCATGAACCTGGGAGGCAGAGCTTGCAGTGAGCCGAGATCGCACCACTGCACTCCAGCCTAAGCGATAGTGAGACTCCGTCTCAAAAAAAAAAAAAATTAATTAAAAAAAAATAAATGTATTACAATTAGGTCTTATACATCAAAAGGTCTTTTCAGGACACAAGCAAACTCAAGTATGCAGCATCTGTAAACCAGCCAGAACCAGTCCATGGTCAGTAGTCTTCTTATCAGGAGAAGGTTACTGAAATCAGTCTCGTGTTCAACCCAAGCTGTAGTTTTGGCTGATGGACGATCTGCAAGTTGTTTTAATCTTGCTTATCTCAAGGCCAATGTTTGTTTGGCTGCTAGAGAAAAATTAAAACCTTGTGGCAGAACACTTTTTCTTTAAGTGCAGGGGTGTGTGACTTAACCCTGACCTGCCATGGCCTTAAGTCTTGTTTATAGTTTGGTCTTTCATTGGCTCAAATACTTTGTTCTGTCAGTCTTATGATCTCTGGTTTATTAATGCTGGTCAGTGGTTGTCTAAACCACAAAAGGGATGAGGTATGACGAGGTGTGTCTGACCTCCCATCCTCTCCTGCCTGGGAACTCAGTTTTTAAGGTTTCTCTGGGGTCCCCTTGGCCAAGAGGGGGTCCATTAAGTCAACTGGGGGGCTTAGGATTTTATTTTCAGTTTACAAAATTATCTCACTATAGTCTCTCAAAAGGAGTCTGTGTTCTTCCCTGAAAGAAAGCTGACATCCCCTGCTGCTGGGGGTTAAGGGTGGCAGGGTCACACATAAACCAGGTGTCAGAAGGGCTGTGGGCAGAGGCCGGAGCAGCCTGATTAAGGTGGGAAACCCCAGGGTTGTTCTTGATAATGAACTGAGGTGGAAAGGGAGAAAGGCAGTTGTTTTGTGAATCCACTGGAGACACTGAGCAGCGGACAGAAAGCAGATGTCAGGGAGTGGGAACCGGGGAGCTGAGTGGGTCCATCCTAAAAGGGGCAGCTCTGAGGCGTTCCTAACCTTTTAGTGCTGCAGGCCTTGTAGCCAAACTTTGTGCCCTACCCACTTGTCCTCTAAGGTTGCCATTCAGATGGCTCCGTCTTTAAGCCTCTGACACTGTTGAGGACTTACCCTAGTCACAGGAGCACTACCCATGGGTAGGGCAGGCTAGAAATGTCAGTGCCCTGGGGGCAGCCCTCAAGTGAAATGGGATTTGGTGAAGAAATACCCCAGCTTCCTCAAGGGTAGGATGACTCCGAGGCATGCTCTATACAGTAGTCTCTTGAAGGTCCCAGTGGGATTGAGCCAAGGAGTTCATTAAGTTCATTGCTCATCGATGCACCCCATGCTGGCTTCTGCCCTTTCCTGTCTACTTTATCAATTATGCCAGGGATTTCCTCTCTAATAACCTCCTTGCTTCAAATCTTTGTCTCCAGATCTGCTTCTGAAGGAAACTAACCTAAAACAGACCCCTTTGGCAATTTGTGAAAGCTGCTGTACTTCTGAGAATAATGGTGGGGTTTTGTTTTTTGTTTGTTTGTTTTGAGACAAGGTTTTGCTGTGTTGCCCAGGATGGAGTGCATTGTCATGATCATAGCTCACTGCAGCCTCCACCTCCTGAGTTCAAGAGATCCTGCTGCCTCAGCTTCCTGAGTAGCTGGGACTACAGGTGCAGGTCACCACACCCGGCAGAATAGTGTTTTAAATGTATAAAATAAAATAGATAATGATAGATGCAGGAGACAGATAAAGGGGAGGGTCCCTGGAGAATCACCTGCCTGCATACTGGGAAAATGGGGTGGAGCCACGGGAAGTTCGTGCCGAGTGTGCAGTGGTCGGGGAGGAGCCTGGCCTCTTCAGCTACTGTGTGTGGCCTGGAATCAATCTGTGGAGTGGGGACCTGTTGGCAGGAACCCCCCTTGCTCTTTGCTGAGAGGTTTTTCTTTTCTTCTTTTCCTTTTTCACCCAAAAAATTCCATTCCCCTCACCCTTCAAAGTGTCTGCCTGCTTAACTTTTCCTGGTCATGTGACAAGAACCCGGTTTTAGCTGAACTGAGGAGCAAAGTTCTGCATCAGTATTGCCAGGCTGGTCTCGAACTCCTGGGTTCAAACGATCCACCCACCTCAGCCTCCCAAAGTGCTGGGACTGCAGATGTGAGCCACAATGCCCAGTCAGCAGTAACTCTTTAAAAGAAATAAAGCTCTCCTTTCCAAATTTATGATTTTTCTTTTCTTTTTTTTTTTTTTTAAGAGACAGGGTCTCACTCTGTTGCCCTGGCTGGAGTAAATAGCTCCCTGCAGCCTCAAACTACTGGGATCCACTTCAGCCTCCTGAGTAGGTAGGACTACAGGCGTGTGCCAGCACACCTAGCTAATTTTTATTTATTTATTTATTTATTGGTAAAGAAAGGGCCTCACTATGTTGCCCAGGCTGGTCTCGAACTCTTACCCTCAAGCAGTCCTCCCACCTCCACCTACCAAAGTGCAGGGATCACAGGCAAGAGCCACTGTCTGCCCAGCCTAAAGTTGTGATTTTTAAGTTAACATATCATTGTCAAATTAATTTGTGTTTTCTGTTTTTTCCTCACCTAACCCTGCCTCCCTCCCACTCTTCGCACCACCCTGCACTTCCAAGCCAGGAGAAAGGACTTTGTGCTCCTTCACCTCAGAAACCTGAACTCAGAATTTCCTTGTAGACACTTTTCAGGCCTTTGTTTGCTGGAGACTGGAGTTCCCTGAGAGGATTAAGGGTGTGGTGGGGAGTGTCTAAAGGAGCCCAGTGCCTTGAGGGCAGCCAAGAAGACAGAGGCCCTGGACTGGATACCGGCTGAGGTAGGTGGATCCCTGTGGGGTGGAGACCATCCCCAGCTCCACAGCCCCAGGCATGTCAAGGGCTATCATCAAGGCCTCAGAGGAGACCAGCTGCCTGGGGCACCTCAGGAAGCTATACCCTGACACCTGGACTCCAGAGTCCACAAATATATCTGTACCCAAACCAGTGGGCAAGCAAAGAAGCCCTTGCCTTTGGGAGACCTCAGGATGTTGGCCATGAGAACATCATGGATGGGCGCGGTGGCTCGCTCCTGTAATCCCAGCACTTTGGGAGGCCAAGGCGGGTGGATCACCTGAGGTTAGGAGTTCGAGACCAGCCTGGCCAACATGGTAAAACCCTGTCTCTACTAAAAATACAGAAATTAGCCAGGCACAGTGGCAGGTGCCTGTAATCCCAGCTACTCGGGCGGCTGAGGCAGGAGAATCGCTTGAACCTGGGAGGCAGAGGTTGCAGTGAGCCAAGATCATATCACTGTGCTCCAGCTTGGGCAACAAGACAGAAACTCCATCTCAAAAAAAAAAAAAAGAAAAGAAATCATGGACTCCAAAAGGCCTGAAGTGGAGAGTCCTGAAGCCATCTCAGACCATGAGGCCACCCTAAGGGTAGAAGGAAGCACACTAAGATGACAGGAACAGAAGACAGGAGCCTGGGTCCATCATGCCAGGGAGCCTCCACACCTGCCCTGGACGTTTCATCTCAGACCTCGTGGATAAAGCAGAGAAATAAATATCTACCTTGTTTAAGCCACTTATTTTCAATTTTTTGTTTCAAGCAGGCTTTTCATGAAGTTCCCAGTCTGACAGCATTAATTGGTGGGCTAGAATTTGTGGACGGTTTCCATGTATGTATTCTGCAAAACCATCCATAAGAAAGAGTTGAACAAGTCTTGGGACTAGCTAGAGAAGTGGGCAAAAAAAGAGAGGAAGTGGCCGAGTGCGGTGGCTCACGCCTGTAATCCCAGCACTTTGGGATGCTCAGGCAGGCAGATCACGAGATCAAGAGATTGAGACCATCCTGGCCAACATGGTGAAACCCCGTCTCTACTGAAAATACAAAAATTAGCTGGGCGTGATGCCATGCGCCTGTAGTCCGAGCTACTCGGGAGGCGGAGGCAGGAGAATCACTTGAACCCTGGAGGCAGAGGTTGCAGTGTGTCAAGATCATGCCACCGCTCTCCAGCCTAGTAACAGAGTGAGAATTCCGTCTCAAAAAAAAAAAAAAAAAAAAAGAGAGAGAGGAAGTAGCCTCTCCACTGCCCCTGCCATGCCTAGAAGGTTCCCCAGCATAAGAAGAGATCATTTGCATCTCAAACAGCACAATAGGCAGCCTGCTGGGTGGCCGGGGAAACTGTCCAAGACAGGACCGTACCAGAGGCCTTTTCTTGTCCTTTGAATATTTCAACTTCTGTGCAGGAAGGCTTGGGCTTTCCCAGGACAAAATAATTTTTAACATTTTATTTGTCTTATTAAATATTAAATAAATATATTTGTAAAAGATACAGACATGAATAACAATGATACAAAGAATGACAAAGTGACCTTTTAAATTTGAGACCAATTCCATCTAAAACAATCCAAGCCACCTGTAGCTGTTGGTTTGATTGCAATAACCAATACTGGACCATGGTTACTTAACCTATCAACCCAAGAAGAAATCTTTCATAACTGTGATGATCACGAAGGAAATATAAACATGGCTAACCTGTGTCATGAAAAATGGAAGCTAATTAAGGTATCTGAAATGAGTGAGGAGACTGAGGATGTTCTGAAGGAAATGCAGGAAGGAGAATTAGCCTAAGTGCATCCATGTTGAACTTATACATAAATCTTTCCTTGGTTGGCAAGAGTCCAGAATATGATATCACAGTGTGTGAAGGAGGCTGAGAGGAAACAGACTGTCCCATGCATTGCTGGCAGCAGTGCAGATGGCACAGTTCTGTGGAGCAGACCTGCAATATCTACCAGAACTATACATGCACAAACCCTTTGACCCAGAGATCCCCCTTCTGGGAATCTATCTTATAGATTCACCTACACAAAGGTAAACTTGCTTAGGTATAAGGTTATTCATTGTGGCATTATTTATAATAACAACGGATCAGAAACAGCCCAACAACCCAGCAATAGGAGACTGGCGAACACACAGCTCTGGTCGATCCACCAATGGAATACTATAGAGCTGTCAAAATGAAAAAGGCAGGAGGAACAGCTTTACGTGGTGATAGGGAAGGATACCCAGTATATTTAGTTACGATTTTAAAAGGAAGGAGCAAGATGTATATAACATGCTTTTTTTGTGTAATAAAAGAGGAAATAAAAGTATGTTATTTATGTTTGCATAAAGAAACGTTGGGAGAATAAATAAGGCACTATTCTGGTAAAAATGGTTACTGACGAGCAATGTGAGGGGAAAAAGAGAGGGTAAGTGTGGGGTAGGAGTGATATTTCTCATGTACTTATTGATGTCATTTTTATTTGAACTACATAAATGAAATATCATTTTAAAAACTAGGCCTGGGTGTGGTGGATCACACTTGTAATCCCAGCACTTTAGGAGGCCAAGGTGGGAGGATGACGAGTTCAGGAGTTCAAGACCAGCCTGGCAACATAGCAAGACTTTGTCTCTACTAAAAAAATTTTAAAAATTAGCCAGGCATGGTGCCACATGGCTGTAGTCCCAGCTACTCATGAGGCTGAGGTGGGAGGATTGCTTGAGCCCAAGAGTTGAAGGCTTCAGTGAGCCACTGCACTTCAGCGTGGGTGACAGAGCAAAACCCTGTCTCAAAAAACATACATAGAATTTTAAAAATCCATATCTGGACGATTTATTAAAATCAAAGAAATACAGAGGGCAGCTATTTAGTAACCAAGAAATAAGGACATGGATCAAAAATAATCGTATTTTGTTTTTCTGACCAAGTCCCTCCTCTGGTCCCATGCCCCACTTTTCATAAAGACAAAATTTCCAAACTTGGAGACATTTCAGGGAATCCTTGCCAAGAAAAATGCTGATAAATTGATGGACACAGGAGCCTACAATGCAAAAAAAACAGAAAGCTATAAAATGTTCCAGGTGGCTTGAGAAGCATGTTATTTTTGTCATTTGGGGCTATAAAATGTGCATGAAATGTCACATTCCTTACTTTTACTCAATCAAATGTAATCTGCTCTGTGTCCTACCCAGAAGACTGGGAGGAAATTCAACCCTAGTCATTAGTGGGGCTGTCTCCTCCCTCCAACACATTACAAAATACCAGGGGCTTAGGCAGTACCAGAAAAGCTGGGAGCAAGGCCAGGTCCTTAGTACTCAGGATAGCCAACTTAGTTCGCTCTAGCTGCTGTGACAGAATACCAGAGACTAGGTGACTTAAATGACAAATATGTTTTTGTTTGTTTTTGAGACAGGGTCTCACTGTATCACTCAGGCTGGAGGGCAGTGTTGCAATGTCACCTCACTACATCCTCAACCTTCCAGGCTCAGGTGATCCTCCTACCTCAGCCTCCCGCGCAGCTGGGACTATAGGTGCATACCACCACATCTGGCTAATTTTTCTTTTTTTTTTTTTTTTTAGACACAGTCTCGCTCTGTCACCCAGGCTGGAGTGCAGTGGCACAATCTCGGCTCACTGCAACCTCCGCCTCCCAGGTTCAAGCAATTGTCCTGCCTCAGCCTCCTGAATAGCTGGGACTACAGGTGCCCGCCACCATGCCCAGCTAATTCTTTGTATTTTTAGTAGAGATGGGGTTTCACCATGTTGGCCAGGCTGGTTTTGAACTCCTGACCTCAGGTGATCTGCCCTTCTTGGCCTCCCAAAGTGCTGGGATTACAGGCATGAGCCACCATGCCAGCCTAAGTTTTTGTATTTTTGTAGAGATGGGGTTTTCCCCATGTTGCCCAGGCTGGTCTCAAACTCCTGGGCTCAAGTAATCTGCCCACCTTGGTCTCCCAAACCTGTACTAGGATTACAGGTGTGAGCCACTACACCCAGCTGAATGAATATGTATTTCTCACAGTTCTGGAGACTAGGAAGTCCAAGATCCAGGTACCAGCAGATTTGATGTCTGCTGAGGGCTCTCTTCCTGATTCTCAGACTGCAGCCTTCTCACTACCGATGGCCGAGAGAGAGCTCTGGTCTCTAACTCGTCTTATAAGGGCACTAATCACACATGGGGGCTCCACCCTTATGACCTCAGCTAAACCTAAGTACCTCCAAAAGGCCCCACCTCCAAATATCATCACACTGGGGGTTGGGTTTTCAACATATTAATTATGGGGGGACAGAGACATTTAGCCCATAGAAGCCACTATTGTTTCTCTAGCTGCCTCTACTTTCAGAGGCTACAGTCAAGTCCTGGAGTGATGTCCTCTGGGTCAGGCCCAGCACTTCCCCTCACATCAGCAATGTCCACATCACCCATAGTAGAATCTCCCTGGGGACCCTGGCCTCTGTGCCCCTAGCTGGGAGAAATCATGGCTTCTCTGGGCATTCTCCAGCAATCCTTCAGCCTGGGAATGCTCTGGGCAGAAGTGGGGGTCTCCTCACTCGTGGGGAGAAAGCACCAAATTTCCAGACCCTAGAGAATCTCAACCTCTGCTCAAGACACACCCACAGTCCACTTCTGCCTCTCTTAGCCTAGGTGTTTGCGCATAATCCAAATGCCATCACTACCCACCTTCTCCATACTCAAGAAAGAGCCTCAGAATTGGGAACAAAAAGCCCAGTAACTCTCTTGGTGAGGGGAGTATACACAGAGCAACAAGAACAAAACAAAACAATTCCACAGTAAATTACCCTGCCACAAGCCTGGCATGGGAGCTTTGATGAACTGTAATGGAATGAAGAGCTGGGTAATGCTGTAGCCGCAACCCGGCAAAGTGAGTTGAAGGAGACAGAGCCTTACAGAACCAAGAAGCTACTCACCCTGGGCATGAAAGCTCTGGTCCAGGTGCAGATACAGCTGTTTCAGTTATCTATCACTGAGCAACCGCCATCCCAAACCTAGTGGCTTACAACAACAGCCACTTCCTTACATAAAAAATTGTGTCTGTCAGTTCAGCAATTCTACTCTGCTTGATGTTAACTGGAGTCACTCAATGCCATCTTCGGCAGCTGGCTGGTCTGGAGTGTTCAAGACAGCTTCCTTCACATTTTTGTCACCTTTGTGGGGACAGCTGGGCTCTGCTAGTGGTTGGCCAGAGTACCATACTCGGCCACTCCAGCAGGCAGTGGCAGGGAATTTGAACTTCTTCTTTTGGGGGGAAGAGGGGTACAGGGTCTCGCTCTGTTGCCTAGGCTGGTGTGCAATGGCATGGTCATAGCTGACTACAACCTTAAAGGTCTCAAGCAATCCTCCTGCCTCAGCCTCTTGAGTAGCTGGGACTACAGGCGTGAGCCACCATTCCCGGCTAATCTTTTCTTTTTTGTAGATATGGACTCTCACTATGTTGACCAGGCTGGTCTGAACTTCTGACCTCAAGTAATCCCCCTGCCTCAGCCTCCCAAAGTTCTAGGATTACGGAGCACCACTGTGCCCAGCCTGAATTTGAAACTTTTTTTTTTTTTTTTTTTTTTCCTGAGACAGAGTCTTGTTCTGTCACCCAGAGCTGGAGTGCAGTGGTGCAATCTCAGCTCACTGCAACCTCCACCTCCGGGGTTCAAGCAATTCTCCTGCCTCAGCCCCCTGAGTAGCTGGGATTACAGGTGCGCACCACCACATCCAGCTAATTTTTGTATTTTTAGTAGAGACGGCATTTCACCATGTTGGCCAGGCTGGTCTTGAACTCCTGACCTCATGATCCGCCCGCCTCAGCCTCCCAAAGTGCTGGGATTACAGGTGTGAGCCACCGTGCCCAGCCTGATTTTGAACTTTTTACATGGTGATTCAGGCTCCCAGAGAATGCTCCAGGAGACAGGAGGTGGAAGGTGCTATTGAATCCTGTGCTGGAAGCTGGTTTAGCATCACTTCCAACAATTTGTGTCGCTCGAGCAGCCACACAGCCACCCAGATTTAAGGGGTCCCCACCTCCCAATGGGAGAAGTAGCAAAGGATATGTAGCCAACTTTTAAATCTGCAATGAATAGAAGTAGTCCCCTTCCTCCAGCTGATTGCCAGGTGAGTTGGGGTTGGCTTCAACAATGGCATATATAAAACTTAGTGGCTCTGGTGAAGACATCAAGATCTCAAACTTAATCAAATGTCTGCCTGGCTGATGTGAGCAGCCCACAGGCCTTACTGCCAGATTTACCAATGCTGATGCCCATGCTCAAGAGTTCAGCTAGCATCTTGTGAAGGAGGCAGCAAATAGGGCTCTCAATAACACAAACCCATCTGTATTAGGGTACTCCAGGGAAGCAGACCCAATAGGAGAAATCAGGGCCAGGCACGGTGGCTCATGCCTGTAATCCTAGCACTTTGGGAGGCCGAGGTGAGAGGATCGCTTGAGCCCAGGAGTTAGAGACCAGCCTGGGCAACATAGTGAGACCTCATCTGTAAAAAAAGTTTAAAAATTAGTTGGGCATGGTGGTGGGCACCTGTAGTCCTAGCTACTCAGGAGGATGAGGCTGGAGGATTGCTTGAGCCTGGGAAGTCAAGGCTGCAATGAGCTAGGATTGTGCCACTGCACTCCAGCCTAGGCAACAGAGTGAGATCTTGTCTCAAAAAAAAAAAAAAGAAGAGAGAGAGAGAAATCAGTAGATGATATGATAGATAGATAAGTAGATAGATAGATTAGATAGATCGATCTATCGATCGATCAATCAATCGATATATAGATTGATAGATAGAATGAGGAATTGGCTCACATTATTATGGAGGCTCTAAAGTCCCACAGTCTGCCATCAGCGAACTGAGACCCAGGAAAGCCAGTAATATAATTCCAGTCTATGTCCACAATCTTGTGGACCAGAGGAACCAGGGGAGCTAATAGTACAAATCTCAGTCCAAGGAGAGAAGAAGACTGATATTCCAGTTCCAGCGCGCAGGCGGGAAGAAACAGTAGTGAATTTCTCTTTCCTCTTTTCGTTCTGTTCAGGCTCTCAGCAGATTAGATGATGCCCACCACACTGGCGAAGACAATCTACTGAGTCCACAATGCTAATCTCACCTAGAAACACCCTCAGAGACACACCAAGAAATGTTATTTAATCTGGGCACCCTGTAGTGCAACACAATCAAATTGACACATAAAATTAATCATTGAATTTTATACCCTAAAAATCGCAACATCTAATCCATTTCCATTTTTGATGCAGATAAAAAATCCATGAGATCAGTTCAGGAAGCCATAAAAAGGTGATCAAAAAGAAGATGGAGTCAAGGAAGATGTCAAGCAGGAAAGAGCAGAAAGTCCTTTTTTTTTTTTTTTTTTTTTTGAAAGACAGAGTCTCATTTGTAGCCCAGGCTGGAATGCTGGAATGCAGTAGTGCGATCTCAGCTCACCTCCACCTCCCAGCCTCCAGGAAGGTGGGATTACAGGCATGTGCCACCACACCCGGCTAATTTTTGTATTTTTAGTAGAGATGGGGTTTCACCATGTTGGTCAGGCTGGTCTCGAACTCCCGACCTCAGGTGATCCATCCGCCTTGGCCTCCCAAAGTGCTGGGATTACAGGCGTGAGCCACTGCATCCAGCTACTTCTATCTTTTAAAAAAATGTTTTTATATAAATAAAACATACATACAGAGAAGTGCATTAATTTTAAATGTACAGCTCAAAGAACTTTCGCAAACAGCATATGCATGCAACCAGTGCCTAGATTAAGGAAAGGACATTCCCAGGATGCCAGGGGCCCCCTCCTGTGCCTTTTAGTTACTACCCTCCCCAAAGGACAACCTCTCTCCTCACTACTACCATTTTGCCTGGACCTGAGCTTTATATAAATGGAATCATACAATGTGCTCTTTCACAGCTGGCTTCTTTCACTCGACTTTATGTCTGCAGATTTGCCTGTTATCACATGCAGTTATAGGAACATTCATTTTCAGTGCTGAGAAATATTCCACTGCATGCATATGCCACAATTTTCCTCCCCTTTCTCCTGCTGAAGGCTATTTGGGTCATTCCCACTTTAGGCAGTGTGGGCTCCAGTGCTTCTCTATTGGGAGCAGCTCTGCTCCTCCTGTCCCTCAATGAGTGCCACTCACTGAGGACACCACGGAGAGTGTGACTGGGCACCACACAGTGCCCCCAACTCAGGGGCACCAGGTCCCCTTTGGCTCAAAGACGAAGCAAGACAGAGCTTTCTGTCTGACCCCACAAACCTGTCTGCCATTTCTGCCACCTCCCCAGGACTCAGCCCAGGGACCCCTTTCTCTAATACCCACAAATGTGCACATTGTTATTATGGCCCCTCTGCCCCACCAGCACAAGGGAACCCCTTTCTGTTGGAAGGTGAGGGGATGGTTGTTCTTAGTGTCCATTTCTCCTAAATACCTGGCCTATGTCATAAATCCTTTCAGTTCCCATGAGGTCTCATGTTTGAAATTTATGAGGCAGAAGATGCTGCTTGGCTCTGCTTTCTGCTGACTGCCCACCCTCCTACCCCAACTGCTAGAAGGGCTGGGGAGTGGGAGGGGAGGAGGGAGAGATACAGATGAAATAAATCAGAAGTTGTTTTTTTTTTTTTTTCTAGAGATGAGGTCTCTCTCTGTCACCCAGGTTGGAGTACAGTGGCAAAATTGCAGCTCACTGCAGCCTGGAACCCCTGGGCTCAAGTGATCCTCCTGCCTCAGCCTCCCAAGTACCTGAGATTACATGTGTGAGCCACCGCACCTGGCCAGAGAATATTTCAAAATGTTAGCCCTCCACATTTACAACGGAAAGGATTTGGACCAACCCACTTCTGCCATCTCTCTTGGGCAATGGACACTGATGGTTAGGGATGCCCTTACTTGTTCCCAGCGGGCTTCTCATACTCTAACAAACACACAGAAAGGCATCCAGCTCCACAGTGTCTCAGTCTGTGTCATTGGTTTGTCTGGGGCTCCAAATGTCCCACTTCTTCTGGGCATCCATTATCTTCCCTGGAATAGAGTGCAAAGGCCCCTCAGCTCAGTGGTCTTCCCTCAGAGCCTGGAAGCCCCTTCATTATGGTGGCTGGATACTTTCTTGAGATATTAACATGTGTTTTTTTGTTCTTCCTGTTTTGTCACTGTTCTACCCCATTCCAGGAAGCGTTTGCACATCCTGGCCCCAGAAGATTTTGCGTAGCCTCACCAAGAGAAGAAGTTGGAAAGAAAAAAAAAGAAGTTGGCAAGGCATCCAGAGGAGACCCCGCCAGCACCTGGGTTCTCTGCCAGGGGAGAGAGGTAAGCACACTGGACTGAAGGAGGCAAAAGCTGCTCAAGGGAGTGGGGGGTGGGGGGAGATTCCCAGATGCTGTGGAAGGGATGTGGTTTGGGGGTCCTTGGAGTAGTGAGGAGAAGCCCTGCTCCCACATAGAACCCCACACACACAACAGTGGGGATGGAGGGAGGTCAGGGATTCCAAAGGAAACTAGCTAAGAACCTTGGCCTTACTAACCACAAAGACTCCCATTCATATCAGCTGTGTCTGAAGGTCAGAGGCCCAGAC
Organism: Homo sapiens; assembly: GCF_000001405.40. NCBI lineage: Eukaryota > Metazoa > Chordata > Mammalia > Primates > Hominidae > Homo > Homo sapiens. Next base: position 30,830,249 of record NC_000006.12, on the reverse strand, counting down.
TCTGAATGTTCTAGGCTGGGTCAGACCCCTGGGATGGTCACTGGACCCCATAGGAGAAGAGATAGGGGAGTCCCTAATAAAACTTCAATTACATTTCCTGCCTGCTTGGTCAGTGGATACTAAATGCAGATGACTTAGAAAAAGAAAGAATTGTGAGATGCTGTGGAGTCAACTCAATGTCATCATTAGCGTCTTCCTCTTCAGAGTCCTGTATCCCAGCGACGGAGCTCAAGGTTCAGACTAAAGGCTTCCTACCCCTGGCAAGGAGGTCTTTATAGTGGAGGTGAACGTTTACACACTACACTCTGAGAATTTTTTTTTTAAAGTAGCCTCTATTTTGTATGTCTTCTCATCCTGTTAGAGTAAGTAGCTAGTCAGGGATGAGCAGGGCAGGAGAGGGCGCCCCAGACACACACCCACAGGAATGTCAGGCAAACATCAGGTGAGGGTCAGGCAGTTGTTAACGGGCTCTCTAAAATAATTGGTCACAGCTGGCACCAGAGACAGGCAGTCTCCCAATAGAAACATCTGAAACTGGTGATCAGCAGTTTCCCAATAAGATCCCAGTAAGTGACCAAAGAGGCAAGAATTGAGGTTGCTGCAGACCCCTATGGATTTGCTGCCACTAACGATCCCTACTACTGCTGCTGGGGAGGAGGTTTTAATAGTATCTATTAATTAAAGATATCCCAGTCTCTTTTCTATCCTCCCTCCCCAAATACTGCTCGGTCCACCTCATGAGATTGTCCTGGGCCTTTTGAGACCCAGGCAATGGGAAGAGAAGGCCATGGAAGTGGACTGAGAATGCTGGGTGTCTAGATTAACTATGCTGCCCTCCGGAAGGCACCTCCAGTAGGATGCACAGCTGTGGCTATCAGCAAATTCCCCTTCCTCCTCTTGCAGGTGCCCTAGAGAACATGGATAGGGCTGCAGGTGGTTAATGGTTCAAAGACTACTCAGTGAAGACGCTGCCTGGGGGAACAGAGTGTGGCCACATCTAAGGAAAGAAGGTACAGGTGAACAGGAGAGGAGGTGAAGGAGAAGCGAGCAGGTGGGGGTTGCGGAGGGGCTGAGGAAGGTCAGGCAGAGCCAGGAGACCAATCCAGCTCCTTGGAAGGTAGCTCAGTTGACTCCTTACCATGTGGCATTTGTAAAAGGTGGACAGTAGAGGCCTGGGGCCAGAGAGAGGCTGGACCAGATTCCCACTGTAAAAATCTCCTTGCCAAGGTCCAGGTAGGGTGTCCTTAAGTCTGAATCTTGATCCCCATCGCTGGGATACAGGACTCTGAAAGAGGAAGATGCTAAATGACTGCATTTGGGGAGGGAAAGACACGCTCACTTCTCCCCAGCCCCAAGTTGCCCTGTGTTGCTGCCACACTACGTAACTACAGTCATAAACTATATTTGAAGCATGATGGAACCTGAACCATGGCAGTAGCTTAAGTTGACTACATTAACAGGGAAAGCTGAGTCATGATTCTATACTGAATATAAAAATTAAGTCAGATGTGCTCACTCACATGCACACAAATATTCTGGAAAGCTGAGATCCACAGCCCCAAGATGGGGAAAGGGCTCCCCCTGGTGGGATTGCCAGAGGTTCCCCCATGGAACTGCACGCCCCAGACCAAGCCAAAGCCCCAAGCAAAACAATCTGCTATGTCATGCAGGATTGGAAGACTTTCGTTTGCTTCAGGGCCAATTTATGACTCCCGGTATTCTCTGTCCTGAAATGACACCCAGTTCCAGGAAGAATTGGATTCTAGGACCAACTTGTACAGGCGCCCCAGGAGACAGTCTGGGCATGCAGGTCAGCCGATGTGTGCCGGGGAAGACTGTCCACATTTGCTCCTCAGTCCCACTGGGCCTGATCACAGGCCACCCCCCATAGTAAAGGGGAGCCAGGGCCCCTGGGCAAGGTTAGATGCTGCCTCTCATGCCCCTGAATTAGCCAAGAGGCGCTCCAGCAGGAAGCCTTGTTTGGCTTATATTGCAAAGGAGGCACCACTTACTATGCAGTCCCCTGCCCGGAGCACCTTGCCTGTGCTACTGAGAAATGTCCTGCTGCAGCAGGAGAGGCGGATCGAGCTACAGCCAAGAGTGTGCCCTGCCTCCATCTGTTGACCCAGGTCAGAATGATGTGGAACACTGGACAGTTAACTCACTGGGTTCAAAAAACACAGCAACACAATGCTCTGGGTGCCTCCTGGCTGTGATGTGCACTATTGTTTTCTGGGGAGATCCCATCACATATGAAACTTCAGATGTTCATCCAGTGATCATGTCAAGCTTCCATTGTTTGCTCTCATATGCTCCCTGGAGCTGGATTCCACCCTGGCTCAAGACCTCTGATGAAGTGCTGGCATGGAGCAGAAACTCCCTTAGGCAGAAACCCCCTTTCCCCCTTGCCACCCACCCCCCACCAGCACCCCATCCTAGGGATGCCACCGCAGGTCTCCTCTCATAGCAGCACTACTTCCTCAATTCTCAACTTCAGGTTACTGCTACAGAGTCTCGCACCTGATCCAGCCTTGAGAAAGTGATTAGAGTGTGACCGGAAAAAATTGTTAGTGATCCCCAAATATGTAGTATAAAGCTACAGTAAATGCTTCTAAAAAATAGACACAAGTGAAACAGGCTAGCCCAGGGGCTTTCAATACAGAGCAATGATAGATATAATATTAGAGAAAATTAAAAAGCAATGCTCCACAAAGGGAGAATATCCCCAAAGATATTCCCAGAAACTGAATATAAATGCAAAAGATGAACAGGGCTACAGCTGTGGCCTGTTGGGTTCTGACTCAGGGTACAGTTAAAGGCAGCTGGGAAGTCAAGTCCTGTTGAGTACTGAGTGGTGAGATAGAATTAAATTGCCCACTGAGGTGGGGGACCAGTGTCATGGTCACTGTGAAAATATTAGGGACTCAGATTCCCCTCTTGCCCACACTTCCACCCTCTTCAAGAAGACTGAAATAGCTTGCTACTAACTTCGCCTGGGACTGTGGCCTAGGGAGGCCCGTGGTTACCAAACGGCACCACACCTGGGCTTAACTGAGCCACCCACAGCCATGGGGCTGGATGTGAGTCATTCCCAGGGTTATCCCAGGGCAGGAGCCCCGACTGCCATATAAGACCTAGTCCTGAACACTGGCCCCTGGGAAGGGCAACTGCACAGCCACTAGGCAGGGAGGAGTGAGGAACAAGAGAAGGGAGACAGAGAAAGCCTGGAAATGAACCTGGAAGCTGAAATTCCAAAACACATAAAAACTAACACTGAGAAAGGCAGCCAGCAACATCAACACTTGATGCATGACAGGTGAAGTGAAAAGAATATAATCATTGGAAAGAGTCTTCAGTATCCTCAAGGAGGCAGTTAAACATATAATGTTCACTTAAAAATCAAGCCACTATGAGATTACAACCAGGCAGAAACGTGCTGTCATATAACAATGGAACAGAAAAATATTATGCAATAAATGGTTCAGGAGAAATAATTATTAATATTTGGGAAAATACATATAGTAGATGTAAATCCTCACTTCATCTAACATATCCTGAGCAAATCTAAATATTTTTTAATCTCTGAAAAGGGTAGGATGTTCTAAATTAGCTGAAAGAAGCCAGGTGTGTTGGTGGCGTAATTCCCAGCTACTTGAGAGGCTGAGGCAGGAAGATCGCTTATGCCCAGAAATTCGAGACCCGCCTGAGAAACATAGCAAGACTCCCAGTCTCTTAAAGAAAAATAAAACTAGATTTTAAGATAAATATCATACAAGAAATATGAAAGTAATAAGTAAAACATGGGAAAAAAGTAAAAAAACAAATTAACTGAAACAATAGGCCAACAAAAGAAAGGAATATATGCATAGATTTAACTACAAAAAGTTTTTAAATTTTTTTTTTTTTCTTTTGAGACAAAGTCTCGCTCTGTCACCCAGGCTGGAGTGCAATGGCACAATCTTGGCTCACTGCAAACTCCACCTCCCACATTCAAGCGATTCTCCTGCCTCAGCCTCTCGAGTTCCTGAGTACCTGGAACTACAGGCACAGGCCATCATGTCCAGCTGATTTTTTGTATTTTTAGTAGAGACAGGGTTTCACTATGTTGGCCAGGCTGGTCTTGAACTCCTGACCTCAAGTGATCCACCCTCCTCGGCCTCCCAATGTGCTGGGATTACAGGTGTGAGCCACTGCGCCTGGCTAATTTTTATATTTAATAGAAAAAAATGGAATGCAAATAAATAAGGAAAATGTTGGCAACAGTCTCTGAATCCAGCCTTTCTGGGTATGACTTTGGGCAAGTTACTTGACCTCTCCAGGCTTCTATTTCCTCCGTCATACGAGACTAATTATTGTACCGTGAGGCAGGATTAACTGAATTACTCCATTTAAAGCTCTTAGAACAGTAACCAGCACCTAGAAAATACCCCACAGCTATTTGTATTTTATATTGTACTGTGTGAGAAATTCAGACACAGACAATTTATAACAGAAACACCATAACTAATTAACAATTATCAACGAACAATTCAACTTCATTAATATTGAAAAAAATCTAATTTTTTTTTTGCCTTTCTAGTTGATAGACTGTTAAAATAACAATAGTGTATTCCTGCCCTAACCCTGGGGTCCTGTTCCTAAAAGCCTCCTTGGATGAAAACATTGTGATTAAGAAACTCAGGACTTTATGAAAAGTTAGGGATAGGGAATACTGAAATCTTTAGAAAACCCATGTTTTTTAAAACTTTTGCGTTTTTTATGTTTTAAAACTATTCCCAGCCAGGCACGGTGGCTCACGCCTCTAATCCCAGCACTCTGGGAGGCCAAGGCAGGCAGATCACTTGAGGTCAGGAGTTCGAGACCAGCCTGGCCAACATGGCAAAACCCCGTCTCTACTATAAAATACAAAAATTAGCAAGGCATGGTGGCGGGCGCCTGTAATCGGAGGCTGAGGCAGGAGAATCGCTTGAACCTGGGAGGCAGAGGTTGCAGTGAGCCGAGATGGCGCCATTGCACTCCAGCCTGGGTGACAAAGCGAGACTCCGTCTCAAAAAAAAAAAAGCTATTCCCTATTTTTACTAAAATACACTCATAAAGAGAGTATCAATTTTATAAAACTTAGATTGGTAACTGCTTACTGAACAATTACTTCCATTAATTTTTCCTTACTGGAGCATAGCCTTCTAAAACCTCTCCCCTGCGGTTTCAGTGAGATGTTTGCAAATCAGTTAAGTGGGTCTATAAGGAAGAACTGTGGTATTTGTTTGCATATGGTTCCTCATCCAAACACTGCGAGCCTTTTCAGTTATCAGTGGCTGTATGTAATGGACAATTATAAAACAGAGAAAGAGAAAGTGATCCAAGCGGAACGTGCTATGGAAGGTTGCACCAGGAAGAGATGCTTGTGCACTGTCTGGAATGAGCCAGTGGTCCCAGCCCAGGGATTCTGGTTCACTGGATCTAGGGATGGGCCAGGCACGTGCCGCTTGGAAGGCTCTGCAGGTAGTTCTAATGTGCACCCTGTCATGAACCTGCGGAAGAGGATTGGATCAGGGAAGGGACACTTGATTTCTCAGCTTTAACATAAATGAGGGTTTCCATTTTCTGGGTTTTAATCTTCTCCTTTCACTGTAAAATGGAAGAGTTGGACTAAAGTGGAATCTTCGTTATATGACGAGGCAGCACAATATGCGAGAAAGCACACAGGACTTAGGGTCAGGCCACTGGAGCTGGTGTTCTCTCCAGAGTCATTCTTCCTCTCCTTCACACTTACATCCACCCTTCCTACCCTAAAATCCATCTCCCATCTGTCCCCACTCAGTCCCTTAACCACTGCCTTTTTTTTTTTTTTTTTTCGAGATGGAGTCTCGCACTGTCACCCAGCCTGGAGTGCAATGGTGCCATCTTGGCTCACTGCAACCTCCGCTTCCCGGGTTCAAGTGATTCTCCTGCCTCAGCCTCCCAAGTAGTTGGGATTACAGGCATCCACCACCACGCCCGGCTAATTTGTCTTTTTTTTTTTTTTAAATCAAGCAATCCCCTGAAACTGAATAGGTTCAGAGAGACTCCTGCCACTAATTCAGATGTTCATCACCTCTCACTGGAGCAATTTCCATAGCTTCCCAACTACTTTTCCCGACACCAGTTTTTGTGTTTTTTTTTCTTTTTTGAGACAGGATCTTGCTCTGCTGCCCAGGCTGGTATGCAGTGGCGTGATTATGGGTCACTGCAGCTTCCGTCTCCTGGGCTTGAGTGATCCTCCCACCTCAACCTCCTGAGTAGCTGGGACTACAGGCATGCACCACCATGTCTGGCTAATTGTTTAAAACTTTTGCAGAGATGAGGTCTCACTATGTTGCCTAGGCTGGTCTCAAACTCCTGGCTCAAGCAATTCTCGCATGTTGGCCTCCCAAAGTGCTGGGATAACAGATGTGAGCCACCACACCCAATCCCTGATACCAGTTTAGATCCTCTCTAATCCCCCTTTGCACCGCCTTCTGGTATGCATCTTCCACTGCTGCTGAAACCTCTGGCTGATCACAGGAGGGTACATTTTCCCCACCTCATATGCCAGTCATTTTATTAGATCATCAAAATCCTGGCAGTCACCAGTGAGCGATTTACATTTTTGCAACGTGGTTCCCATTATTCTACTGTCTCTTTCTTTCTTTAGTAAACCCTCAATGTTTCTTGTATAAGAAATGGGCTGGGATGGCTGGGCGGGGTGGCTCACACCACTGCACTCCAGCCTGGGCAAGAGAGCAAGACTCCATCTCCAAAAAAAAAGAAGGAGAAGGAGGAGAAGAAGAAGAAGGGGAAGAGGAAGAAGAAGAAGAAGGAGAAGGAGAAGTGAAAGAAGAAGAAGAAGAAATGGGCTGGGATGTTATCAAGAAGCTTTGTCATTTTGGTTTATTCTTTTTTTTTTTTGAGATGGAGTCTTACTCTGTCACTCAGGCTGGAGTGCAGTGGTGCCATCTCGGCTCGCTGCAACCTCTGCCTCCCGAGTTCAAGCGATTCTCCTGCCTCAGCCTCCCAAGTAGCTGGGATTACAGGCACCCGCCACCATGCCCAGCTAATTTTTGTATTTTTAGTAGAGACGGGGTTTCACCATGTTGACCAGGCTGGTCTTGAACTCCTGACCTCATGAACCGCCTGCCTTGGCCTCTCAAAGTGCTGTGATTACAGGCGTGAACCACTGCACCCGGCCCATTTTGGTTTATTCTTTGCAGTCAATAAACTTTTAAAGGACTTCTGCCTTCACCAGGAGCTGCATCCCACTTCACACATCTAGGCACTGAGTGTTCCCTTGGGCCACAATCAAAGAGCCTCTCATGGCATTCCCATCTTGCCCCTGTGGGACTAAAAACCAAGATTAGAAAGCTCTTTGAAAGTTGGAACTCTGCCTTATTTACTCTTTCTTCCCAGCCCCTATATGGTGCCTGGAATGCTTGTTGAATAAACAAATCTATGCACCTAGAACAAATATTAGAAATAGACCTTTAAAATCTCCCAGAGTCAAAAATATGTAGAAGCACAAAACAAGCAATGAATGTTTTTACTTTCTCAGTTCCCTTCTTGTCATAACCCAAACCCCACAAGTTCCAAATCATATTCAAAAGTAACCGAAAGGGACAAGCTAATCCTTAGGGACCAATGCCACTCATCCTCAGATTCCACAGGACAGTCAGCACTTCTCCTGACAAAATATGATGGTATTTTAGCTCAACAATGCTAATATTAGCTACAATCCCTCATCACCCTCTTCATCCACTCCGAGATTCAAGGGCTCAACAGTAAGGAGTTTACCTCAAAGGAAGGTGTGTGCTAGAAGCAGGTAGAGACACGCTCATTTCTAACTCTTAGAACAGACAATTCTAAATGCCAGTTGACGATTTCAGTGTGGTTTTCTGGCCATCAGGTACAGACAAATTCCTTTTTGAACCTTAAAATTCCAAAGATGGGTCTCCCCTGCCTGTGTATAAAAAGCCAGCTAGGAGTAAGAATTAGAAATGAGCTTTCTCAGGGGCATTTTCACCATTAATTATCTAGAGTTTTTTTTTTTGTTTTTTCAGAGTAGTAGCCATTCTCTTTGTTTATCTTAATGAGCCCAGTTATGCCATCTGGTGGCCAAAATAAATTGAAAACATGCAACTATGCTGTCAGAAAGTGTGAACGTGTCCTTTTTAGAGTTATTCCCTTTCACCCCTTAGTTTTCTCCCCATTTTCCGTGAGCATCTATCACTCACTACATAAGGAGTACCAGGGCATTGATCTTGATGGTGCCTGTTTCCCTGCATGGAAAGGTAAGAAAGTTTGGTCTTGGTACAAGTGAAACTGGTTAAGATCAAAAGAAAAAGAAGGACAAGTTAGGGACAGGACCCTTGCCCATGTCCAAAGGAACAGAATAATGTTTCCAGAAGAAAGAGCAAGAGCAGAAGCCAGTGCCCCCAGCTTATCAGTAAGCAGCATGGAATTTGACTAGGAAACAGCAGAACGGCCACTGCTAAGTGGGAATCACCATAACACCTGAAAAAAATAATAATAACAGCAAGAGTAGCTGCTCCAAATGTGTTCAAACCTCCTGGTCTGAATGGATTACATTCCTAAGTACCAAAATAAAAATTAACTGAGAGTATCTCCAAGTCACTATCAACGATCTCTGAGAAATCACAAAGAGGCAGAAAGGTATTAGAAGTTGGAGATTGTGTGGCTCTGATTCCCAAAGATGGAAAAAAAGATGAATGTTGAAAAGCACAGATCAGGCCAGGTGTGGGGGCTCACGCCTGTAATCCTAGCACTTTGGGAGGCTGAGGCAGGTGGATTACTTGAGTTCAGGAGTTTGAGATGAGCCTGGGCAAAACCCCATCTCTACAAAAAATACAAAAATTAGCTGGGCACGGTGGCTCACGCCTGTAATCCCAACACTTTGGGAGGCCGCGGCAGGCATATCACCTGAGGTCAGCAGTTCGAGACCAGCCTGACCAACATGGAGAAACCCTGTCTCTACTAAAAATACAAAATTAGCCAGGTGTGGTGGCGCATGCCTGTAATCCCAGCTACTCGGGAGGCTGAGGCAGGAGAATTGCTTGAACCTGGATGGTGGAGTCTGCAGTGAGCCGAGATCGTGCCATCACACTCCAGCCTGGGCAACAAGAGCAAAAACTCCATCTCAAGAAAAAAAAAAAAATTAGCCAGGTGTGGTGGTGCACACCTGTAGTCCCAGCTACTTGGGGGACTGAGGCAGGAGGATCACTTGAGCCCAGGAAGTCAAGGCTTGCAGTGAGCCAAGATCAGGCCACTGTACTCCAGCCTGGGTGACAAAGCGAGACTCTGTCTCAAAAATAAAAAAGAAAAGAAAACTACAGATAAGTGGCCTTGGCAATGACTGTAGGCAAAAACCCTCAAATGAGATACAGAAAGATGTTTTGTAAAGTGTTTCGTGAGCCCCGAGAAGAGCTGAGTATAGTCACCCCTAAGCTCAAGTGATCCTTTCACCTTAGCCTCCCAATAGCTAGGACTATAGGCGTGTCACCATTCCCTACTAATTTTTTAACACCTCCTTCCCGTCCCTCGACTCCTGCTCTCAAACTCTTCAGAAGACTTGTTCCCATGATTCTGTTGGAGACCATGTTCTCTGGAAACAGATACTGAGATAAAGTTGGGATGCAAGATGTTAATTAGGTATTAACACCTGTGAATAAGGGCAAGGAAGCAGGAGTGGGCAGAGGGAGAAGTTAAACTGAGCTGCAGGCCCAACCACACCTCTCATAACTCTGCAGAGAGCTTGGGGCAGTATTGTCTATCAAAGCAAAGCAAGTTGAACTGAAAGAGCCAGACATTTATATCCAGCCCTGCTTAGTCACCACATGGAGCTGCCAGGAGAAAGGGTGTGACCAGGAAGAGGGACCAGGCAGCTCTTTGCAGCCAGGGGACCCTGAAGGAGCTGATGGCTGGAGGCTGTCTGCTGACTGCTCTCCCATAGCTGGGCAACAAGTCCTTCCTTGGGGGAGATCTGAGCAGCACATCTCCATGTCCACTACGCTCTCCTTACTACCATTCCCCTCTGGCACCACTGAAATCCACCTTCCATCTTCGCTTTTACTCCACTCACTCCATCCCTTTGCTCCACGCCAAATCCAGTGGGCCCTTCTTGGTTCTTACCTTACAGCTGACCTCTCTCTCATTTGTTGAAGTTATCGATTTCTACAGTAACTTCTCCTCTCTCTCCTTGACCTCTCTACCCACACTTTGCCGGCCTGTTCAGGGGTCCTGTCCTCCATGCACTACCCAAGCACTGGGACTCCATTCTGAATCCATCCTCCTCTTCCTCCGTACTCTCCCAGGCGATCCCACCCACTATCAGGGTTTTAATTCCTGTTTATATGGCAGTGACTTTGAAATGTACTCTCCAGCTATCCTCTCTGCTAGGCTTCCGATTCCCATATCTAATTGGCTGCTGGCTATCTCCATGCTAAGGGCTGTCAGAACTGTGACATTCCACCTCTCTTCTCCCACTGTGTTCCCACCCTAATTCTTCCAGTGCAAGAAACCAGGGACCCTTTGAACCTGCTCTGTCAAGTTTCTTTTCTCGGCAGCCACCCCCGCTGGGTCCAGTTTGGGCATGGGTATGGAAGCACTCCGAACAGTATCAAGGACTCTGCATATGGAGATTTGCATCACTGACATATAAATAGCTGATGCTGGTGCTGAAACCAAAGAATATTCATCACTGATCACACCCACTACTTGCCCAACCAGATGTGAACCTCTGACTCAGTGGGTCCACAGGAAAGAGTTACTCAGCACTTCCTAGGTATAGGTGATGAGAGATGGTATTCATTTATTTTACAGCTTGAAGAATCTGTAAAGAAAATCTGAAGAAAAGAGTTATCTGGGCTGGGCACGGTGGCTCACGCCTGTAATCCCAGTACTTTGGGAGGCCGAGGCGGGCGGATCACGAGGTCAGGAGATTGAGACCAGCCTGGCCAACAGGGTGAAACCCCGTCTCTATTAAAACACAAAAATTTAGCCGGGCGTGGTGGCGCATGTCTGTAGTCCCAGCTACTCGGGAGGCTGAGGCAGGAGAATCGCTTGAACCCGGGAGACGGAGGTTGCAGTGAGCCAAGATTGCGCCACTGCACTCCGGCCTAGCGACAGAGCGAGACTCCATCTCAAAACAACAACAACAAAAAAAGAGTTCTCTGAGCAGGTAGCTTTTAGCCACACCTTTTATTTCCAGGCCTATACCTGTGTGGCAAAGGCTTAAATAGGAGGTATTTCTGAAGGAAAATTAACTCCAGTTTATTTAAATATACCATGCTTCGTGTATATATGTCCTCTCCTTCCAAACCGGAATTTCCAGTTAAATTCAAGGAATAATTATCAAGTAAATACAACATGACAAGAGCAAGGCTAAGTACAGGACAGTTCCTGCCTTAAGGAATCTAAGGTGAAAGGATAAGTCTAATGGAAGCGCATTCCAGTTTGCTGATGAGCACAAAAGCCATAGCAGCTAAGTGCCATGGGTTCCAGAGAAGGAAAGTGTCTCCGTGCAGGCTGGCTTCATAAAGGCTTCTGAGATAGGCCTAAAGGATAGATCAGATTTCAGGAAGTAAGCACAAGACAGGAATAAGCAAGAAATAATGATGACACACAAGGAATGGAGAGGAAAGAATGCCATCAGAAGAATATCTTCAGAGAATTGCACAATAAAGAGTAATGGTAAGGAAATTTTCTTATAGCTAAGGCCAAATATTGAGACTACAGAAATACCCTGGGAGGCTAGAGAGAGGCAACGTCATGGGGGTAAGATTGGTTTTTTGTTTGATTGGTTTTTTTTGGGGGGGGCGGTTAGGTTTTTTCTTTGGAGAAGGAGTCTCCCTCTGTCACCCAGGCTGGAGGGTAGTGGCGCAATCTCAGCTCACTGCAACCTCCGCCTCCCAGGTTCAAGCGATTCTCCTGCCTCAGCCTCCCGAGTAGCTTGGATTACAGGCAACCACCACCTCGGCCGAATGATTTTTGTATTTTTAGTAGAGACAGGGTTTCACCATGTTGGCCAGTCTGGTCTTGAACTCCTGACCTCAGGTGATCCATTCACCTTGGCCTCCCAAAGTGCTGGGATTATAGGTATGAGCCACATACCCAGCCAGATTGTTAAAATAATATTATTACAAGGAGGTGGGTAGAAAAGGCCAAAATCACTGCCCCATTAACTTTTCCTAGGCCCCAGTTCAGACCCAAACTCTTTTTAGACTTCCCTTTTCTACCATCATGGGCAGCACGGGTGTTGTGGCTCCGAGACCCCTCTTCTATCCAGCTCCCTGAAAAGAACAATGCCCACTAAAGGCTTGCTGGGAGTTGATCCATCACTTCTGGTTTGGTAGAATGTTTCCCTAAGGATCTCTTGAGCCCAGGAATTCAAGACCAGCCTGAGAAACATGGAAAAAACGCATCTCCACAAGAAATGCAAAAATGAATGGGGTGTGGTGGTGTGCGCCTGTAGTCCCTAAGGGCTGTCAGAACTTAGGAGGCTAAGACAGGAGGATTGCTTGAGCCCAGGAAGTCGAGGCTGCAGTGAGCCATGATCACACCACTGTACTCCAGCCTGGGCAACAGAGCAAGACCCTGTCTCAAAGAAAAAGTTTCCCTAATGTTGCCCACATGGGTAACTCCCTCCCACCTATCCCAGTTGTAATTAAGTGAGAACACTCTAGTCCTTGTTCTTAAATGAAGGAAGTGAAAATTTGTGAGGACAAGAATGTTCTGGGCCTGGTGACCTCCCGAAGTGAGCTTGGCAGCAAATCTTCCCATTTGCCTTGGGAAAGCCCTAAAAAAACCAGAGTATGGGATACTGATAGTGGTTATAATTGCTAACGAGGTTAGGGTTTTAACACATGACGCATGCTAAGTAGTCAAAATTCCCCATTTTACAGAAAGAGAAACTGAAGTTCAAAGATGCTATGTGCAATCCCCCTACATGGAGACACAGTCTGAGTCTAGTTTCTCAAGGCCTTGGCAGGGCCTGAGGGAGTGGGTAACATGGGTATGGCTTGTATACATTTATGAATTTTGTATCTGGGAAGCAATATGGAGAAATAGCCTGTAAGGAAGGAAAAGATTAGACACTATTTACTGCAGCTCCAAACAAAACTACACAGAGGCCAGGAGCAGTGGCTGATGCCTGTAATCCCAGCATTTTGGGAGGCCAAGGTGGGTGAATCACCTGAAGTCAGGAGTTTGAGACCAGCCTGGCGAACATGGTGAAACCCTGTCTCCACTAAAAGTACAAAAATTAGCCGGGTGTGGTGGCACACGCCTGTAATCCTACCTACTCAGGAGGCTGAGGCAGGAGAATCACTTGAACCTGGGAGGCAGAGGTTGCAGTGAGCTTGAGAGGTGACAGCCTGCTAGCAGTCCTCACAGCTCTCACTCGCTCTGGGCGCCTCCTCTGCCTGGGCTCCCACTTTGGCGGCATTTGAGGAGCCCTTCAGCCCACCGCTGCACTATGGGAGCCCCTTTCTGGGCTGGCCAAGGCCAGAGCCGGCTCCCTCAGCTTGCAGGGAGGTGTGGAGGGAGAGGCGCGAGCGGAACCGGGGCTGCGTGCAGTGCTTGCGGGCCAGCTGGAGTTCCGGGTGGGCGTGGGCTTGGCGGGCCCCGCACTCGGAGCAGCCGGCCGGCCCTGCCAGCCCCAGGCAGTGAGGGGCTTAGCACCCGGGCCAGCGGCTGCGGAGGGTGTACTAGGTCCCCCAGCAGTGCCGGCCCACCGGCGGTGCGCTCGATTTCTCGCCAGGCCTTAGCTGCCTTCGCACGGGGCAGGGCTCGGGACCTGCAGCCCGCCATGCCTGAGCCTCCCACCCCCTCCGTGGGCTCCTGTGCGGCCCAAGCCTCCCCGACGAGCGCCGCCCCCTGCTCCAGGGCCCCCAGTCCCATCGACCGCCCAAGGGCTAAGGAGTGTGAGCGCATGGCCCAGGACTGGCAGGCAGCTCCACCTGCAGCCCCGGTGCTGGATCCACTGGGTGAAGCCAGCTGGGCTCCTGAGTCTGGTGGGGACGTGGAGAGTCTTTATGTCTAGCTCAGGGATTGTAAATACACCAATCGGCACTCTGTATCTAGCTCAAGGTTTGTAAACACACCAATCAGCACCCTGTGTCTAGCTCAGGGTTTGTGAGTGCCCCAATTGACACTCTACCTAGCTGCTCTAGTGGGCCCTTGGAGAACCTTTATGTCTAGCTCAGGGATTGTAAATACACCAATCGGCACTCTGTATCTAACTCAAGGTTTGTAAACACGCCAATCAGCACCCTGTGTCTAGCTCAGGGTTTGTGAGTGCACCAATCGACACTCTGTATCTAGCTGCTCTGGTGGGGCCTTGGAGAACCTTTACATTTAGCTCAGGGATTGTAAATACACCAATCGGCACTCTGTATCTAACTCAAGGTTTGTAAACACGCCAATCAGCACCCTGTGTCTAGCTCAGGGTTTGTGAGTGCACCAATCGACACTCTGTATCTAGCTGCTCTGGTGGGGCCTTGGAGAACCCGTGTGTCCATACTCTGTATCTAACTAATCTGATGGGGACGTGGAGAACCTTTGTATGTAGCTCAGGGATTGTAAACGCACCAATCAGCACCCTGTCAAAACAGGCCACTCGGCTCTACCAATCAGCAGGATGTGGGTGTGGCCAGATAAGAGAATAAAAGCAGGCTGCCCCAGCCAACAGTGGCAACTTGCTCCGGTCCCCTTCCACAGTGTGTAAGCTTTGTTCTTTTGCTCTTTGCAATAAATCTTGCTACTGCTCAGTCTTTGAGTCTACATTGCTTTTGTGAGCTGTAACACTCACTGCAAAGGTCTGCAGCTTCATTCCTGAAGCCAGTAAGACCACAAACCCACCAGAAGGAAGAAACTCCGAACACATCTGAACATCAGAAAGAACAAACTCCAGACATGCCACCTTAAGAGCTATAACACTCACCGTGAGGGTCCGTGGCTTCATTCTTGAAGTCAGTGAGACCAAGAACCCACCAATTCCGGACACAAGCTAAGATCACACCACACTGCATCCCAGCCTGGCAACAGAGCGAGACTGTCTCAAAAAAAAAAAAAGGCCGGGTGCCGTGGCTCACCTTTGTAATTCCAGCACTTTGAGAGGCTGAGGAGGGTGGATCACCTGAGGTCAGGAGTTCAAGACCAGCCTAGCCAACATTGTGAAACCCCGTCTCCACTAAAAATACAAAAAAATTAGCCAGATGTGGTGGGCGCCTGTAATCTCAGCTACTCAGGAGGCTGAGGCAGGAGAATCGCTTGAACCTGGAGCAGGGCTGGATGGGGGGTAGAGGTTGTAGTGAGCTGAGGTCAGGCCACCACACACAAGCCTGGGCAATAAGAGTGAAATGCCATCTCAATAAATATTGTGTTTGGTTCTTGAGTAACAAAAACTCAATACAATGGCCTAACTTCATAGGTGTTTATTTTTCCCAGTTATGAAGAAGACTTGAGCAGGCAGTCCAGAGCTGATACAGCTGCTCCAATCACCAGAGATGCAATCTCCTGCTAGATGTCTTCACATCTACCTTTCTATGTCACATGTGCAAGATGGTTGCTCTGCCTTCAGACATCACATTTACATTCCAGGCAGAAAGGAGAAGGAAAGAGCAAAAGATGTGTTCCGAACAAATCCATCTTAAAAACAAACAAGGGGAGGGGTAGCAGGAGAAAATTTAAAAAGAAGAAGAAGAAAAACAAAAACAGGAAAGCCGTTGTTTCCCTAAAAGCCCCATCAAGCCGACTTCTACCGGTGACTCATTACCCAGTCATGTGGCCACCCCTGGATTCAAGGCAGTCTGAGGAGGTGAGTGTTTCAAAGAGGCACATGGATGCCACAGACAAAATCAAGTTTCCATGGTTGAAGGAGAAGAGGACGATAGAGTTTGGGGAGGCAGCAGGCTACGTCTGCCACAGAAGATATAAAGATATGGAGCCACACGAGAAGATGGGGGAGGCTGCCAAAAAAGTCCACTGGGTACAGGTGAGGAGCAGGTGACATTGGAGTTGCTCCATCTGAGGAGCCCGCACCTGCAATGGCTTGTGCTCCTGCTCCTGTGGGTATAGGCACAAGGCTGATGCCGAGAGAGTGAGTTGTTTCTGTTGGGGTTCAGAACACAATACCCCAAAGTATGGCGATGAGTACTTAACTAAAGGACATTGGAAGGCCTCAGAAGCAGCCTCAGATCCAAGGTCCCTCTGACCTGCTCCTGCCCTCCTGTCTCTCTCGTCCCTCGTTCTCCCCTGAAGTGAGTCATAGAAACCAGAATCCTCTTCCCCACGGTAGGTCCTAGAAACTAGAACCCTTTTTCCCCGAAGCAAAAGCCATAAAAACTGGAATTATTACTCTAAACTCTCCTTGACTTTTTGTCCAGAAGATGGCCATAAAGAAATTCTCAGCTAGGTGTGGTGGCTCGTATCTGTAATCCCAGCACTTTGAGAGGCCAAGGTGGGAGGATCACTTGAGGCCAGGAGTTTGAGATCGGCCTGGGCAACATAGTAAGACCCCCATCTCTACAAAACTTTTTTTTTTAAACTTACCTAAGCGTGGTGGTACACCTGTAGTCTCAGCTACTTAGGAGGCTGAGGTGGGAGGGACCCTGCTCTGGCTGTGACTGCTTTATCACAGGGAGTGCCTATCTGTGGGCTGCTTTCTACACATTAAAGCATTTTCAGAAAGGGCCAACATCAGCCTTGGAAAAAAGGAGGAAGAGCCACGGAGAGTCTCCCTTTATCTTCCCCTTATGTGATGTGAGAGTGCACATGACTGTGTGCACATACACACACACACACACACCACACACACACACCCCACAGGCACACAGGGTCAAGAACATGCTGGGCAGAGCTTAAGCCACTGAATGTTTCAGTAGGAATCATGATATCTAAAAATAGGACAGCTGATAAGGGGGTTCTTACTACTCACAGTTCCTGGAATTATATGCAATTGCATCTTGGAAACTCAACAAATAAACAGTTAGTATGGAATTAAGGAATTAAGTTTGGTGAAGTTCAAAGAAGCTGATGTTACTCACAAGAGTAAATAGAGAGGAAACCGGGCGTGGTGGCTTCACGCCTGTAATTCTAGCACTTTGGGAGGCCAAGACGAGCAGATCACTTGAGGTAGAGAGTTTGAGACCAGCCTGGCCAACATGATGAAACCCTGTTCTCTACTAAAAATACAAAAATTAGCTGGGTGTGGTGGCAGGCACCTGCAATCCCAGCTACATGGGAGGCTGAGGCAGGAGAATCGCTTGAACCCAGGAGACAGGGGTTGCAGTGAGCCAAGATCACACCACTGCACTCCAGCCTGGGCGACAGAGCAAGACTCCCTCTCAGGAAAGAAAAAAAAAAAAAAAGTAAATAGAGAGGAAAGCACAGGCCAGGGTAAAGAGCTCCATGTAGGGCTGGGCGCGGTGGCTCACGCCTGCGGTCCCAGCACTTTGGGAGGCCGAGGCGGGCGGATCACAAGGTCATGAGATCGAGACCATCCTAGCTAACATGGTGAAACCCCGTCTCTACTAAAAATACAAAAATTAGCCGGGGGTGGTGGGCGCCTGTAGTCCCAGCTACTCGGGAGGCTGAGGCAGGAGAATGGTGTGAATCCAGGAGGTGGAGCTTGCAGTGAGCCGAGATCACACCACTGCACTCCAACTTGGGCAACAGAGTAAGACTCCACCTCAAAAAAAAAAAAAAAAAGAGCTCCATGTATGATTCGTGTATAATGCTGCGGGCATTTGGAGTGCAGCCAACAGCCCCCTTGCAGAGACCCAGTGTTCATTGTCCCTTCCTTCTTCTAGCAGAACCCCAATTTTATTTTGTTTAGCAAAGTTCTATGCTTTAAATTTTTTTTTGCCTCAAACTGCCATGCAGGTAGGAGTGGTGGTGTGGCATAGGGCTGGCCAATGAGATGTTAGCCTAAGTCATGTAAAGGGGACTTTCAGAAAAGTTCTTTTCTAGGACTGACTCAACTGGCATGGGCCCCCTTTGCCTTTTACTCTCCCACTTCCTCCAGCCTGAAACAAAACCATGATGGTCTGAACTCCAGCCATCAACTGGAGAGCACTTAATCACTTTTTCAGTAAATACATGCCAGGCCCTGTTTTCAGTTCTAGGAACTTACCATAAAGAAAACAGATAAAAATCTCTGGCTTCAAGGAGCTTACAGTCTAGTGAGAGGAAACAAATTATAAGCAAACAAATATATAGTATTTCAGAATATGGTAAGTGTTAAGGAAAATAAATTAAGAAATGAGATTCTTATTATCTTTAGGGACACTCTCACTCCATCTCCTTCTGTTGCCCACACTAGAGTGCAGTGGTGCGATCATAGCTCACTGTAACCTCAAACACCTGGGCTCAAGTGATCCTCCTGCCACAGCCTCCTGAGTAGCTGGGACTACAGGTGTATACCACTACATCTGGCTAATTTTTTTTTTATTTTTTATTTTTGTAGAGACGGAGTCTTGCTACATTCCCCAGGCTGGTCTCAAGCTCCTGGCCTCAAGTGATCTTCCTATCCTAACCTCACAAGGGGCTGGGATTATAGGTGTGAGCCACCACACCACCCAGAAATGAGATTCTTTTTATTTTTGTTTGTTTGTTTGTTTGTTTTGAGACAGAGTCTCACTCTGTCACCCAGGCTGGAGTGCAGGGGCACATTCTCGGCTCACTGCAGCCTCCACCTCCAGGTTCAAGTGATTTTCGTGCCTCAGCCTCCCAAGTAGCTGGAGTTACAGGAATATGCCACTACACCCAGCTATTTTTTTTTTTTTTTTTTTTTTTAGTAGAGACAGGATTTCACTATGTTGGCCGGGCTAGTCTCAAACTCCTGACCTCAAGTGATCTGCCAGCCTTGGCTTCCCAAAGTGTAGGGATTATAGGCGTGAGCCACTGCACCCCGCCCAGAAATGAGATTCCTGATGCTCGATCAAGTCAGGGTGGTGGCTCAGAAGGCTGGATGGACCTGGGGGTTGTAAAGGTAGCCAGGGTTTGTTTTAATCAGGTGTGGCAAGACGTGCAGACACAGGAATCACTTTCATGGAGGAAGACATTTACTCACAGTTCCCTAGAAACATGCATGAGGCATGGCATGGCGTGCAGGGGTGCCCCATGGGGAAGCACCTGAGTCAGTCAGGAGGCAGTGGGAGTGAAAGGAAAATGTGGGCAAGAGCCTTTATTGTGGTTTCACAGGCAGGAGTGTGCAGGCAGGTAAGCAAGTTCAGGCTCGGCTAGTTTGAATAATTTCAGCAGCCTCTGGGGCATAGGGGCTGTCCCTAGCTCTCTAGTACTGGTCCTGGGCTGACTAGGGGAATTGCAGCTAGGAGTGGCAGAGCCTGATGAAGGTGGTGGTTGGGAGGATGGGGTCTAGCTTGGTTGATCTACATATGACAGGCGAGTTCTTTGCTTCTAGGAATTAGCTCAACCTGGGAGAGGCAGTCACTCCAGGGTCAGCAAGACCCCACGATGTGGAAGTATCAGAATATAGAAACTAGAAAACATGGTTAATTACACTAGGTTCTTGCCAATATTGCTATGCTATTAGGATCCCTGCTCTCACCTCTAGATTTATTCTAAATGCAGAAAAATTAAACTCTCAATTTTTTATGCCACTGTTTTTCAGGTTTCTATTACTGGTTAGGTGAATGCCAGGCCTGTACTGATAATGATCCTAAAGAAGACTCCTCTTTCATACGGCCTAGTAACCGATTCTCAGATCTTATCCATATAAATAGGCTGTTAGTCAAACAAGAAAAATAGCAAGATAAGTAACAGATCCTTCACAGAGTAACTACTCTCATCTATGTGCGTGCACACACACACAAACACACACACTAGTGCGAAAATAAAATGATTTTTCACAGACTTTTTCTGAAGATTGAAGATTTCAAAACAGTCTGAAAAAAAGTTTCAAAAGTGGTCCTGAAGTTAGCTTTACATCAATGCATTAAATATTAACTTTTTTTTTTTTTTGAGATGGAGTCTCACTCCGTCACCCAGGCTGGAGTGCAGTGATGCCATCTCGGCTCACTGCAACTCCTGTCTCCCGGGTTCAAGTGATTCTGCTGCCTCAGCCTCCCAAGTAGCTAGGATTACAGGCATGCACCACCATGCCTGGCTAATATTTTTGTATTTTTAGTAGAGATGGTGTTTCACCATGTTGGCCAGGCTGGTCTCGAACTCCTGACCTCAAGTGATCCACCCGCTTTGGCCTCCCAAAGTGCTGGGATTACAGGCGTGAGCCACTGTGCCCGGCCTAAATATTAACCTTATATGAACAAAAAGAGAAACGAGGATATATGGAGAGAGTAAAAGAGAAGTGAGGCACGGTGAGAAATTGGGAAGGGAGACCTGAGCCTTTGTCTATAGCGAAGGTTGAAAATTCAGCCACCTGCAGGGGCAAAGCAGAAAATGCAAATGAGGTAGCAGGCTTGGGATAAGAAAGACCTGGCTCTTGTTCTCTGTTTTCCCTTTTTTCAGTAAAGATATAGGTAGAAACTAAAATTTGTCTGCTAGAGGAAAAAATAACTACTCAAGCTAAATAATAAATGCCAATTGGCACTTTCCCTCAGTGTTAAGGAGGCCAGGAGGCATGGAGTGGGCACTGGTGAACAGAGTGGGGCAGCCACCGCCCAGCTCCATCAACTGTTACTAGCAATCGGTGTAGGTCGCATGATGCCAGATAGCCTGATTTTTTTTTAAGCTGTAAAACTGGGATTTCTGTTTAGAGACCGGGTCTCACCCCAGTCTGGAGTGCAATGGCACTATCATAAAACACTGCAGCCTGGAACTCCTGGGCTGAAACAATCCTCCCTCCTCAGCCTCTCAAATTAAATTGTAGGTGTGAACCACCACACCCAGCTGATTTTTATTATTTTTTGTAAAGACAGGGTCTCACTGTGTTGCCCATGTTGCCCAGGATAAAATCTGGATTTTTATGTGAAATCTCCAATTCTTAATTGTTGAGATTGAAGACTTTTTTTCTTCTTTTTTTTTGGAGCCAGGGTCTTGCTCTGTCACCCAAGCTGGAGTGCAGTAGCACAATCAAAGTTTTCTACAGCCTTGACCTCCTGGGCTCAAGCAGTCCTCCCAGCTCAGCCTCCCCAGAAGCTGACTACAGACTACAGGTGTGTAGCATCATGCCTGGCTAATTTTTGTATTTTTTATAAAGACGGGGTCCTACTGTGTTGCCCAGGCTGGTCCCAAACTCCTGGGCTCAAGCAATCCTCCCAACTCGGCCTCCCAAAGTGCTGGAGTTACACGCATGAGCCACTGCTCCCAGTTCCTGAAGACAATATTTTGGATAAACGTTCTCTTAGCAAATTATATGTTTCTGCAGAGCAGATACTCAGGCAGTAGGCCATCGGTTTGCACTTCTATTATGCTGAACAAATGAGATAGGAAGCTGTTGCAAAGAAAGGAAGGGGAAAAGCAAGGGGCTAGCTGACAGTAAGAAAGACTGGGAGACGGACAAGGAGAGACCCAAGGTGATGGGATGAAAAAAGAAGAAAAAAAAATATTGATGAATGCGATTGAGAAGAGATTGGGGGCCGGATGCAGTGGCTCACGCCTATAATCCCAGCAGGCGTGAGGCCAAGGCAGGCGGATCACCTGGGGTCAGGAATTCGAGACCAGCCTGGCCAACATGGCAAAACCCCATCTCTACTAAAAATAGAAAAAAAAAGCCAGGCATGGTGGCATGTGCCTGTAGTCCCAGCTACTTGGGAGGCTGAGGCACGAGAATCACTTGAACCCGGACGGCGGCGGAGGTTGCAGTGAGCGGAGATTACGCCACTGCACTCCAGCCTGGGTGATAGAGTGAGACTCCATCTCAATTAAAAAAAGAAGAAGAGATTGAGAAAGAATGAAGAAGAGAGGAAGAAAACACTGGGGCTCAGAAAACAATACCCCAAAGTGTGGCACTTTGGCATGCTGAATACTTTGAACTAAAGGACATTGGGAAGACTCAGAAGCAGCCTCGAAACCAAGATCCCTCTGACCTTCTGCCCCTCCTGTCTCTCGCCCCTCATTCTCTCCTGAAGTGAGCCACAGAAGCCAGAATTAGTCCTCCCTAAGGTCATAGAAACCAGAACCCCTGTTCCCCAAAGCCAGCCATAAAAACTAGAATTATTTCTTCTACTGCTTCCTAAGACATGACCATAAATAAATAGTCTGACCTACGCTTGTCTAATGGTGGGCCATAATGAGAGGTGACAGCGTGCTGGCAGTCCTCAGAGCCCTCGCTTGCTCTTGCCACCTCCTCTACCTGGGCTCCCACTTTGGCGGCATTTGACGAGCCCTTCAGCCCACCACTGCACTGTGGGAACCCCTTTCTGGGCTGGCCAAGGCTGGAGCCCACTCCCTCAGCTTGCAGGGAGGTGTGGAGGGAGAGGTGCGAGCGGGAACCGGGGCTGCGAGCGGCGCTTGGGCGCCAGCGGGAGTTCCGGGTGGGCGTGGGCTTGGAGGGCCCCGCACTCAGAGCAGCCGGCCAGCCCTGCCGGCCCCGGGCAATGAGGGACTTAGCACCCGGGCCAGTGGCTGCAGAGGGTGTACTGGGTCGCCCAGCAGTGCCAGCCCACCGGCGGTGCGCTCGATTTCTCACCGAGCCTTAGCTGCCTTCCCGCGGGGCAGGGCTCGGGACCTGCAGCCCGCCATGCCTGAGCCTCCCACCCACTCAAAGGGCTCCTGTGCGGCCCGAGCCTCCCCGACGAGCACCACCCCCTGCTCCACGACGCCCAGTCCCATCGACCACCCAAGGGCTGAGGAGTGCAAGCACACGGCACAGGACTGGCAGGCAGCTCCACCTGCAGCCCCAGTGTGGGGTCCACTAGGTGAAGCCAGCTGGGCTCCTGAGTCTGGTGAGGATGTGGAGAGTCTTTATGTCTAGCTCAGGGATTGTAAATACACCAATCAGCACCCTGTGTTTAGCTCAAGGCTTGTGAGTGCACCAGTCCACACTCTGTATCTAGTTGCTCTGGTGGAGCCTTGGAGAACCTGTGTGTCCAAACTCTGTATCTAACTAATCTGATGGGGACGTGGAGAACCTTTGTATCTAGCGCAAGGATTGTAAACGCACCAATCAGCACCCTGACAAAACAGGCCACTCGGCTCTACCAATCAGCAGGATGTGGGTGGGGCCAGATAAGAGAATAAAAGCAGGCTGCCCGAACCAGCATTGGCAACCCGCTTGGGTCCCTTTCCAGACTGTGGAAGGTTTGTTCTTTTGCTCTTTGCAATAAGTCTTGCTGCTGTTCACTTTTTTGGGTCCATGCTGCTTTTATAAGTTGTAACACTTACTGCGAAGATCTGCAGCTTCACTCCTGAGCCAGCAAGACCATGAACCTACCAGAAGGAAGAAACTCCGAACACATCTGAACATCAGAAAGGACAGACTCCAGAAGCGCCACCTTAAGGGCTATAACACTCACCGCGAGGGTCTGTGGCTTCGTTCTTGAAGTCAGTGAAACCAAGAACCCACCATTTCTGGACACAATAAGATCCTCATTCCAGAGGGGTCCAGTCCCATACCTGGCTGGCAGAAATGCTACAACATAGAGGCCGAGAAGAATCCGGACAGACAGGCATTGCTGGATTCCTCCAGGAGATCATACCCTTTCTGTCCCATAATGCTTCCACATGACCATCCATTCTTCATCAACTCTAAGCATAAAAAATGAGAATTTTCCCTGTGGGTCTTAATTCTTTTCTTTTTCCTTTTTTTTTTTTTTTTTTTTTGAGACGGAGTCTTGCTCTGTCGCCCAGGCTGCAGTGTGGCAGTGTGATCTCAGCTCACTGCAACCTCTGCCTCCTGTGTTCAAGCAATTCTCCTGCCTCAGCCTCATGAGTAGCTGGGACTACAGGTGCATGCCACCACACCCAGCTAAATTTTTTTTTTTTTTAGTAGAGACAGGATCTTACCATATTGGACAGGCTGGTCTTGAACTCCTGACCTCAAGTGATCTGCCCACCTCGGCCTCCCAAACTGCTGGGATTACAGGCATGAGCCGCCACATCCGGCCCCTGTGGGTCTTCATTCTAAAGGCCACCGTGACACATAAAACTTGGATTCAATAAATGTTTTTCTCTCATTAACCTGTCTTTTGTTAGAGGACCGTGGCCGAGACTTTCATGATGGAGAGAAAAGGTATCACAGAAAAGGTATGCCCTTTTCTGCTTCTAAAAGGGCAAGGAAGATGGAGAAGAAAGTGAGAAAAAGGAGATTTGAAGAGAGAGGAGGAAGTGGGCTGCTATAGGTAGAGGGTGGAGATTTAAAGTCATTCTACAGGCTCGGCACAGTGGCTCACGCCTGTAATCCCAACACTTTGGGAGGCCAAGGTGAGTGAATCGCTTGAGGTCAGGAGTTCAAAACCAGGCTGGCCAACATGGTGAAACCCTGTCTCTACAAAAATACAAAAAATTAGACGGGCGTGGTGGCAGGAGCTTATAATCCCAGCTACTTGGGAGATTGAGGCAGGAGAATCTCTTGAACCCAAGAGGTGGAGGTTGCAGTGAACCAAGATCACACCACTGCACTCCAGCCTGGGCAACAGAGTGAGACTGTGTCAAAAAAAAAGTCATTCAACAGAAAGAGACAGGAATATGCAGGCACTGTGGAGAGAACAGTGGCTCTATATGGTGAAAGGGAAGCCCACAAGTTTTCCAGCCTTTGGGATTCTGTGCTATTATAATTTATATATAGGTTTTAGTCCATGGTTCCTGGCTTATAATTCCCATTGCCCTTGTTACCATCTGTTGTTGTAATGTTGGGTGCTTTAAGCCTCAGAAGCAGGTCTCAATAAACGGAATCTCTCTGACCTTCTCCTGCCCTCATTTCATCTGCTCCTTTATCTCTCCAAGGCAGGAATCTTTGCCCATCTTTCTGTCTTTGACCTACCTTGTCTGACTATAGGTCATAAGACTCCCATTTCAGAAAGGATGCCCCATATCCTGGAGGAAGAAAGGCTGCACAGAGAGGCCAAGAAGAATCTGGACAGGACTCACTGGGTTTCCCCAGTCTGTCTGTTAGTATTAGATCATATCCTTTTTGTTCAATCACATTTTGACATGGTTGTCCATGCTTCAGTCATGCCTGTCCAGTGAAGTCTCCATAAATGCCCAAGAGGACGGGGTTCAGAGAGCTTCTGGAGAGCTGAACACATGGAGGTTCCTGGAAGGTGTTGCACACAGGGAGGACTCGGAAGCTCTGTGCCCCTTCTCCCTGTGCATCTCTTCATCTCTAGCCTTTGTAATAAACCAGTAAATGCAAGTGTTCATTTAACTGAACCCAAAGAGGGGGTTGTGGGAATCCCAACTTGAAGCTGGTGGGTCAGAAGTTCCCAAGGCCAAACCTGTGACCAGTGTGGGTCGGGGGGCAGTCTTGGGGACTGAGCCCTCAACCTGTGGGATCTGATGCTACCTCTAGGTAGACAGTGTCAGAATTGGATTAGAAGACACCCAACTGGTGTCTGCTGCAGATTTAATTGCTTGCTTGATGTGTAGAGACAAAACTCCTCACATTTGGTCACAGAAGCCTTCTGTGTTAATGATTGTTGTGAGTGAGAGAGTAGGAAAAAGCACATTGAGTGTTGTTTTTCCCACACACAGAGCATCACTTTTTCTTTGATAGTTAAATAACTCAGGCCTGCACTTTTCTACAACTACAGGAAGTCCAGGGCCCTGGCTCAGGAAGTGGCGCCATTTCCCTGGTCAATATCACCTCTTGCTTCTCCTTTCTTTCAACACCTCCCTGTGGGGGTCCAGCTCCTTCAGCCCTTCCCTTCCTTTACCAGCTGACACTGGACTAGGGGTCAACACAGCTTCAGTGGAAGCTTGAACCATGGGTAGGCCAGCCCAGAATTCTACAGGGGACAAGTAGAATTCCATACCAGAGATGACATTCCTAAAATAATCTCCATGCAAGGTGCCCTATTCTGGAAATTTCTCACCACCTCTCTGCTCAAGGAAGACATCCTTTCTCTTCACTGTGCTCAGCAATGGGGCATCTCTTTGATCAGACTCTGCCTGAATTTCATGTAATCAAAGGACACATTAAAATGTTTTCTTTCACACAAGAACCCCAGAGGGGCTGGGAACTAGAAGAGCTGTATTCTTTTATTTATTTATTTATTTATTTATTTTGAGATAGAATCTTGCTCTGTTGCCCAGGCTGGAGTGCAGTGGCGTGATCTCAGCTCACTGCAACCTCCACCTTCCAGGTTCAAGCAATTCTCCTGCCTCAGCCTCCTGAGTAGCTGGGATTACAGGCACCTGCCACCAGGCCTGGCTAATTTTTTTTATATTTTTAATACAGACAGGGTTTCACCATGTTGACCAGGCTGGTCTCGAACTCCTGACCTCAAGTGATCCGCCCACCTCGGCCTCCCAAAGTGCAGGGATTACAGGCATGAGCCACTGCACCCAGCCAAATTTCTGTATTTTCTTTTTTAATTTATTATTATTATTATTTTGTTTTGAGATGGAGTCTTGCTCTGTTGCCAGGCTAGAGTGCAGTGGCATGATCTCGGCTTACTGCAACCTCCGCCTCCCGGGTTCAAGCGATTCTCCTGCATCAGCCTCCTGAGTAGCTGGGACTACAGGCACGCGCTGCCATGCCCAGCTAATTTTTGTATTTTTAGTAGAGACAGGGTTTCACCATGTTGGCCAGGATAGTCTCGATCTCTTGACCTCGTGATCTGTCCACCCCGGCCTCCCAAAGTGCTAGGATTACAGGTGTTAGCCACAGCGCCCGGCTTTTATTTTTATCTTTATTTTTGAGGCAGAGTTTTGCTCTTGTCACCCAGGCTGAAGTGCAATGGCACAACCTCAGCTCACTGCAACCTCCGCCTCCTGGGTTCAAGCAATTCTCCTGCCTCAGCCTCCTCAGTAGCTGGGTCTATAGGCATGCGCCACTACGCCCGGATAATTTTTTATTTTTATTTTTAGTAGAGACGAGGTTTCACCATTTTGACCAGGCTAGTCCCGAACTCCTGACCTCAGGTGATCCACCCTCCTCAGCCTCCCAAAGTACTGGAATTACAGGCGTGAGCAACCACACCCGGCCTAGAGCTGTATTCTTGATGATGGAGAGCAGTTTCCTCCTCTCTGCCAGGCCACACTGTGTGTGGCCATCGCATCCTGAATGGTGCTCTAGTTCTTGAGACCTACAGAAGCCATTTCCTATTTTCCTTACTCACCTGTGTATCCTTAGGGAATGTCCATCCCCTGAGGTAACTTGGGTGTTTCTCTGTCTTTTGCAACCTGTGTGAGCTGAATACCTTCACATTGGCTTGTCTGTAGAAGGCAGTCAGGTTTTTGTTTTGCTTTGCTTTCTAGTTGGATCAGATAAGAGTTAACAGAAAATGACCACAGTCTAAGTCACTTGCTCAGTGATCAAGTTGTGAAAAAACTGAAATCACTTTATATATGTGTGTGTGTATATATATATGTGTGTGTATACATGTGTATATATATGTGTGTGTATATATATGTGTGTGTGTGTTTATATATATATATATATATATTTTTTTTTTTTTTTTTTTTTTTTTTTTGAGACAGTCTTACTCTGCCGCCTAGGCTGGAGTGCAGTGGCGCAATCTTGGCTCACTGCAACCTTCACCTGCTGGGTTCAAGCGATTCTTCTGCCTCAGCCCTCCCGAGTAGCTGGGATTACAGGTGCCTGCCACCACACCTGCTAATTTTTGTATTTTCAGTAGAGACAGGGTTTTACCATATTGGCCAGGCAAGTCTGTAACTCCTGGCCTCAGGTGATCCGTCCGGCAGCTTCCCAAAGTGCTGGGATTACAGGCATGAGCCATCACACCCATCCTGAAATCACTTTTGACCTGGAAGTCACCCTTTTTCTGTGCTTCTGAACACATGGCAACCTTCTACCCACCTGCCCAGCATCCTCATGTCCCACTGGTTTTTCCCAAATCTGTTCTCTTCCCCTGCGCCTCCTCCACTCCTGCCGCTTTATCTCCAGCACACGTTCCTCTTCCTCCTCCTTTTTCATCTAATTATCCAACAGATACGTGATGAGAGCCCACGTGTGCCAAGCACTGTGCTGGCAACAGAACAGACGGAGGGCAAGACGGAGCCCCTCTCCAGCCACGGGTCCCTACAGCCTAGCATGATGCCTGCAGTCACAGCCAAGCACACTGCTCACATCTGAGCTCAGCAGATCTGGGCAGTGAAGTGGAGTAAAGTTAGTCTTTAGATGGAAAAGCAAACAGAAATACAGACTGTTATGAGCCTTTTTTGCGGAGGCCACAAACTTAGACGTTTTGAGCCTGGAATCTGATGTCACACAGACCCAAATCCCACTACTTACCAATTGTGTGAACTTATCTCTGGGCCTCTTTTTCCTTCTGGAAGTAACCACCCTAGCCAACTAACAGGTCAAGATGAAATGATTTATTCTGTATAAAGTACTTAGCGCAGTATCTGATGCGTGGTGGTAGGAAATAACCACTAAATGGTAGTTGGCATTAATGATATGGATCTGCGCTAAGAGTTACATGAGCAGAGTAAGACAGGTTTCAATTTCTGTATTCCACTCCTCCCTTCCTCTGCCCACTTCTCCACCCCCTGACCCCAGTCTTTTCCAGTTAGAAAGGTAGAAATTCCTAATGGAAATCAAGAGCAGGGGAGGGGTGGAAACAGGAAACATGGGTTATCAACAAAAACTGGGCTCCAGGACAGGCGCCGTGGTTCACGCCTGTAATCCCAACACGTTGGGAGGCTGCTGGACAGATCACCTGAGGTCAAGAGTTCGAGACCAGCCTGGCCAACATGGTGAAACCCCGTCTCTACTAAAAATAAAAATTAGCTGGGTGTGGTGGCGGGCGCCTGTAATCCCAGCTACTCAGGAGGCTGAGGCAGGAGAATCACTTGAACCCAAGAGACAGAGGTTGCAGTGAGCCGAGATCACACCACTGCACTCCAGCCCAGGCGACACAGTAAGACTCCGTCTCAAGGAAAAAACAAAAACACAAAAAACTGGGCTCCTGAGTGCTTCACACGCGTGAGTGGCTATCCTGCTCCTGAGAAGCAGCTCTCCAACCCCCTGGCCCAAGTAGAGCTGGGCCCTCCTGGACGTCTACAGGATCCACTCCAGCTTGAATCATTCTCTGGACAGGCCTTTAATGCACTCTTCCTCAAGCCCTAAAGGTCATAACTCCTTGAATGGCTGGAAAAACACTGTGCTGAAATCACAAAGAATCCAGGAAAGAAAAACAGGCAGCAAAATGGAACCAAACACAGGGAGTTGAACAGACGTTTATTTTGATCCATGTCCAGCTTTGGCCAAGAAAATAATAAAATGTCCAGGAAAAATCAAGCTGAAGGGAGGGAGTGGGAGAGAGGAGCTAGTAATATCAAATTTGAGACTCTATATGAAAAAAGATAAAAGTTGGTCCACTTATCATAGCATACATACAAAAAGATAAATTCCATATGAGACTTTAAAAAACAAAAACCACACAATATTAAAGGGAAATAAATTCTTCTACAGCTTGGGAGTGGAAAAGACTTGCATAACTATGGCTAAATCTTCAGCTGCAATTGAAGAGAAAGAGTGATAAATTTTGGCTGGGCATGGTGGCTCATGCCTGTAATCCCAGCACTTTGGGAGGCCAAGGGAGGTGGATCATGAGGTCGGGAGTTCAAGACCAGCCTGGCCAATATGGTGAAACCCCGTCTCTACTAAAAATGCAAAAATTAGTCAAGCATGGTGGCGCTCACTTGTAGTCCCAGCTACTCAGGAGGCTGAGGCAGGAGAATCGCAAAAAAACAAAAAACAAAACAAAAACAAAAACAAAAAACAAAACAAACGAAACAAAACAACTATCCTAAGGTAGCATATTATACCTATCAGATCGGCAAAAAATCCAAAAATTTGTCAATACATGTAGTTGGCAAAGCTATAGGGAAATAGGCATTCTAGTACATTGTGACTAGGAATGCAAAATGAGGCAATCTCTATGGAAGGGAATTTGACTGGCTGTATCTAGCAAAATTACATATGCATTTCCAGCAATACAGTTTCTAGGAAACTATTCCAAAACATCACTGGCAAAAATATGAAAAAGTATTTGTGTAGGCTATTTATTGCAGCTCTGTTTGTCATAACAAAAGACTAGAAATAGGCCGAGCATGGTGGCTGTAATCCTAGCACTTTTTGAGAGGCCAAGGCGGGCTGTTTGCTTAAGCCCAGGAGTTCAAGGCCAGCCTGAGCAACATGGTGAAACTCCATCTCTATTTCAAATTTTAAAAATAAATAAATAAATAAATACTGGAAATAACCCAAATGTCTAACAACAAGGGACTGACTAAATTAAATATGAAGTACTATGGAGCATTAAA
The DNA here is from genome assembly GCF_000001405.40 of Homo sapiens. Lineage (NCBI taxonomy): Eukaryota > Metazoa > Chordata > Mammalia > Primates > Hominidae > Homo > Homo sapiens. The sequence continues at coordinate 30,799,847 of NC_000006.12, read as the reverse complement.
AAAAGAATAAATATCTCTACATACTGCCATGGGCTGATTGACAGCACCTATTGTTAAGTAAAGAAAGGTCAAACTGTATGTCAATTTTATCCCAATGTTCATTTAAAAAAAAGAGAAGTGGGGAAATCTGGATGCTACTCTATATCTAAGAATATATACATGTATATATTTAAATTTCTAAAAATCAAAAGCAAAAATAAAAGACTATCCGCACAGTGAGTTAGTGATACAATTACAGAGAGAAAAACTGTCTCAAACAACTTTAGACCACTGCAATTTGATTGTATATTCCTAGTGAGATATACCCTAAGGACAAAAAAAAAGGAACTGAAAGAATAGTTTTATTGTGGAGACAAAAGTGGCCCCATCTTGGATGCTAATCCACCATGTCGTCATCTGATTAGCCCCAGTCCCAGGAACGCCTCCTGATTCCTACTTTATTTACTGTCCCTAGTGTAAGAATATATCAACTTTGATGTTATCACACAAATTATAGGCTGTGACGCACATAGCATTCTAGCCTGTTCTGGACAGTTGCCTTTGTCTTGCACTAAGCACATATACTCTTTCCCTATGGTATATAAATAAGCCTTGGGTCTGAGATAACAGTGTGAGATCCACCTGTCTTGCAGCTGCCCAAGAGCAGGCTTCCGTCTGTAAGTTCCCCAGTGAAACACGCTTTAGCAACAAACTGGACTTGCCTACCTTGTTCTTTGGTTTCTCAGCTCCTTTGACCTTTGGGGGCCACTTTGCATGTATGGCCCTTTCATGGAAAAGCATTATCATATTAATGGCGATAATATTGATGTTGTTATTTTAAGACTGTGTATAAGTATTGAGGGATAAAGCAAACGTTGGTGGATTTGGAAACTAGAATATTTGGTTGGGAGAAAAAAACAGATGCAAGTATGTGAAGTTATATAAAAACACTGAGAGCCTCTATTTGAATGGAAAGTATCTTTTTCCTTGATCCTAGAGCTGGTAAAAAAATTTTTAAAAAAATAAAGAAAGTATTAGTATAAACAGACAATGAGTTTATTTTTAAAATATGTTTATATTTTCTTCCCACTAAAAGGCCCTAGAAACAAGAACCAATCCAGCAGCAACAAGCATCTCTGGCAGTCTATCATTTCCCTTCAACTGAAATCAGATCTTCTTAAAGAAATGCTTGGCTCTCAGACTGGGAACGGAAATGTACAAGATGTGCTTCGATATCTGGTCAAATCAGAAACTCAAAAAGCTATCAAAGTCTCTTTGGACTGTGTCAGAAAGAGGTGAAAAGACTCCCACTTGCCAAAGACGGGACAATTTGAGCATTCATAAGACTAATCACTATAATGGACTATAGTGAACTGAAGTACATCAAATATGTTTCAATCCATGATTTCATAATGGTATCTTAAATAATTGGTCACTTGTGAAGGACTCTACGTAACCAACTCAACAACTTGAAAACTGGTAATAAAGAGAAATCCTTTATTCTGCCTTTCCTATAGAAACCATAACTGAACCCCATGGTTGATGAAGCAATTTCTCTTACACAAGCAGTCTACCTAATAACTGAAGAAAGGAGCGAGCAGGGCAGGAGAGTGGGTGTGGGGGAGAAAAAAGAATAAATACATAAATGAAGAAAGAAATAATAGAATTCCAATATTACTATTTTGCAACTCCTAATGAAATAATGGATTAGTCGATGATCACGAATGACTTAGAACATCACCAAAAGAGACGGACACAAGCAGACAGCATGTACCTCTGGGTGAATGTTCACAACATTCCCTGAGAAGGGGCCCTGCAAAAACAAACACTGAACTTCAATCTGATCAGACCTCTAGATGAAATTAGCAATTCACAAGAAGTCAGCGATCAGAGGAGTGTCTTACATAGCACCTCCAGGGTAGAATCAGCAAAACCCAGACTGGAAAGCTGTACAGTACAAAAAAAATCCATTTTCTCCAACAAACCTATTTCAAGAGGGGGAAAAAATGAGAGAGCTAACCTGTACATTAAAGGAGATATAAAAAACAATAATCAGGTCAGGCAAGGCACATCTGTAATCTCAGCACTTTGTCAGACCAAGGCAGGTAGATCGCTTCAATCAAGGAGTTCGAAACCAGCCTGGGCAATGTGGTATAAAACCTGTCTCTATCAAAAAAAAAAAAAAAAAAAAAATCAGCCGGGTGTGGTGGCCCATGCCCAAATCCCACTTTTGGGATTACAAATTATAATCCCAAATTTTGTATTCTGAAATCACACTTTTGGGATTATAGGTGTGAGCCACCGTGCCTGGCCTTCGATCTTGATTTAAAGTAAACTTATTACGAAACAAAATATATGAGGCAGGGTACGGTGGCTCACACCTGCAATCCCAGCATTTTGGGAGGCTGAGGCAGGCAGATTGCTTGATCCCAGGAGGTCAAGACCAGCTTGGGCAAGACAGGAAGATCTCTACCAAAACTACAAAAATTAGCTAGGTGTGGTGGCATGCACCTGTAGTCCCAGCTACTCAGGAGGCTGAGGTGGGAGGATCACTTGAGCCCGGGAGGCAGAGGTTGCAGTGAGCTGAGATCACACCACTGCACTCCAGCTTGGGAGAATCTGAAAAAAATCAGAGACCCCTAAATTCCAAGCTATTTTGCCACTGTTCTGAGCCTAGGAATCTGCTGTTTTCAGTAAAGACCACTTCAGAGTCCAGAACCACAGGGTTGGACCATCTCCCTCCAATTGTCTCTTTACTGATCATGACCACCTCTCCCATTCTCTCCCAGCCTCCCCTCCTACCAGCACAGAGGAGAGAACCAGGAGAGTGGAGGATTCAGCCACCCAGAATGATGTGCAGGCGGGGCGTGGTATTTCACGCCTATAATCCCAGCACTTTGGGAGGCCAAGGTGGGTAGATCACTTGAGGTCAGGAGTTCAAGACCAGCCTGGTCAACATGGTAAAACTCCGTCTCTACTAAAAATACAAAAACTAGCCAGGCGTGGTGGCACGTGCCTGTAGTCCCAGCTACTTGGGAGGCTGAGGCAGGAAAATCACTAGAACCAGGAAGGCAGAAGTTGCAGTGAGCTGAGATAGCACCATTGCACTCCAGCCTGGGCAACAGAGTGAGACTCTATCTCAAAAATAATAAATAAATAAATAAATAAATAAATAAATAAAAACAGAATGAGGTGCAGACAAGAGGTTCCCTGAAAGTGGTTCCAATTCATACTCTTACTCATCTGGAGCATAGATTTTGGCATTATTGGGGATGTCCCCAAATGAACAAGTTCTGCTCATGTGATATGAGTTGATGTTCCTGATCCCAACTGGGCCTGTGATTTGGAAAGAGAAGTGTTTAGGATACTCCTCCAAATACCACCAGCAGCTAGAATAACTGTAAATGATGCACTGTGGGACTCCACTTTGAAAAAAGGGACACTCTGTGTCCACGACCTAGATGCTCCTAAGTCAGAAGAACTAAGAATTAGCCAATATCCCCACCTATGCCTACTATAGTCTCTCAAATCACTCAACCTTTCCTAGATTCAGTTGCTACTTCTGCAATAAGGGATAATATTTTATCTAGACCAGGAACCAGACTAGGATACCTCTTGAGGTCCCTAACTGCTTTGAGCTCTAACCTTATCAGCTACAATACTGGGAGGAACTCCTTATTTCAGAGAACAGAATAAACAGCAGGACCCAAGGAAGGGCAAGAATGGGCAAGTTAGGAAGTGTTGCTGGACATATGAAGCCAAGGGTTGAACCTGGTAGGCAGACACTAATTAAACAAATGTAATACTTACTGAGCTCTTACTACATGCCTGCTGCTAGGCTAGGTCCTTTTTATGCCTCATCCCATTATTACCCTCAACAATCTGTAGGCAACAACCCTCACTTCCTTCTCTCAAAGGAAACCTCACTCCGACATCTCAGGAACATGTCTCTTACGCATTTCGTATTTCAAACACCTGGAAGTTATATGAAATAACTGAAAAGTTTCATGCAATGTGCAGCAAAGATGCTGAGGGACAGCCCAGGTCTAATGTGGAAGGTCTGAGTTCATGGGGTGGGAGGAGGTGGGGGTCAAAGACCTCCATAATACAATGAACAAAGCTTCTTCCATCTTACCTTCAAGCAGCAGCCTATCTAAAAGAATTTGTCATCTTTGCAAAAGACATCCAGAAGATTCCAAGCTTCTCCAGTCAGAGCTTTGTGTTTGACAGAAGCCATGACCAGCCATTGCTCCATTCCCAGTGGCTCATCTGGCCATCTGCTATCTTGGGTTTTTTTGTTTGTTTGTTTGTTTTCAGAAACTCCAGCAAGCAACACATGAATCACATCTCTAAACAAAGGCTTGTTCCACCTCTTACAATTTTATAATAAATGAGTGAGGCTGAAAGTGGGGTGTATTTATTTGCAAGAAGTCACAATGTAAGGGGTGATTATAGAGCAATTGTTTTTTCTCTATCATTTCCTAACAAGAGTCATACCTTGAAGTTTCAATAATTACATACTGATAGTGACACACAAAAAAGAGGAATTTACATGGGAAGCAAAGATGTGAACTATATTACGTGGATTTTTTTTTTAAGATGGGGTCTTACTCTGTCATCCATGGTGGAGTGCAGTGGCACAAACATGGCTCATGGCAGCCTTGACATCCCCAAGCTCAGGTGATCCTCTCACCTCAGTTTTTTAAATTAAATTAATTTTTTGTTTTTTATTTTTAGTAGAGACAGGGTTTTGTCATCTTGCCCAGGCCAGTCTCAAACTCCTGGACTCAAGCAATCTGCCTGCCTTGGCCTTCCAAAGTGCTAGGATTACAGGCGTGAGCCACATATGGATTTTTCTGTCCCCAGTGAAGGAGCAACATTTGAACTGTGTTTACATTAGTCTAGCCAAAACAAAAACAAAAAAAACTCTTTCCCTCACCAAACCATATAATTAACAATGGGGCTTAACTCTGTAGCCACAATCATACCCAGCATTATTTCAGTGAATCAATGAAGCAATAATGGGGCACAGGGCTTTATTAGTTGTCTGTGCCTCCTGGCTATGGAGATTCAGTACGATAAACATGTCCATCTGAAAATTCAGTATTTCTGGTTGCTTCACTTGTCTGTGAAGACCCCTGACATTTAGGGACATGCAGTTTTGCTGAGGCTCAGACACAAGTGGCACTGCCCAGCTGGGCATGGTTGAGTGAGTATGGATGAGAGCTGACTACCCAGCTTCCCAAAGCGGCTCTGCATTTCTCAGCAGGTGGTCTCACAGGCAGAAACCTACGGGAAACACCTTTTTTAAAAAACCTTGTTTCTTTGTGAAAATCGCCTCCCAATAAAGCCACTTGCTTACACAGGTAATAGAAGCAATGAAAATGTCTGGCCAGGTGTGGTGGCTTACGCCTGTAATCCCAGTACTTTGGGAGGCCAAGGTCAGGAGTTTGAGACCAGCCTGCCAAATATGGTGAAACCCTGTCTCTACTAAAAATACAAAAATTAGCCGGGCATGGTGGCGGGCGCCTGTAATCCCAGCTACTCAGGAGACTGAGGCAGGAAGAATCACTTGAATCTGGGAGGCGGAGGTTGCAGTGAGCCGAGATCGCACCATTACACTCCAGCCTGGGCAACAAGAGCAAAACTCAGTCTCAAAAAACAAAAAACAAAAAACAAAAAAAAAAAGAAGTAATGAAAATGTGAAGAGATCTAAGAAAGTGACAGTTTTTAGGAATTGTAAATTGGGGTAAAGACTGGAATTTTTATCTCAATGATAGTTCAGCTCTATGATTCCAGCATAAATGCAGACATTTCGTAAAAGACTAGAGAAATGATTTCAGGAAATGTGTCCAGCCAGCTCAAACATTTCTCACAGAGTACGATACAAAGCTTAAGTGAAAGTAGGAACAGCAGATAACTTGTGGTAAGAGAATACAAACAGGAAGCAGCAGCCTCTCGAAGTAAATATTATTGAATCAGGCCTAGAAGACCTGGGGAAGTATTTATGTATCATCTAATTGGAAGATTTACAAAGCTCTCTAGTGTCTTTGGTAGAGGTCAAGAAAGGGTCGGCTCTCCTTCCTGCAAGCAGGCCGGTGGGATCACTGCACAGCAGCCTCCCTCTCCTTTTAGGATCCCTCATCTAACCCCACACCAATGGATTTTGGGGGTTGAAAGATTCTGGGCTGGGCACGGTGGCTGATGTCTGTAATCCCAGCACTTTGGGAGGCTGAGGCAGGAGGATCACTTGAGCCCAAGAGTTCAAGACCAGCCTGGGCAACATGGCAAGACCTTGTCTCTATAAAAATTTTTTTAAAAAATTAGCCAGGCATGGTGGTGTGAGCCTGTGGCCCCAATTACTCAGGAGGCTGAAGTGAGAGGATTGCTTGAGCCTGGGAGGTTAAGGCTGCAGTGAGCCAAGATCGCACCACTACACTACAGCCTGGGTGACAGAGTGAGACCCTCTCTAAATAATAAATAAAGACTCTGGGGCCGGGCGCAGTGGCTCACGCCTGTAATCCCAGCACTTTGGGAGGCCGAGGTGGACAGCTCACGAGGTCAGGAGTTCGAGACCAGCCTGGCCAACATGGTGAAACCCCATCTCTACTAAAAATACAAAAATTAGCTGGGCTTGGTGGCACGTGCCTGTAATCCCAGTTACTCAGGAGGCTGAGGCAGGAGAATCGCTTGAACCTGGGAGGCAAAGGTTGTAGTGAGCTGAGATCATGCCATTGCACTTCAGCCAGGGTGACAGAGTGAGACTCCATCTCAAAAAATAAATAAATAAATAAAAAATAAAGGCTCTGAACTCCCCAGAACAAGACTGTCTTGTGGTTAAGATGAGATGTGGGGGTGGGGTTGTAAAAGCAGTCAGCATGCCGAGCATAGAGCCCCTCTCCAACAGGAAAGTCTTCAGACTCATCTTCCAAGACCTCATCCTCTCTCTGTATAGATATTATCTAGTGCTGCATGCATATCCTCCCCTCCATTCCTACTTGATTTATTATTTTACTCTTGTTCAATGATATCTGGACTTATATGTCTTTTCTTGTAACTATCAAAGTCCCTTTGGATATAAATTTGGTGTACATAAATAACAATAGTGGGGCCGGGCACGGTGGCTCGCGCCTGTAATCCCAGCACTTTGGGAGGCCGAGGCAGGCGGATCACGAGGTTAGGAGATCGAGACCATCCTGGCTAACACAGTGAAACCCCGTCTCTACTAAAAATACAAAAAATTAGCCGGGCGTGGTTGCGGGCGCCTGTAGTCCCAGCTGCTCAGGAGGCCGAGGCAGGAGAATGGTGTGAACCCAAGAGGCAGAGCTTGCAGTGAGCCAAGATAGCGCCACTGCACTCCAGCCTGGGCGACAGAGCGAGAGTCCGTCTCAAAAAATAATAATAATAATTTTTTAAAAAATAACAATAGTAGTTACCAAGCATTGACTGTAATATGCCAAACAACGTATATACATTGTCTTTTATCCTCATGATGCTTGGAAATAGAATTTACAAGAAACAGAGGCACAGGAAAGGGAGGCAACTCATTCACTTTCTCACAGCTAGTAAGTGGTGGGCTCAGGGTTCAAACCCAAGTAGGAAGGAATCTATGTCGGACTCATGCTGTTAGTAAGTTGTCTTTAATGGTGTGTATATCATTCGTATTCCTCTCTCACCTACTACTAGTTACGCAGTTTTACAAAAGCTGTTTCCTAAGCTGAGCTAAAGGAAGGTTAACTACAAACACACCTGCGTGCACGCACACACCCTTTATTCAGCTAGATTACTTCATCCTTTCAACCAAAGGAATTGGGCCTCTTCCATGCCAGACACTGGCATGGTAAACATGTCAGCCATGGTCCCTGCATTTCTGGAGCTTCTATTTTCACTACCGCTATTCCCCAGGTATGTCTTAAACGATACCTTCTTTAGTAGGCATTCCTTGTCACCCCAGACTAAATTAGATGACCTCATTATACAGTACCATGCTTTTCTTTCATAACACCCAATACCCTGTAATTACTTGTTCAATGTCTTTCTTCTTGGGCCGGGTTCGATGGCTCATGCCTGTAATCCCTGCACTTTGGGAGGCCGAGGTGGGTGGATCACCTGAGGTCAGGAGTTCGAGACCAGCCTGGCCAACATGATGAAACCCCTGTCTCTACTAAAAATACAAAAAATTAGCCAGGAGTGGTGGCAGGTGCCTGTAATCCCAGCTACTCAAGAGGCCTGAGGCAGGATAATTGCTTGAACTTGGGAGGCGGAGGTTGCAGTGAGTCGAGATCACACCACTGCACTCCAGCCTCGGCAACAAGAGCAAAACTCCGTCTCAAAAAAATAAAAATAAAAAAGTCTTTCTTCTCATTGTCCTGTGACCTCCATGAGGATGAGACGGGCTGTCCTGTTCGCTGCTATAGCCAGTATCTTGTGTAGCACCTGGCACCTAAGAGAAAATTCATAATTGTTTGTTGAATGAATGGATGTGAACAAGCAGTAGGAAAAGACTTTCTCAAAGGTTAGGGAAGATGGTGCAGGGTTGGTGACTAACCCATATTTAGCTGATATCAGTTTCTGTGCCACTAAGTTCTAACCTCTCTCTGCTTAATAGGAACCAGCAGCCTCTGAGTTTAAGCCTCCCTCCATTGCACACACATTCCAGTGTCTGCCTTGCTAATGAGCTCTGCCAGGCTCAGCCCAGGAGCTGTACCAGTGAGTGGCAGCCTGCCCTGTGGAAGGGACTAATTAATCCTAAATGTCACATTGGTCTCATAGCTCTTGCCCTTTACACGCATACCCAATCTGGGTATCTCTTTAATCACAATCTCTAGCCCTGGATTGAACCTCAAGAGAATCAACAATACCTGGAACGAATGACCACATCCCCGCTCCACCCCTCACTGTGTTGGGGTTACCTGGAGATGGTGTCTTTCCCACTGTAGTCTGTAGGAGGAGGTCACACACCTGGGAATAAGAGTGGTCTCTGAAAGAGATGGCCATTCAGGTATTAGGCAGGCATAGGTGAGGTGGGTCATCAGATAGGGACCTGGAACTCAGAAGGGAGCCTTTCACAGGAGGGGTGGGAACCTCCATGCGTCTCTAACCTTCTCTACTCAGACTCAGGGAGTTGCCATGGGAGGGAGCCAGGAAGGGGCAACTCCTGCAGTTGCCTTCAATGACTCTGATTCTGGTTACCTGCTGCTCAGTCCTTCACTTTCTCTTTCCTTAGCTCTTGGCCTTTAGGGAGGTCCTGTTTTAACAAGACTGTTCCAGGTGTGTGCAGTGCTGATGGCCTCAGCTGTACTTGTTCATAGACATAAAGGGACAGAAAAACCTCTGGGGACAGGGTAGGGCTGCAACGTCCAGCTTCGCTCCCCAGGGAGATGCTCCCATCACAAAAGATGTACCACTTATTTTGTTACAGGAGGCTGCTGTTTCTTTGCAGCATCTTTTTGGTTGTTTTTGAGATGGGGTCTCATTCTGTTGCCCAAGCTGGAGTACAGTGGCATGATCATGGCTCACTGCAGCCTCAAACCCCTGGGGCAATCCTCCCACCTCAGCCTCCCAAGTAGTTGGTACTACAGGTGCTCACCAACACACCTGGCTAATTTTTATATTTTTTGTAGAGATGGGGGTACACCATGTGGCCCAGGCTGGTCTCAAACTCCTAGGTTCAAGTAATCTGCCTGCCTCAGCCTCCCACAGTGCTGGGATTACAGGCATGGGCCACCGAGCTCAGCCTTTTGGCAGCATCTACACAAGCTGCGGAAGGCCTCTGATTCCAGGCCTCAGATGGAGTGCCCCAAAGTGGCATGAGACTCAGCTCTGCAGATTTTTGCCCTGGGGCTTAGAGTTGTTCTGCTCTTCACAGATCCCAGCCTGGAATAACCCCATCTCTACCAAAAAAACACAAAAATTAGCCAGGTGTGTTGGTGAGCACCTGTAGTCCCAGCTACTTGGCAGACTGAGATGGGAGGATTGCTTCTGCCTTAGGAGTCTGGGGACCTTGCCAGAGGAAGGTCACCACCTGTCAGGCAAAGGGATTCCTACTGTAACCCCAGGGTCAGGAATCCGGTCCACAAACTGCTTTTCATCCCAAGACCTCAGGCTCAAAGTCAAAGTTCCCCTCTTCTGTGTTGTGCAGCACCACCCCCACCACACTCCCACCAATCCAGGGCACTTTTCTAGTTTCTTCATGAATTAGATCTCCCTTTTCTTGATCTGAAAGAAAAGGACCCTAATAACAAGCCAGAACTCCTCCCAGCAAAATCCCTGGGATTAATAACATTGGTACTTACTTTGTTCATGTGTGAATAATCAATATTCTCCAGCCTCTTTTCTGTCTCTTTTGTGCACACACTTTCCCATAGATACTATCGGTCTTCCCTCAGTCTGCAGCTGAAACTCTGTGACTGCTGGGGGCAGGCCCTGTTCTCTTCAGCTCTCACTCTGGACCCCAAGGTTAGTGCTCTGGGCCGGGCGCGGTGACTCACACCTGTAATCCCAGCACTTTGGGAGGCCGAGTCTGGTGGATCACTTGAGGCCAGGAGTTCAAGACTAGCCTGGCCAACATTGCGAAACCCTGTCTCTACTAAAAATACGAAAATTGCCAGGCATGGTGGCACGTGCCTGTAATCCCAGCTACTTGGGCAGGAGAATTGCTTAAACCTGGGAGGCAGAGGCTGCACTGAGCCAAGATCACGCCACAGCATTCCAGCCTGAGCGACAGAGTGAGACTCTGTCTCAAAAAAAAAAAAAAAAAAAAGAAAGACAGTGATGTGTTAGCAAACCAGCTTGTGGGGGAGATGGGGATCCCTGATTTGTAGCAGTTATCCGTGTGTAGTTATTCCGTGGTGTAGATACTTCCTCCCATGACCAATTTCCAACCACTGACAGTTTAACAACCAGCTTGCAAATTTCCTGAATATTTAACACTCTCACTAGCAGGTCTGAGCTGGCTCCAGCACACCACTGGTTCAGGGGAATCACTGGAGCTTACCTGGGACCCAGGATGTCTTGACAAAATGAGTAACAGATCACATGGAAGTGAAGAGAGAGAGGGTACCTCACACGTCATTTCTGCCCGCTGGCTCCCCTGGCTCAGGGTACTGGAAAGAGTACGGGCTTTAGAAAAGCTCTAGGTTCAAGTCCTTGTGTGACTGCAAGTTTCAGCATCCAACTCTGCAAAATAGGATTGATAAAACCAACCCACAGGATTACTTTGAAGATAAAATTAGATACCTAGATTAAATGCCTAACAAATACATGGAGCAAGCTCTCAATATACGTTTTCTTTTGCCCCCACCCTGTCCTAATTTTCTAGTAGTTCAAAGAATTCTTTTCCAAAGGACCCAATAGGAGAAGCTCAAATGCATCACTGTCAAAGAGGGGACAGGTAAGTCTACCCAATCCACCCCAGTGTGAGCTTTAACTTTGGACCCCTTCAAGGAGCACAGCTCTTTTCTGCTTCAAGACTCTCCTTTGTCCTCATTCCAAGAGGTGAGTTCACCAAAATTTTCTGGGGTTCATGCCACCTAGCTTCATTCTCCTCTGATATGGCAAGCTGCACCCAGAATCAGAAACCACACTTCAAAAAGGGAGCAGCATGTCAGGGCCAGAGCAAGGGCATCGGCTGCCCCAAGGCTGCCCTTTGTACGGGGCAGAGCACATAAAGCTTTCCGCAAGCCCCAAATGCCTCCCACATCAAACCAGGTCCTATAGTCAATGGTTACACTGAACACTCATGGGGATTTATGGCACAATTTTGCAGCAGGAGGTTGTGGTCCGAGATTTAGAAGAACTTTCCAACTATAAAACTACCCTAGAAGGAAGTGGAATCTTTGACTCTGTGGCTCGAGTGAGGGAGGAGTCAGAAGCAGAAGGGACATGAGGCTCCCTAGATTTGAGTTTTGCTGCTCACAAACAATGAAATGATTGGGATCATACAGCAGAGACAGCAAATGAAACTTTGGAGAAATACCGTTTCTTTTTATTTTTTATTTTTATTTTTATTTTTATTTTATTTTATTTTATTTTATTTTATTTTTTTGAGACGGAGTCTCACTCTTTTGCCCAGGCTGGAGTGAAGTGGCATGATCTCGGCTCACTGCAACCTCTGCCCCCGGGTTCAAGCGATTCCCTGCCTCAGCCTCCCCAGTAGCTGGGATTACAGGTGCTTGCCACCACGCCCGGCTAATTTTTGTACTTTTAGTAGAGACAGGGTTTCACCATGTGGCCAGGCTGGTCTCGAACTCCTGACCTCAGGTATTCCACCCACCTCAGCCTCCCAAAGTGTTAGGATTACAGGCGTGAGCACCACCCCCAGCCTAAGAAATATGGTTTCTTGTGACAAAGAGCTTTTGGTAACTCAGGAAATTTTCAGAAACTTTGAAGTATTATACAAAAACTCTTAATTAGAATTAGATGAGAAGGCCAGGTGCAGTGGCTCATGCCTGTAATCCCAACGCTTTGGGAGGCCGAGGCAGGCGGATCATGAGGTCAAGATATCGAGACCATCCTGGCCAACATGGTGAAACCCTGTCTCTACTAAAAACACAAAAGTTAGCTGGGCGTGGTGGTGCGCGCCTGTAGTCCCAGCTACTCAGGAGGCTGAGGCAGGAGAATCGCTTCAACCTGGGAGGTGGAGGTTGCAGTGAGCCGAGATCATGCCACTGCACTCCAGCCTGACGACAAGACTCCATCTCAAAAAAAAAAAAAAGAATTAGATGAGAAGATCTGGGTTTGAGCCATATCTGGCCACCTTCCAACTGACTGACCTATGCAAGTTATTTAACCACACTGAGTCTCAGTCACTCATATGTTCACTCACTCAGGCTATATTTATTGAGCATGTAGCATGTGTCTTGCATGGGGCTAAGAGAATCCTGGGAAGATAATGGTGAGCAAAACCGGGCACAGTCCTTTTTCTTTTCTTTCCTTTTCTTTTTTAAGTAGAGACGGGGTCTCACTCTAATGCCCAGGCTGGTCTCGAACTCCAGGGCTCAAGTGATGCTCCCACCTTGGCCTCCCAAAGTGCTGGGATTACAGGCATAAGCAACCTTGCCAGGCCCATGGTCCTTTTCTTACGAAGCTGAAAATTTATTCCTCCGTAACAAGGCATACTAATGCTGAGACCACTGGATATGCACATGCAAAAGAATGAAGTTGGACCCTTACCTCATACCATAGACAAAAATTTATTCAAAATAGATCAAAGACCTACATGGAAGAGATAAAACTATTAAATTCTTAGAAGAAAAGACAGATGTAAATCTTTGTGACCACAGACTAGGCAGTGGTTTCTTAGCTATGACACAGTGCACAAGCAGGAAAAAAAAATAGATAAATTGGACTTCAAAATTTAAAACTTTTGTGCTTCAAAGGACATTAAGAAAATAGGCTGGGCATGGTGGCCCATGCCTGTAGCCCAAGCACTTTGGGAGGCCAAGCCAGGAGGATTGCTTGAGCCCAAGAGTTCGAGATCAGCCTAGGCAACAAAGCGAGACCCTGTCGCTATTAAAAAAAAAAAAAAAAAAGAAAAGAAAGAAAGAAAGAAACAGGTAAAAAAGACCCATAGAATGGGATAAAATATTTGTAAATTATGTATCAGTTAAGAGACTTATATTTAGAATTTATAACAAACTCTTACAACTCAATAATAAAAAGACAACTCAATTAAAAAATACGCAAAGGATCTGAATAAACATTTCTCCAAAGGTATACAAATGACCAATAAGCACATGAGAAGACGTTCAGGCCAGGCGCGGTGACTCAGCACTTTGGGAGGCCGAGGTGGGCGGATCACTTGAGGTCAGGAGTTTGAGACCAGCCTGGCCAACATGCTGAAACCCTATCTCTAGTAAAAATATAAAAAAATAGCCAGGAGTGGTGGTGCACACCTGTAGTCCCAGCTACTCAGGAAACTGAGGCAGGAGAATCGCTTGAACCCAGGAGGCAGAAGTTGCAGTGAGCTGAGATCGTGCCACTGCATTCCAGCCTGGGCGACAGAGCGAGACTCCATCTCAAAAAAAAAAAAAAAAAGATATTCAACATCATTAACCACCAAGAAAATGCAAATCTAAACCACCATGAAATACCACTTCATACCCACTAAGATGGCTAGAATCAAAAAGACAGACTGGAGAAACTGGAACCTTCATACACTGCTGGTGAGAATGTCAAATGGCTCAGCAACATTGGAAAGCAGTTCTCAAAAGTGGAACATAAAGTTAATGACCTCGAAATTCCACTCCTAAGTGTATACCAAAGAGAAAATGGATGTCCACACAAAATCTTATACATGAATGTTCACACTAGCATTATTCATAATAGCTAAAATTTGGAAACAGTATAAATGTCCATCAACTGATGAATGTATAAATAAAATATGGTATATCCATACAATGAAATAGTATTCAACAATAAAAAGAAAGTACTGATTCATGCTACAACACTGAAAACACTATGCTAAGTGAAAGAAGCCAGACATAAAATGCCACATATTGTATGATTGTTTATATGAAATGTCCAGTGTAGGCAAATCTATAGAGACAAAAAGTAGATTAGTGGTTGCTTAAGGCTGGGAAGGGGAGAGATTGGGGGTAAAACCGGAAATGACTGCTAATGAGCATGGGACGTCTTTGAGTGTGATGAAAATGTTCTAAAATTGTGGTGATGGTTGCACAACTCTGTGAATATACTAAAAACCATTTCTGCCGGGTGCGGCGGCTCACGCCTGTAATCCCAGCACTTTGGGAGGCCGAGGTGGGTGGATCACGTGGTCAGGAGTTCAAGACCAGCCTGGCCAAGATGGTGAAACCCCATCTCTACTAAAAATACAAAAATTAGCCGGGCACGGTGGCAGGAGCCTATAATCCTAGCTACTCTGGTCTGAGCAGGAGTGTCGCTTGAACCAGGGCGGCAGAGGTAGCAGTGAGCCAAGACTGAGCCACTGCACTCCAACCTGGGCAATAGAGTGAGACTCTGTCTCAAAAAAAAAAAAAAAAAAAACACATTTCATTGTACATTTTTAAAGGGTGGATTTTTTTTTTTTTTGAGATGGCGTCTCACTTTGTACCCCCCAGGCTGGAGTGCAGGAGCATGATCTCGGCTCACCACACTGCAACCTCCACCTCTTACAAGGTGAATTATATAGTATGTGAATTGTATCTCAATATAAATGTTATTAAATTGTATACCCACATTCACAGCAGCATCATTCACAATAGCCAAAAGGTGGAAGCCATCCAAGTGTCCATCAATAGATGAATGAATAAGCAAAATGTGGCCAGGCCTGGTAGCTCACACCTGTAATCCAAGCACTTTGGGAGGCTGAGGTGGGAGGATTGCTTGAACCTAGGAGTTCGAGACCAGCCTGGGCAACTTGATGAGACCTCATCTCTACCAAAAACACAAAAATTAGCCAGGCATGGTGGTGCATACCTGTAGTCCCAGCTACTCAGGGGACTAAGGTGGTGAGAGGTTGACTTGAGCCAGGGAGACTGAGGTTGCAGTGGGCTGAGATCGCACCACTGCATTCCAGCCTGGGCAACAGAAGGAGACTCTGTCTCCACCCAAAAAAAAAAAAAAAATTGTATAATACATATATACATATAATGGAATATTTTTTTAAAAAGAAAATTCTGATATGCACTACAATGTGGATAAACCTTGAAGACATCCTGCTAAGTGAAATAAAAGCCAATCATGATCGGGCGTGGTGCCTCATGCCTGTAATCCTAGCACTTTGGGAGGCTGAGGCGGGTGGATCACCTGAGGTCAGGAGTTTGAGACCAGCCTGACCAACATGGAGAAACCCTGTCTCTACCAAAAATACAAAAAATTAGCCCAGTGTGTTGGTGCATGCCTATAATCCCAGCTACTCGGGAGGCTGAGGCAGGAGAATAGCTTGAACCTGGGAGGCAAAGGTTGCGGTGAGCCAAGATTGTGCCATTGCACTCCAGCCTGGGCAACAAGAACAAAAGTCCATCTCAAAAAAAAAAAAAAGCCAATCACAAGAGGAAAAATATTTTATGATTCCACCTTTTTTTTTTTTTTTAGACAGAGTTTTGCTCTGTCACCCAGGCTGGAGCGATCTCGGCTCACCACAAACTCGCCTCCTGGGTTCAAGCGATTCTTCTGCCTCAGCTTCTCAAGTAGCTGGGATTACAGGCGCCCACCACCACGCCCAGCTAATTTTTGTATTTTAAGTAGAGACGGGGTTTCGCAATGTTGGCCAGGCTGGTCTTGAATTCCTGACCTCAGGTGATCCGCCCACTTCGGCCTCCCAAAGTGCTGGGATTACACTCGTGAGCCACCATGCCTGGCCGATTCCACTTTTTTTAAGACAGAATCTTGCTGGAGTGCAGTAGCGTGAGCTCAGCTCACTGCAACCTCTGCCTCCCGCGTTCAGGCAATTCTTGTGCCTCAGTCTCCCAAGTAGCTGGGATTACAGGCACACGGCAGCATGCCCAGCTAATTTTTGTATTTTTAGTAGAGATGGGGTTTTGCCATGTTGGACAGGCTGGTCTCGAACTCCTGACCTCAAGTGATCCATCAGACTTGGTCTCCCAAAGTGCTGGGATTACACGTGTGAGCCATCGCGCCCAGCCTATTATTCCACTTATAAAAGGCACCTACATCCTGGCCAACATGGTGAAACCCCGTCTCTACTAAAAATACAAAAATTAGCTGGGCGTGGTGGCGTGTTCCTGTAATCCCAGCTACTCGGGAAGCTGGGGCAGGAGAATCACTAGAACCCAGGAGGCAGAGGTTGCAGTGAGCCAGGATCGTGCCACAGCACTCTGGCTTGGTGACAGAGAAAGACTCCGTCTCAAAAAAACAAATAAATAAAAAATAAAATAAAAGGCATCTAAAGTGGTTACATTCTACAGAAAGTAGAATGGTGGTTGCCAGGGCTAAGGAAAGTGGGGAATGTGAAGGTATTGTTTGCTGGGTGGAGTTTCAGTGGGGGAAGATGAAAAAGTTCTGAATGTGGCTGATGGTGATGGTTGCACAATAATGTGGATGTACCTAATGCCACTGAACTGTATGTTTACAAACAGTTAAAATGCTAAATTCTATGTCTATTTTACTACAATTTTCAAAATAAAGGCATAATGATAGCTCTTACCTCACAGGGTGATTGTAAGAATGAATAAGATGAATATTGGCTGAAGGAATGGCTAAAATGAGTAACAACTTTTATGAGCCTGGCCTGGAGAGCAGGGTTGGGAATGAGACAGGGAGTGGTGGAGGGACAATTTAACTGTCTACCTTAACACATGTACCATTGTTTAGGTTTTCCCCCAACTGTTATATAACTCAACAAAGTATAACATGGCAGAGGGCTGCTTA
Source organism: Homo sapiens (assembly GCF_000001405.40). Classification (NCBI taxonomy): domain Eukaryota; kingdom Metazoa; phylum Chordata; class Mammalia; order Primates; family Hominidae; genus Homo; species Homo sapiens. The sequence continues at coordinate 30,782,516 of NC_000006.12, read as the reverse complement.
CATTCTCAAGTTATTGATTTGTTCAAGTCTCAGTGTCCACAGAAAAGTGCATGAGTTTTGGGATCAACATTCTATCCTTGGCCAGTATTTGACCTTCTGTGTTTGTATCTTTATGTGTATCTTTCCCCAGATTTCTTTAGCTTTGCTTACCTTACTCCTCATCTACCCCCAATTGACTTGAGTCTTAGTCACAAAGATCTTCAATTTCCCTGTCTGATCACTAGATCCTCCCCTCTCATCTGAGAAAGGCCCCAGACTCAGATAGAAGGGCTCCCTGTCTCTCTGACCCAGTATGCCTCTTCCCCATTTTTACCTGACTTTATACAGTGAAATCTTCCCTGAGAGCTGACTTTTCAGTTCCTCACTTTGCGAATTGCAAGACCCACTCACCCAGGAGGCCGAAGATGGCTCAGAGCCCAGACAGCCGGAAGTCTGTTTCCTGGGCCGGGGAATGCTGGCAGAAATCCAGATAGCTGACGTCACCTGGTCCAGATGGCGGAAGCCATTGCCCAACCATAGGAAATCGATGCCAACAACACATTTCTCTATGACTGTCTCCCTCAATCCAGAAAAGCATTTTCATAGAGAGGAGGCAGCTCAATAGTAGTGGAAAGTGGCCTAGCCTTCGAACCATGTGATGTGTTGAGTATGAGGCTGGCTGCAGCGTCAGCTGACAGATAACGTGAGAGCGGAGCACTGTACTCCAAGTCAGAAAACGTAAGTCTGAGCAGGAGAGCGGCCACCTAACTTCTGACCTTTGACAAATCACTGGATTTCCTTCAACTGGCTTTTTTAAAGCTATGAATAATAATACCTCACAGAAGCTATTATTGCAAGGCTGGAATGAGGTCATCTGTATAGAAGATTTCATAAGCTTGAAGCAGGATGCCAATGCAAAATTCTGCCTCTGTGAGAGGCTTCCTGGGAGAAGCAGATCCTGAGGGGCAGAATGGAGAGTGACTACAGGCTGATCCCAGAGCCAGGCAGCTGGCGCTGTGTGAAAGTGGGCTTGCCGCTGCCTAGCTCTGCAATTGGGATGCATAACAGCCTCTCTGTGCCCAGTTACTCAGTCAAAATGAGGATAAGAATGCCCATGTCTGGTCGGGTGTGGTGGCTCACGCCTGTAATCCCAGGACTTTGGGAGGCTGAGGTAGGTGGATCACCAGGTCAAGAGATTGAGACCATCCTGGCCAACGTGGTGAAAACCCGTCTCTACTAAAAACACAAAAATTAATTGGGCGTGGTGGCACGCACCTGTAGTCCCAGCTACTCAGGAGGCTGAGGCAGAAGAATCGCTTGAACCCGTAAGGCGGAGGTTGCAGTGAGCCAAGATCACACCTCTGCACTCCAGCCTGGTGACAGAGCAAGACTCCATCTCAAAAAAAAAAGAATGCCCATGTCACAGGATGGTCTTGGGGGATAGGGGGACAGTAAGTGAGTTACTCCACATAGAGCACATAGCACAATGCCCAGCATGTGACAGCACTCACTGTTGAGTAATAATTAAAAAACAAATCAGGCTGGTGGGACCAGGGGAAAGCAAAGAAATGAGGCAAATGGCCCAAGACATATGGCCCTCCTGCTCAGATAATGTACATAACTCAAAAACTTCTGCTTACCATCAAACACCTCAATTTATCAAACACCCTGGCTGACAAAAAAAAAAAAAAAAAAATGCAAGTTACCTCCCTGCTACCCTGGCATAATCAGTACTGCACATAACACTCTACAGCCTAAGAGCCATCCTACAAAATCCCCAACAAGCCTTTGTTTCCTTGCAGTCAGCTCCTCTTCTGCTGGCCTGCCCGTTGCTCTCCTGCCCATTGCTCTCCTGTTTTTCTACTTTCTCTAATAAATTTGCCTTTCTCTACCTACAACTGTCTTGGTAAATTCTCTTACCCCTGAGCCGCCAGCCCAGATAGCCGTTGCTCCCCTGAAACATTTTGGTGGCCCATACAGGGAACTCTCCCTCTCCATACAGGGACTCTCTCTCCTTTCCCTTTCCCAACTCGGGACCCTCGAAGGACAGCATCTAAGCACAAAGACAATTGCAGGTCTCTGGCCAGAGCTACACTCCAGTGAGACTGAAAGGTGTCTGTCCATGTGGAAGCATCTGATCATCATTGCCTGGTTTGGGTGAGTGACCTGACTTTTTTTCTTTTTTCAGTCTTTCAGCAACCAGCTTCTAGTATCTCTCTGGCAATCAAAGGTAACTGGCCAGGGCCACTCTCCAGTGTTGCCTGAAGGCCCAGAGTGAACAGGGCTAGCTGCCCTGCCTGGAAGGGAGAAAGGCTGTTGCCCATCTTCTCTAATTGCAAGTCCCTCATCCCTATATGTGACACAATTGACAGCAGAAGCTTGTTCGGGGCAAACTCACACACGTTTTAGGTAACTCAGACGCTCTCTTTCTCACTCTAAATTCACCTATGGAGTCAGCCAGCCATCCTGTCCTGGGCCTTGCTAAATCAGGTGATGTCAGACAGCCTCAGAACGGTGAGTCTTCTCTTACCCACCCCACCTCCTGGGCCAAGACCAGGTAGAGATCTTCCTTTACCCTTCTTTTTCCTCGTGCCTGGGCTGATCACCCAGCATAAGTGAGTGCCTGGACTGGCCATCCAGCATGAGGCCCCTGAGCGGCCAGGAGGTCTTTTCTAATTGGTGGGATGCCCCCTTTGGAAAGTGCATCCAAGTCCCTCTGTGGATGTAAGTGGAACCCTCTGTTCATCTCAGTGAGATGCCCCCCGCAGAAAAGTGCAGTTCATGTCCCTGATTGACATTGCCCCAGAGCGGCATGTTTTCCAGTCCCACCATGGAGCAAACCCCGTCCGTTCCTGCAAACTTGCCTCTAGGCTGTAAAGAATTGTGACAAATTCTACCGCCAAACTCTCAAAAAGAAACATCTAATTTTCTTGTATAACACAGCATGACCCCTATGCAGAAAATTACCAAATTAGCCTCCTCAGTCTTTATAACCAAGAACAAAATAAGGAGGACAAGACTAAGAAAAAAACAAACACGGAGCCAAAAGGCAGGCTCAACTGTTGGCTGCTTTACAAGCCCCAGCTCCTACTCAGATAGCAGAACTCACAAACTTCCTGCTTACCATCAAACACTTCAACTTTCCAGACATCCCAGCTGACAAAAAAATGCAAGTTACCTCCCTGCAACCCTGGCGTTTTCCTAATTACTGTAATAAATCTGCCTTTCTCTACCTACAACTGCCTTGGTAAATTTTTTTTTTCTTTTTTTGAGATGGAGTCTCACTCTGTCACCCAGGCTGGAGTGCCGTGGCGCAATCTCGGCTCACTGCAAGCTCCGCCTCCCAGGTTCAAGCAATTCTCCTGCCTCAGCCTCTCGAGTAGCTGAGATTAGATTACAAGCACCCACCACCGCGCCCGGCTAACTTTTGTATTTTTAGTAGAGACAGAGTTTTACCATGTTGGCCAGGCTGGTCTCAAACTCCTGACCTTAGGTGATCCACCCGCCTCGGCCTCCCAAAGTGCTGGGATTATGGGCGTGAGCCACTACGCCCGGCTGGTAAATTCTTTTACCCCAACGCCACCACCGCAGATAGCCATCACTCCCCTGAGACACTGATGAAGCAGCGGCTAGGATGATTCTTCCAGAGGCCATCCTGTCCACTTGCAGGCCCTGGGCTGGGTGGGTATTCAGCCCAATCCCCAGAGACCTCATGCAAAGAAATGCTGCCCCAACACACTGTCCACATGGCAGGCAGAGCAATTTAGCTAAAAATCTGACCATGTCACTTCCCCACATAACAGCCCAAATATCCCCGAGCCCATCCACTTAAAGACCAACATCTTAACATTTGAGTCTCTGTGATAGGACCCTGAATCCCTCTCCAGCCTCATCTCCTGCTGCCCACAGCCTCTCATCAAGGGTCCAGCAACCCCAGACTACCTGCAGCTACCTGGCTCCTATTGCCCCTCTGCCCATCGTGGTCCCTCTTTCTCCTCAGAAACCTTGCCATTGCTAACTCCTAGTTATCCTTCAAGACACTCAGGCTCAAATTTTCCAGAAAGCCCCTTTGCAGGGCCTGCTTCCCCTTCTCTTCCCTTAATTCCTCCTGGCACTTCCATCATTGCACAAGCCAGATTGAATCCCAACTGTTCTTGTGTCTGTTTCACACCAGTCTAGGGGCTCCTTGAAGGCAGAGGCCAGCACTAGGTCTTGGTTGCCCCTGTAAAGCCAGCCCAAGCACAATGTCAGGCACAGAGTAGGCGCCCAGTAAACCGAGTGGAAAGACTGATAAATGCACACCCAGAAGCTCTATTTGCCAAAGTTTGTTTGTTCATTTGTCTTAAGGGAAAATGTTGTTTGCCTGGGGTTGGGGCCAACAATTCCAAGAAATACAGTTTCCCTTTGCCTCAGTGGTTTTTCCTTTTGTTTTCTTTTGTTTTTCTGAGAATCACCTCTGTCTATGCCTCAGACATCCCTTATACCTGTTTTTTTGTTTTGTTTTGTTTTGTTTTTTTTTATTTTTATTTATTTATTTATTTTTTATTTTTTGAGACAGAATCTCACTCTGTGGCCCAGGCTGGAGTGCAGTGGCGCACTCTCACCTCACTGCAACCTCTGCTTCCCAGTTCCAAGCGATCCTCATGCCTCAGCCACCCAAGTAGCTGGGATTACAGGCCTGCACCACTAAGGCCAACTAATTTTTGTATTTTTAGTAGAGACGGGGTTTCAGCATGTTGGCCAGGCTGGTCTTGCACTCCTGACCTCAGGTGATCCATCTGACTGGGCCTCCCAAATTGCTGGGATTATAGGCGTGAGCCACCCTGCCTGGCCCTCTGTACCTCTTTCTTCCCTGTTTTTATACTTTGTCTCGCCTTCTTTATCACTTTGTTTCTTTTCCTTTCCTCTGTATTACATTTCTGTACCTTTGTTGCTTTATATCCTTTCTTCTTCCTTTTTCTTTTGTGGTTGAGTGGCTCTCTGTTCTATTGCCCTTTAGCCAGGGTTAGAAGCTGGTAAGAACATTCCTGGGGGCCAGGTGCGGTGGCTCATGCCTGTAATCCAGCACTCTGGCAGGCCAAGGCAGGGGGATCACTTGAGCCCAGTAGTTCAAGACCAGCCTGGGCAACATAGTGGGACCCTGTCTCTGCAAAAAATAAAAAAATCAGCTGGGTATGGCAGGGTATGTCTGCAATCCCAGCTACTCGGAAGGCTGAGGTGGGAGAGGATTACTTAAGATCAGGAGGGGAAGCCTGCAGTGAGCTATGATCACGCCACTGCACGCCAGCCTGGGTAACAGAGCAAGATTCTGTCTCAAAAAAAAAAGTATCCCTGGGTTCATGACTCTTAGAAAGAAAAAAGGAGAGTCTGAAAGGAAGAAAATCAGCTTTATTATGTACCAAGAAGTTCCAAACATTTTACTTCACATAATCTTAGTAATAAATGTGTAATGTGGTATATCAACCAAGCAGGCTAGGTTATGCTTCAGTAACAAACAACCCCCAAATCTCAATGGCTTTTATGCAGCAAAGCTTCATTGACTCTCCTGCCACATATCCATGGTGGGTTGGCCGAGGCTCTGCTCTGAGCTGTCATTGTCCTAACTCCAGGACCCAGGTTGACAGAGCAGCCACTATGTGGAATATCACCAATTACTATAGTTGAAGGAGAAAAAAAAATGTGGAAAAGCATACACTAGCTTTTAAAACTTCCACCTAGAAGGCACCATTTTAATTGGCCTCAGTAAGTCACGTAGCCACGCCTGGATTAGTGGGTAGGAGTTAAATGGAGTGGCAAAGTTCAATTTTCTTACACCCTTTGAAGGAAAGAGGGCCTCAAGTATTTAAAAATAGGTCTGATAATCACAGTGGATGTTACTGTTCCCACTTTACTGATGAAATAGCTGAGGCTCAAGAAGTTTACATAGTTTGTTCAAGAACATGCAGCAAATATCAGAGAGAGGAAGTGAACCCATGCCTTTTGATTCCTAGGACTGTGACCTTCCCCTCCACTGGGTTTTTAAGATGCTAGGCCTGGCCAGGCACAGTGGCTCATGCCTGTAATACCAGCACTTTAGGAGGCTGAGGTGGGCGGATCACTTGAGGCCAGGAGTTCGAGACCAGCCTGGCCAACATGGCTAAACCCTATCTCTACTAAAACTACAAAAAATTAGCTGGCGAGGTGGTGTGTGCCTGTAATCCCAGCTACTTGGGAGACTGAGGCCGGAGAATCACTTGAACCCAGGAGGCAGAGGTTGCAGTGAGCTGAGATGGTGCCACTGCACTCCAGCCTCGGCAACAGACCAAGACTCTGTCTCAAAAAAAAAAAAAAAAAAAGGCCGAGCACGGTGTCTCACGCCTGTAATCCCAGCACTTTGGGAGGCCAAGGCGGGAGGATCACGAGATCAGGAGATCGAGACCATCCTGGCTAACACAGTGAAACCCCGTCTCTACTAAAAAATACAAAAAAAATTAGCCGGGCGCGGTGGCAGACGCCTGTAGTCCCAGCTACTAGGGAGGCTGAGGCAGGAGAATGGCGGGAACACGGGAGGCGGAGCTTGCAGTGAACCGAGATCGCGCCACTGCACTCCAGCCTGGGCGACAGAGCCAGACTCTGCCTGAAAAAAAAAAAAAAAAATTAGGCCTTTTCTACCAACTTTTTGGACACTGCTGTGAGGCTTGGCTTGCTGGAACCCAGGAAGAAAAAGGATAAGAAGCTCATCTTTGCTCACTGGCCCCAGAGCATGACTTCTGGTGAGGGGCATCAGAATCTCTCTCCAAAACATTGAGAGACTTCTAATTCCCAAGACAAAACCAGGTGGGTTATAAAACTTGCACCACAATTGTTAGAAACCTTCCAGACAAAACCAATTTATGGTAACAGAAGTCAGAATAGGCCAGGCGCAGTGGCTCACGCCTGTAATCTCAACACTTTGGGAGGCCAAGGAGAGCAGATCACTTAGGTCAGGAGTTCCTGTCCTCAGGTGATCCACCCACCTTGGCCTCCCAAAGTGCTGGGATTACAGGCGTGAGCCACCACACCCCACCAGCAGCCTGACTCATAATGGTCCCCACTGACCTGGGCAAGCAGCTGGCAAGTGCTGACCATGTGGCCAGAGGAACAGACTCTTCCGTTTCATCAGTACTGCATCAGTCTGGGCATCTTGTATGACCTGAGGGAGGGAGCCTGAAAACTGTCTGACACTGGAGTTCCAGTCAGTGGTGGGCAGGGCTGGACCCAGAGTCTATTTGAGTGAGTCCACAAAGAAACAAGACATTACTTGTAGCCCAGGAGCTGTGGGGCAATCATATCTGTTGCATATATGTGGACATACATGCCTACCTTCACATAAATGTTTCTAGATAGATAGAGAAGGATCTAGTAACAGTTATGAGTCTGGGAAGTGGGACCGGATCTCCCTTTTTTTTTAACTGTTTTTTTTTTAATTGAACAGATTTTCTTGTATAATAAAAATGTATTTCAAAATTAGAATGACAGCAATAATAAACTCAGATTGCTAAATTCTTCAAACGATAGGAAAGCTGGTAACCCTGCCTCATGGGAGGGGTAAGCTTGTGACCCACACCTCGACAGTGATGTCTCCCAGCTATGGCGTGTCCTCTGGGCAGCTGGAAAGGAGGCTAAACATAGAAAAGCCTGTGGAGTGTGCCAAGACGGATCAGGCCTGGTGCTAGAACATTCCTTCACTCTGTCAATGAGCAACCACCTCGTACCTGTGTCTCAGGGACCGGGGACGTAGGAGTGAGCAAAGCACACTGGCTTCCTAGACCCCGAGACTTAGATGCTAAAGGAGGGGATGTGTGGGTCACTCTGGCCCAGCAGGAGGACAAGGAAGGAGAGTGAGAACCACAGAGGGCCCAGGAAGATCCCCAGGCCTGGTACAGGGCAAGGCGGGGAAGGTGGTATGCCTTTTCCAGGGTAGCCAGTTCCTTAGCGCCTCCTTTCAGGAACTCCTCTGCGCTATTGAGGGGCTAGAAGGTCTCTTCTTAATTAAAAATAATTTTATTTTAAAAATTAACATAAAGTAAAATTGATTTTTTTCAGTGGACAGTCCTATGAGTTTCACATGTGTAAAGATTCATGTAATCACCACAATCGATCATGTAATCACCACCACTGAAACAGAATAGCTCCACTGCCTAAAACACTCCCTCGGGCTACCCCTTTGTAGTCCCATCCTCTTTCCTGCCCCCGACAAACTCCCTGCTATTTTGCTATTTTGATCTAGTCTCTGTTGCTATCGTTTTATCTTTTCAAAAGTGTCACATAAATGGAATCATACAGTCTGTAACTTTTGAGAACTTTTTTCACTCAGCGTAATGCCTTTGAGATTCATCCAAGTCATTGCATGTGTCAGTAATTTGTTTCCTTTTTTCATTTTAAAAATGTATGCAGTTTGATGTTTTTCTCCTTTTCCTTTTCTTTTCTTTTTTTAAGCAAGGTTTCACTGTGTTGCCCAGGCTGGAGTAGTGGCATGATAATGGTTCACTGCAGCTTCAACCTCCTGGGCTCAAGTGATCCTTCTGCCTCAGCCTGAGCAGCTAGGATTACAGGCGTGCACCACTATGCCCAGATAATTTTTGTATTTTTTGCAGAGACAGGGTTTCACCATGTTGCCCAGACTGGTCTTGAACATCTGGGCTCAAGCAATCCTCCTGCCTCAGTCTCCTAAAGTGCTGGGATTACAGGAATGAGCCGGTGTACCTGGCCCCAATTAGTTTTTTTAAATTAAATTAATTAACTAATTGGCTATCAGCAGGAAACAAACCGATGAGCTTTTACATTTATATTTACCCATTTAACCACCATCTAGACAAGATAGCTTCAACCCAGGAGTCTCCCTTGTTTCCCTTGCAGTCAATATGTAGCACCCTCTTTCCTGCCCACCTCACTCCAAACTAACCACCATTCTGATTTTTTTTTTTTTTGAGACAGAGTCTTGCTCTTGTTGCCCAGGCTGGAGTGCAGTGGAATGACTTCAGCTCACTGCAACCTCCGCCTCCCAGGTTCAAGCGATTCTCTTGCCTCAGCCTCCCGAGTAGCTGAGATTACAGGCACCCACCACCACGCCCAGCTAATTTTTGTATTTTTAGTAGAGACGGGGTTTCACCATGTTGGCTAGGCTAGTCTCAAACTCCTGACCTCAAGTGATCTGCCCACCTCGGCCTCCCAGAGTGCTGGGATTACAGGTATGAGCTATTGTGCCCAGCCTGCACCCCTTCTCTTTTCCATGAGTCCATGGAAGTCTAAGAGTCAACCAAGAAGTAGGCTCCTGCCCTCACACCCTGTACTCTCATACCATCTGGCACCACAGGTATCTTTCCAGCTCTTCCAAAACGAGGCCTGCTTAGGGTGGGTTTCCTTTACAGCCCCACCCAGCCTGATTCTTTCTGTTCCTTCTAAAACATACACAAAAAGCCAAACACCTCAGGGGTCAGGAAATCCACAATTTCAAAGAAATGAAGTCCTGGTTGCCCAGAGGTGGGAGAGGAGAGGAACACTTTAGTTTCTTTTTAATTCTCAGTAGATTGTTGTTACATGACATTCATAATAAACTGTCCTGCTATGTAACATATTCTTTTAAATATGATTGTTCCTTCAAATGTGATACATGTTGGGAAAGTTGTAGGGAGATCAGTTAATAATCATTTATGGGAATGTTTCCTGAATGAAGGAGCCCAGGATGGGCACGGGATAGGAGATTTCAAGTAAGGAACAGATAGGACCCTTCTGAGAGATTTCAACCCAAATTAGACAACAAAATACATATACTCTCTGAGGACAGCTCAGGTCAATGGAAATGTATTGAGCATCTACCAGTAAAAGTTAATCTTGACTGCTTAGTAGGCACCAGGCACTGTGCTAGCCCTGGGGATACTGCAACCAACCAGACAGAGATCTTCCTGCCTTGTGGAGCTCAGAAGGACAGATATGAAACACACAGGACTGAGGTGGTGACTCTTACACAAGGTGGAGTTCAGGGTACCATAGGCATGTATAGCCAGAGGACCTAACACAGGATGCAGATCAGGGAAGGCCTCTCCTAGAAGCTAATGTTCAAACTGAGACTTGAAAATGATGAAAATATAAAAACATCAGAGCAGGGGGAGGGGGAACCTGAGCTACAAGAGATCCAGACAAGTCGGAGGAACCAAAAAAATTCCAAGATATAAAAGCGTACAGACAGAGAGGTGAGTTGGGTTTAGAAGAGGCTGGTAAGGTGGGCTCAACCAAAAAAGGCCCAGTGGACCCTACACTATGGAATGAATTGTGTCCCCCCAAATTCGTATGTTGAACCCCTAACTCTCAATGCGACTATATTTGGAGATAGGGTTTTTAGGTGATTCAGGTTAAATGAGGTCCTAAGGGTGAGGCCCTAATCTGATGGGACTGGTGTTCTTATAAAAGGAACAGGATGCACAAGAGAGCTCTCTCTCCCCACATGCACGAAGAGGCCATGTGAGTACAGAGCAAAATGGCGGCCACCTACAACGAAGTAAAGAGGACTCTGGGCCAGGTGCGGTGGCTCACACCTGTAATCCCAGCACTTTGGGAGGCTGAGGAGGGTGGATCACCTGAGATCAAGAGTTTGAGAACAGCCTGGCCAACATGGTGAAACCCCGTCTCTACTAAAAATCAAAAATTAGCCAGGCATGGTGGTGGGCGCCTGTAATCCCAGCTACTCAGGAAGCTGAGACAGGAGAATCACTTGAACCTGGGAGGCAGAGTTTGCAGTGAGCCGAGATCATGCCATTGCACTCTAGCCTGGGTGACAGAGCAAGACTCTCTCTGTCTCAAAAAAAAAAAAAAAAAGAGAAAGAAAGAGGCCAGGCGTGGTGGCTTACGCCTGTAATCCCAGCACTTTGGGAGGCCGAGGCAGGCAGATCACAAGGTCAAGAGATCGAGACCATCCTGGCCAACATGGTGAAACCCCGTCTCTATTAAAAGTATCAAATTAGCTGGGTGTGGTGGCGGGCACCTGCAGTCACAGCTACTCGGGAGGCTGAGGCAGGAGAATCACTTGAACCCGAGATCACGCCATTGCACTCCAGCCTGGGCAACAGAGCAGGATGCTGTCTCAAAAAAAATAAAAAAATAAAATAAAATAAAATAAAAGAAAGAAAGAAAAGAGGACTCTGAAAGTCTGAATAAAGCTGACCTTGCCAGCACTTTGGTCTTGGACTTCTCAGCTTCCAGAACTGTGAGAAATAAACTTCTGTTGTTTAAGCCACCCCGTCTAGGATATTTTGTTATGGCAGCCTGAGCTGACTAATACACCATATAAGAATTTTGAGTATATTTCTAAAAGCCTGGTGGGAAGCCACTGGAGTTCTAAGCCAGGGACAGACATGCGTACATCTGTGAGGCTCATTTTGGCGGCAGAGTGGAGAAGGCATCTGAGCAGGGCAAGACTAGAAGCAGAGAGATGAGGTAGGAGGTGAGGGTAGGTGCTCAGGCTGGAGATGATGTTGGAGGCTTAGAGCCTGGTGATGTGGGGATGAGGAAAAGTGGAGAGATTGGAGAGACCTTCATGGGGAAAATCAAAGGACTTGGGGATTAACAGAATAAGAGGAGAGGGGAGGGGGAGTCCAAAGGCCCCCAGGTACAGTGGAAAGAGCCCTGGGCTGGGAATCTAAAGATCCAAGTTCTATTCCCAGATCTGTCACCCAATGGCTTTGGCTAAGTGGCTTCACTACCCTTCACCACTTTAGTTTCCTCATCTGTACAGGAAGAGATGGGCCTGCTGATCTCATGGTGCCGTCCAATTCCATTATCCTGTGATTCTGTGAAGTAAATGCATTAACAAGATAAAACAATGGTGTCATCTCCCCAGGATTGTTCACGGACCTCTCCTCCACACTTTACCTAACACTATTGATCACCGTTTACTTAGCTGTACATTAGAAAGCTTCCATTACTGATCTGTCTCCCTCAAAAGACTGAGACCTCCTCGAGGGTAAGAACTGGGTCATTTTGCTTGGTATCCTGTACCTGAAACCAAGCCAGGCACATAGTAATTGATTAATTATATTTGTTAAATTGATTATTGTAAGTGCTGGGAAGACAGGCACATGGTTATTCCGGGAAGGCATCTGGGTATGATGTATGTTTTCTGAGTACAGGGCACTGTGATGGGTGCTAGGGCCATCAGAGTAAACAAGAAAACCAGTCACAGACCTTACGTCAGGTAGCTAGGCAGACATTAAACACAAGAGGACAAAAATGATGATTTATTTCTAGTTGTGGTGAGTGCTACAAGGAAAAGTACTGGGTATTGTGAGTGTGTAATAAAGAGACTAGCTTGGGGGTAGAGGGAAGGTTTCTCTGAAAGAATGACCCTTAAAATAATAAGGATGAGTAGATTTGCTCACAGATTGAAGGAGGGGAGAGACAGAGAGCATGACTGCAGGTAAAAGAAGCAATAAGCACACATGAAGGCCTGAAGCTGGACGGAGTTCTGGCGAGGAGAATGCCAGATGGAAATCCACCGGAATGTAATGTTAGCTAATTTGGGTTATGGAATTATTGGTGCTTTTTATTCTCTTTTGTGTATATTTTGCATATTACAGATTTCCCACAACAAACATGTACTATTTTAATCATGGGGGTTGGGGGGGGCATTGCTAGTTTTAACAAAATAATAAAGGATGTGGGGAGCATGGGTGTCTGGAGGAGGGGTGCATTCCAGAGGGATTGATGACACGAGCGGTGACTAAGTCCTGCATGGGGGAGGGCAGGAGGCCCATCAGTGGGGCTGGAACAAAGCAGCAAGGATGACTCACAAAAGACACAGCCGAAGCCAGTGCATCAGGGCCCGTGGAGGTGAGGCTGGGGAGTCGGAGGTGATATGAGAAGTCGCAGGGAGCTACTGTCAGACCAACTAGGCAGGGACAGCCTACACCTGAGTAGAGGAGAGGATGAGGAACCAGAGAGAAAAAGCTCCCCTCAGCAGTCCCTGTGGGGCTGGTACAGGACCTTGGGAACCTGGTAAGGGCAGAGTCCTCCTTGTTACTTTCCAGGCACGAAAGGGTTAGATTGTCCCGTGCTTTCTGCCCCCACAGCGGAAGTGGAAGCTGTGGTTTCCAAAGGCCCTTCCTGATCTGCAATCTCTGAGAAATCAACTAAAGAGATAAAGTCAAAGGTTGGTTGGTGGTGTGCAGTGGGCGCGGGGGTGGATCACAGGCAGGAGTTGGAAAATTGAGGCCTGATGCAAGCTCTAAGATCCGCCCCCACCCACTCCTGATCATGAGTGATAAGCACCCCACCACCCACTCTGCCACTTGGCCGGGATTTCCCCGGAGCCTGTGAAGTATTCCCAGGGCTGGGATGTGACTTGGGAGGAGGTGGTAATTGGCTCCTTTCTCCGCTCTGAGCTGGGCCTCCAGGAACTGCCTCCACCACGTCCCCCTTCCCCTCCAGGGGAGTTACTCAGCACAGTCTGACTGCTCCACCTGAACCCTCCTTAGCATCACCCACTCACCTCACACTCCTGACCCAGGTGCTGCCTGCTCATAGCCAGGGCACAGAGATGAGGAGCAACTTCATCCCAGTCTTCTACCCAGCCCCAAAGCTGAATTCCGCAACAGGACCTGGTCCTGACCCTGCTCCCATGAAGAGATGCAAAATCACACTAAATCTTCATGTTAAATCATCATATGTATCAAATGCCAACCAGTCAGTAAGCAGCCGAGGGCACGCTGTCCACAGCCCTACAGCTAGGCCTGTGCTGCTACCAGGGTGCAGAGGCAGGGGCCTTGAAGAAACAGCCCCAGCCCCTAGGAATGCTATTTGCTGTTGGAGACAACAAGTTCTTAATAAAAGCCACATCAACCCAGAAGACCTGAGTCATCTGAGAGAGACCATTTGCGCCTCTAAGCCTCAGTTTCTTCAATTGTGAAATGGTAATGACAGCTAGTTTAGAATTAAATGATGCCGTGTATGAAAAATAGATGAGAGACTTAGAAGGATCCCGTCCTTCCACAGATACTTATTCCTGGGCCAATGCTCAGGATATAAAGATAAAGTAAACAAACGTAACAGGCCTGATCCCTGCCCTCAAGAGGTTCCTCAAGTTGCTGTTATTGTTGACCCAATGACAGCTAAATAAATGAAGGCCACTCATAAAAAGCAAATGGAGGCTCCGATAGAGTGTGGCCGATGGTATTTTCCAAAGTTGGGTGCCCCTTTCCACTTGCTCTCCTTGTCCCATGACTGACACTCCAGGTAGGGGCCATGTTCCCTCTCTTTGAATGGGAGCGGGGCTGTGACTACTCTGACCAATAGGGTAGGAGGGAGGTGATGCAGATCAAAAAAAGATGAGGTTATAAAAAGAATGCAGCTGGGCACAGTGGCTCACACCTGTAATCCCAATACTTTAGGAGGCTGAGATGGACAGATTGCTTGAGCCCAGGAGTTGGAGACCAGCCTGGGCAACATAGTGAGACCCTGTCTCTACAAAATAATGATAATAATAATACAAAAATCAGCCAGGCATGTTGGCAGTAGCCCCAGCTACCAGGGAGACTGAGGCAGGAGGATCACTTAAGCCTGGGTAGTCAAGGCTGCAGTGAACCATGACTGCACCACTGCACTCCAGCCTGGGCAACAAGAGTGAAACTCCGCCTCAAAAAAAAAAAAAGCAGTTCATGCCTGGTTCCCTCACAGCAACCCAGCCACTATGCAAGAGAAACTCTAACTAGACCACAGGTAGAAACCCTGAGGTCCCTGAGCTAACTGCCAGCATCCACTGCAAAGTGTCTGCAGACGATTTCAGTCCCCCAGCTTTCGAGTCTTCCAGCTGCAGCCCCAGATAACATGGAGCAGAGACAAGCCATCCCCACTGCGGTGTGTCCAAATTCCTGGCCCACAGAATCCGTGAACGTAATAAAGGGTTGTCTCATGCCACAAAATTTTGAGGCAATTTGTTGGACAACAAAAAATAACCAGAACACAGAGGACAAGCCAGAATGAGCAGCACATAAGTCGAAGGAGAAAGTACCCTAGAGGTGTTAAGAGTTAGTCAGAATGGAAGGACATTAACTGTGGAAAGCATTACTAGACCTCACGTCACCATATGGTTTTGTACTCTGTCCTGCTGTGAAACTCTTCCTTCAAAGGCCACCAGCAACCCCCAAAGTGACAAATATACAAATTCCCTCTTGTTTAAACTATCATCTAGGCCTGCGCCATGGCTCACACCTATAATCCCAAAACTTTGGGAGGCTGAGGCAGCAGGATCATTTGAGCCCAGGAATTTGAGACCAGCCTGGGCAACACAGTGAGACCCCCAGTCTCTAAAAAAATGTTTAAAAAATTGGCTGGGAGTGGTGACATACACCTGTAGTATCAGCTACTCAAGAAGCTGAGGTGAGACGATCTCTTGAGCCTGGGAGGTCAAGGCTGCAGAGAGCTATGATCATGCCACTATACTCCAGCCAGGGTTACAGAGCAAGACCCTCTCTCCAAACAAACAAACAAACAAACAAACAAAAAAACCCTCACAAACAAACAAACAAAAAACCCTATCATCTGTGCGCCGAAGTCCCCCACTCCAATAGCTACATACCTAGTCCTATCTTTTCACCTGAACTCCTGTCTTGTAGCTCCAATTTCCCGCAGTCACATGCCAGTTCCTTATTTCTTTGCCACCTCAAATCCAACACAACCAAAATGGATTCACTATCATGGACACTGTTTGGGCTCAGGTCCTTTTCACCAGTGAGTCCACTCACTTTCCAGCTTTTGGGAATATCAGCTGATAACCACACACAATTGTCCCCTTTTCTGGAGAATTGCCCTGGGCCAAACAGGAGCCAAGCCCTCCTCCCTTGCACACACTCTGGACAGACTCCCAGTGGCTGCCTGACCTTAAAGCAGATCTACAAAACGCCAGCCCCCATGCCTCCAAGTGCAATTGACTGGTGCAATTTGCTGCCCTGAGCTTCCCCATGAGCTCAGGCTGAAGCTCACATCCTTGCTTAGCCTTTTTCCCTTCCCTATCCTGTTTTCTTCAGTCTTTCTCCTGAGAGCCTCCCGCAGTGTATCTCTTGAACAAAAGTCCCCACCCCAGGTTCTGCTTCAAGGTAGCCCAATCTAAAACACCTGCTGCCGAGTGCAGTGGCTCACACCTGCAATCCCAGCACTTTGGGAGGCCAAGGTGGGCAGATTGCTTTGAGCTCATGAGTTCAAGACCAGCCTGGAGACAGGCTGGACACAGCAAAATCTTGCCTCTTCAAAAGATACAAAAAAAAAATTAGCCTAGCTTTGTGGCATGCGCCTGTAGTCCCAGCTACTTGGGAGGCTGAGACAGGAGGATCGATCGCTTGAGCCCAGGAGGCAGAGGTTGCAGAAAGCTGAGATTGCACCACTGCACTTCAGCCTGAGTGACAGAGGAAGACCCTGTCTCGAAATAAAATAATAATAATAATAGGCCGGGTGCCGTGGCTCATGCCTGTAATTCCAGCACTTTGGGAGGCCAAGGTGGGCGGATCACTTGAGGTCAGGAGTTGGAGATCAGCCTGGCCAACATGGTGAAACCCCGTCTCTAGTAAAAATAAAGAAATTAGCTGGCCATGGTGGCACATACCTGTTACCCCAGCTACTCGGGAGGCTGAGGCAGGAGAATCACTTGAATCTGGGAGGCAGAGGTTGCAGTGAGCTGAGATTGCACCATTGCACTCCAGTCTGGGCAACAAGAGCAAAACTCCATCTCAAAAAAATAATAATAATAAATAAAACACCAACCAAGCCAAGTTTACTTTGTTTACCCTGTTGCTATGAGACCTGTCTCTCATCACCCCAGCCTACAACTCCCTTTCAGACCAGCCATCAGTTTGAATACATTTTCTAGCAAATGCCTCTCATTCTTCCTCCTCATTCCCATTGTCCCCATGTAATCACTGTTCAGGAAGTCAGGGACCCCAAACGGAGGGACCAGCTGAAGCCATGGCAGAAGAATGTGGATTGTGAAGATTTCATGGACATTTATTAGTTCCCCAAATTAATACTTTTATAATTTCTTATGCCTGTCTTTACTGCAATCTCTAAACATAAATTGTGAAGATTTCATGGACACTTATCACTTCCCCAGTCAATACCCTTGTGATTTCCTATGACTGTCTTTACTTTAATCTCTTAATCCTGTCATCTCGTAAGCCAAGGAGGATGTATGTCGCCTCAGGACCCTGTGATAATTGCATTAACTGCACAAATTGTAGAGCATATGTGTTTGAACAATATGAAATCTGGGCACCTTGAAAAAAGAGCAGGATAACAGCAATGTTTAGGGAACAAGAGAGATAACCTTAAACTCTGACCGCCGGTGAGCTGGGCGGAACAGAGCCATATTTCTCTTCTTTCAAAAGCAAATGGGAGAAATATTGCTGAATTCTTTTTCTCAGCAAGGAACATCCCTGGGAAAGAGAATACACGCCTGGGGGTGGGTCTCTGAACTGGCCCCCCTGGGCGTGGCCATCTTCTATGGTCGAGGCTGTAGGGGTGAAATAGACCCCAGTGTCCCATAGCGCTCCCAGGCTTATTAGGAAGAGGAAATTCCTGCCTAATAAATTTTGGTCAGACCAGTTTCTCTCAAAACCCTGTCTCCTGATAAAATGTTATCAATGACAATTGTGCCAGAAACTTCATTAGCAATTTTAATCTCGCCCCGGTCCTGTGGTCCTGTGATCCCGCCCTGCCTCCATTTGCCTTTCGATATTCTATTACCTTGTGAAGTACTTGATGTCTGTGACCCACACCTATTCACACACTCCCTCCCCTTTTGAAAATCCCTAATAAAAACTTGCTGGTTTTGCGGCTTGCGGGGCATCACGGAACCTACCAACATGTGATGTCTCCCCCGGATGCCCAGCTTTAAAATTTCTCTCTTTTGTACTCTGTCCCTTTATTTCTCAAACTGGCCGATGCTTAGGAAAATAGAAAAGAACCTACGTGACTAATGGGGCAGGTTCCCCGATAATCACCTCACACCTGGCTTATGAAATAATTCTCCTTTCCAACCTCCCTGCTGCTTCCTGTTTTTCCTCCTGCCTCCAATCTGTCTAGCACTTAAGTGTGAGATTAACATTTCTGAAATGCCTCTGATCATGTAGCTCCCCTGCTGGAAAGTTCAGTGCCTCCGGTGTCTAGTGGCAGCAGATAAAGATTCTTTTGTCTGCTTTCCTGGTCCCTCACTGAGCTCTGGCTTCCACCTTGTTTATTTAACCTCATTTGTCAGTATTTTTAATTTTCTATTCCAGTCAGCTCCCCCAGAGTTCCACAAACTATGCTCATTCCCATCACACCAACACCAGTTCTCCCTCTCCCCTACATGTTCTCGAATCCCACCTGGCTTCTCAGCTGCCCCCCGGCCCCTGTCCTCCCCTTCTCAGCCCCCAGCAGGGCACATGGCTGCCTGCAGGAAGCAACAGGGCTCTAAGCCTCCCTGGCAGCCAGATGTGGCAGAGAGACTTCCTTCCAACCTATTTGAAATGAGCAGAAATGTTACGGGTTACTTCTGTCTGTGGACCTACTAGGATGGGGTGTGTATTTCTTTGTCCTTCTCTTTCCCCTTGGCCTGAACATGGAGCCTGAGCAGTCATCCTAAATCACAAAGAGCCATGCATCAAAGACAGTGAGGCAGCAAGGCGGAGCTGTCCCAGCCCCGAGCTGCCTGCCTGGCTCTGGACTTTGTTTCTGTCAGAGAGAAATGGACTTCCATCTAGGAAGCCATTGTTCTATTCGGTTTTTGTCACTCACAGGTCAACCTAATGCTAACTTGGTTCTTCTCACAACTTGTGAAGGAAAGAAAGGAGCAGATGTGGCAGTGGCCTGTAAATGTTTAACTCTCAGAGGCAGTGGAGGGCTGGGGGTAGGTGAAAGTTCTGACTTGCAACATTTCCGATTTCTGTGGTGTAAATACTTCCATCAAGGTGTTGGGGCTCAGAAAATGATACCCCAGAGTTTGGTGTTTTGGCAAGTTGAGAAGAACATGGGAAGGACCTGAGAAGTAAAGTCTGCCTCTGACCTTCTCCTGCTCCCCTCTCTCCTCCAAGGCAGGTCAAAGAAACCAGAATGTCTTTCCCCCAAAGCCAATCATAAAACTTAGAACTATTACTCTAGCCTTCCTTTGCCTTTCTGTATAAGCACAGCTCATTAAAAAAAAAAAAAAAAACTGAGCTACCTTTTCTAATAGTAGGTCATAAAACCCTTATTTTGGAGAGTCCCTGCCTATATCCAGAAGGAAGGAATGCTGCACAGAGAGACCAAGCAGAATCCCAACAGACAGGCTCTGCTGGCTTTCTCCCTCAGCCTATTCCCATGCGACCATTCACTTTGTGTTCAATCACATTTCTTTTCTTTTCTTTTTTTTTTTTTTGAGATGGAGTTTCGCTCTTGTTGCCCAGGCTGGAGTGCAATGGCACTATCTTGGCTCACTGCAACCTCCTCCTCCTGGGTTCAAGCGATTCTCCTGCCTCAGCCTCCCAAGTAGCTGGGATTACAGGCACGCACCACCATGCCCAGCTAATTTTGTATTTTTAGTAGAGATGGGGTTTCTCCATGTTGGTCAGGCTGGTCTTGAACTCCCGACCTCAGGTGATCCGCCCGCCTTGGCCTCCCTAAGTGCTAGGATTACAGGCATAAGCCACCGTGCCCAGCCTGTGTTCAGTCACATTTCTACATGACTGTCTGTTCTTTTTTTTTTTTTTTTCTGAGACAGAGTTTCATTCTGTGGCCTAGGCTGGAGTGCAGTGGCACGATCTCAACTCACTGCAACTTCTGTCTCCCAGGTTCAAGTGATTCTCCTGCCTCAGCCTCCTGAGTAGCTGGGATTACAGGCACACACCACCACGCCCGGCTAATTTTTGTATTTTTAGTACAGACGGGGTTTCATTATATTGGCCAGGCTGGTCTCAAACTCCTGGCCTCATGTGATCCTCCCACCTCAGCCTCCCAAAGTACTGGGATTACAGGTGTGAGCCACTGCACCCAGCCTTGGCTGTCCATTCTTCATCGAAACTAATCAAAAAAATTGTTTTCTCTGAGCATTTCTGGGGTCTTCATTTCTGAAGGCTCCCATGTCATGTAAAACTTTGATGAAATAAATTTGTTGGTCGGGCACAGGGGCTCACACCTGTAATCCCAGCACTTTGGGAAGATGAGACAAGCAGATGGTTTGAGCCCAGGAGTTCGAGGCCAGCCTGAGTAACATGGTGAAACCCCATCTCTACAAAAAATTACCTGTGTGTGGTGGTCTGCACCTGTAGTTCCAGCTACTCTGTAGGCTGAGTCAGGAGGATTGCTTGAGCCCAGGAGGTTAAGGCTATGGTGAGCCATGATCATGCCACTTCACTACAGCCTGGGCAAGAGTGAAACTCCGTTTCTAAAAATAGATACATAAAATAAAATAAATTTGTTATGCTTTTGTTTTGTTCGCCTGTCTTTTGTTATGGGAGTATTGGTCATGACTCAGGATGGGTGCAGAAAGCAATCACATCTTTCTGTCTCTACAAAGGCCAACTTCAAGCTACCAATGTTATGCCAGTTGGCTCATAAAGTTCCTGAAACTATAATGATTCTTCTCATGAACTGGTGTGAGCTGGCTTCAGCACAACAGTGGGTGAATGGGAAGGGGTGAAATGGGACTGACATTTAATGAACCTTGCTACATGCCAAGTAAGGTAATAGGCATTTTGCATATATTTTCTTTAATCCTTATATTTAACACTGAGGGGTAAGTAGGGCCAAACTTTCCCAACCATTAATCCTTTCTGGGAAAAATTCCAATACAGGTAGATTTATTTTTCTATATATTTTTCACAACCTTGGAAGATATGTTAGTCACCCCTGTTGTGGATAATTAGAAAAAGTAGAAAATGGAGGTAAGAGAAAATGCGAATGTGGTGGATATTTTCTGAGGTTTGACCATCCTGCATGCATTCTCTTCTCCTGAGAACAGTCACTGGATTCCTTGGAGAATTACCTGTGTGCATTCCTAATGAGCTATGGTTAAGGTGTGCTTTTTCCCCTAGCCTTTACCTAGACTAGGCTGATCAGATTCTCTCTGCTAGGGCTTTGAATGATGAACAAAATGGAAAGGATGGAAAAAACCCTTTGTCACTTACTCATTTCAGCAGGTAGCCAGGACAACACCGTCGATTCCTGCTACCTCATCCGCTGGAGCTACCCTGGTTCTTTGTCTCCTGAGCCTGATTCTCTGGCCTTCCTTTGATTCTGTGAGCTATTCAATATCCTCCCAAGACTCATCTATTCTGTTCAAGTTAAGGACAATCATTTTTGTGGCTTGAAGCCAAAGAAATTCAAATGCCAAGGAAGAAAAGTAGAAGCTCTTTAGAAAAGTTAAAGGAAACCGGCCAGGCGCGGTTGCTCACACCTGTAATCCCAGCACTTTGGGAGGCCAAGGTGGGCGGATCACCCGAGGTCGGGAGTTCAAGACCAGCCTAACCAACATGGAGAAACCCCATCTCTAATAAAAATACAGAATTAGCCGGGCATGGTGGCACACACTGTAATCCCAGCTACTTGGGAGGCTGAGGCAGGAGAATCGCTTGAACCTGGGAGGCGGAGGTTGCGGTGAGCCGAAATCAAGCCATTGCACTCCAGCCTGGGCAACAAGAGCGAAACTCCCTCTCAAAAAAAAAAAGAGAAAAGAAAAGTTAAAGGAAGCCAAGGCGAAGTGCACAGGGCTTTAGAAGAACATTTTAAAATTGCTCCTGGCAGGGAAGTGGTTATGATTATGTAAGGAGAACCTAGGCAAGACTGGTCAGACTGCAGGGTTGGATTTTTATGTGTTCTACACGGCAGGAATTTGGGGCAGAGCCGATGTTATATAAGCCTGAGTTGTAAGTTATTTGACGTATGTCATTGTATGCTCATCACAGGATTATTAAATAAAGGTAACTCAAACCATTTTGTATTAAGAGTATCCAAATTATTCTACATTTGTAGAATCACTATAAAATATGTGGGAGTTTGTTTTTTTAAAATGCGTTATTTTGGTGGAGGACTGGAGAGAAAACATGGATCACTAAGAACTCTTCATCAACATTTTATCTTTTAGAAAGTAAAATGAACTACTAGCAGTGGGCCCAGCGCAGTGGCTCCCGCCTGTAATCCCAGCACTTTGGGAAGCCGAGGAGGATTACTTGAGCCCAGGAGTTTGAGACCGGCCTGAACAACATAGCGAGGCCCTGTGTCTACAAATAGTCAAAAAATTAGCCAGATGTGGTGGCACACACCCATGGTCCCAACAAATCAGGAGGCTGAGGAGGGAGAACTGCTTGAGCTCTGGCAGTTGAGGCTGCACTGAGCCATGACTGCACCACTGCACTGAGCCATGATCACACGACTACACTGAGCCATGATCACACCACTGCACTGAGCCATGATCACACCACTGCACTGAGCCATGATCGCACCACTGCACTGAAACATGATCGCACAACTGCACTGAGACATAATTGCACCACTGCACTGAGCCATGATCGCACCACTGCACTGAGCCATGATCGCACCACTGCACTGAGCCATAATCGCACCACTGCACTGAGACATGATCGCACCACTGCACTGAGCCATGATAGTACCACTGCACCGAGCCATGATTACACCATGGCACTGCACTCCAGCCTGGGCCACAGAGTGAGACCATGTCTTAAAAAAAAAAAGCAAACAAAAACTACAAGCAATTGAGAGCCTGGGAAGTGTCTAGTAGGGAAACCAGGAATTGTATCTGTGTTTGTGTGACTACCCCACATTCCTGCTGGTTCTGCCTCAACAAAAGCTTTCCCCCATCACTCCATCCACAGTGATCTCACCCGGCTGCGAATGCCTAGAATGCTTGCTCTCTGTACCAACATTCCATTTGTTTGACATTCATCATGGGGATCTGCTGAGTCTTCATATGAGGAAAAGTACTTGTTAAGCTCTAAGATATCAAATAAATGTTAGTTAATTATGTTATTAGATAAGTAGGTAGATAGATAATAAATAGATGCACACACACATATAGCTACAGATACAGTTACAGTTTTGTATACTTATATTTATGTGCTGATCTCTTAATTTCCCTTAACTTGGTTATAAACCTCTTAAGACCCATATTTTATACACCTTTCTGCCTTCCACTGCTCTTAGTTGGAACACATTTGACAATCTACTGATGTTTTAAGTGTAGGAACTAGCCTCTACCAGCTGAAAAATCTGTGAACCATGGCCACTTATTTTCACCACTTTCCTGTGCCCTGGGAGGACTAGATGAGCTCATGGGTACAAAGTGCCATGAATCAGTTAGTTTCCTGTGGCCGAAGACAGAAGAACTCAGCAGTCTTAGTTCCCCCTTCAACTTCATGCCTTCCTTTCTGAAGAAGCATGGGTCATGTATGTGATCAGAAATGGGCTTCCATTTCTCAGTACAAGATTTCTGAAGAAGAAGTGGTTTCTGGACCTCTGAATGGGCAGTGTGCGATACAATCTAATGAGAGACAAGTGATCTTGACTCTTTTAAAAGTGTCAAAAGCAGATTAAAGCCATCAGCCTATACCAAGCATTTTCCCAATGCAGCATTTTCTCTTCCCCCACCCTATCTGTCATCTAGCCTAGTGCTGTCCAACAAATCTTTCTGTAATGATGGAAATGTTCTATTTCCGTGTTTTCAAATATGGTAATCACTGGCCACATGGGATTATCGTGCTCTTGAAATGTGGCTAATGAAACTGAGAAACTGAATTTTAAATTTTGACTCATTAGAATTTACATTCAAATAGCCACATGCAGCTGGGCGCAGTGGCTCACGCCTGTAATCCTAGCACTTTGGGAGGCCAAGGTGGGCAGATGACCTGATGTCAGGAGTTCGAGACCAGCCCGGCCAACATGGTGAAACCCCGTCTCCATTAAAAATACAAAAATGCTGGGCGCGGTGGCTCACGCCTGTAATCCCAGCACTTTGGGAGGCCAAGGCGGGCGGATCACGAGGTCAGGAGATCGAGACCATCCTGGCTAACAAGGAGAAACCCCGTCTCTACTAAAAATACAAAAAATTAGCTGAGTGTGGTGGCGGGAGCCTGTAGTCCCAGCTACTCAGGAGGCTGAGGCAGGAGAATGGTGTGAACCCGGGAGGCAGAGCCTGCAGTGAGCTGAGATCACGCCACTACACTCCAGCCTGGGTGACAGAGTGAGACTTTGACTCAAAATAAATAAATAAATAAATAATAAAAATACAAAAATTAGCTGGGCATAGTGGCACAAGCCTGTAATCCCAGCAACCTAGGAGGCTGAGGCAGGAGAACTGCTTGAACCTGGGAGGCAGAGGTTGCAGTGAGCCAAGATCATGCCACTACATTCCAGCCTGGGCGACAGAGTGAGACTCCATCTCAAAAAATAAAATAAAATAAATAGCCACATGCTACTGTATTAGACAGCATAGACCTAAATTAAGAGAATCTGGGCTTCTTTATTTATTCATTTATTTATTCATCATTCAGTCAAAACCATTGAGTACCTAGTATATATCAATCAGGCACACTGCTGAATACTGACAGTGGGTTCAGTGATTAGTCTCTCACCTGAAAAAGCCCAAAATCTGTTTGAGGAAACAAATGATCTTTGGGGATGGCCTCAAGACCTTAAAGTGTCTTCTGGTTACACCACCTTCTCTTGAGAAAAGTATTTGGGAGTAAGTCCTTGGGCATAGGTCACCCTGCAGATAATCTTCCGGCCCTGACCTCATCTACTAAATTAGGATCCTTGCTTGAGCTAGGGGCAGTTCTCAAGGGCTGGCAAGAGGCCAGTGATGCAGCCAGAGGTGAGAATACCCAAAAAGGTTACTGTATCCTGGGGAGTGTGTACACAACCCATTCAGAGTCTCAATTTAAGACATAAGCAAGGACATGAACATCAGAGCAGTGTAAAACCCCAAAGACAAAAAGAGCTAGGTCAGTGGGTTGAATAATAACATTAATAATGAGGATTGTTGAGAGGCAGGAAGGTGTTGAGGTCAATAGCTTTGTCTCTGGAGACAAACTTCCTGGATGCCAAACTCAACTCTGTCATTCCCCTGCTTCACAGAGTTCTGTGCTGTCACTGCACCTGTATAATGAGTGTTGTCATGCCCTCCTCTCAGAGGTGTACCATGAAAATTAAGTGAATTAAAACATACAGTTGTCCAGGCATGGTGTTTCATACCTGTAATCCCACCATTTTGGGAGGCTGAGGCAGGAAGATCATTTGAAGCCAAGAGTTTGAGACCAGCCTGGGCAACAAAGTGAGACCCTATCTCTACCAAAAAAAAAAAAAAATTTTTTTTAATTAGTTGGGCATGGTGGCACACGCCTGTAGTCCTAGAAACTCAGGAAGCTGAAGTGGCAGGATTGCTTGAGCCCAGGAGTTTGGGGCTATAGTGAGCTATGATGGCGCCACTGCACTACAGCCTGAGCTGTAGTGGAAGATCTTGACTCTAAAAACAAACAAGCCAGGCATGGTGGCTCATGCCTGTAATCCCAGCACTTTGGGAGGCCGAGGCAGGCAGATCACGAGGTCAGGAGTTCAAGACCAGTCTGGCCAACATAGTGAAACCCCATCTGTACTAAAAAAACAAAAATTAGCCAGGTATGGTGGCACATGCCTGTAATCCCAGCTAATCAGGAGGCTGAGGCAGGAGAATTGCTTGAACCTGGGAGGCAAAGGTTGCAGTGAGCCAAGACCATGCCATTGCACTCCAGCCTGGGCAACATAGTGAGACTCCATCTCAAAATCAAAAACAAAAAACAAACAAACAAACATGGAGTTGAACCCAGGTAGATGGGCTCTAGCATCTATGCTCTGACAAATAGGTATGCCACTAGGCTTTGGAATGAAATAGACCTAGGTTCACATCTAACTCCCATTACTTCTTGGTTACACAACCTTAAGAAAGTGAATTGCCTCATTGAACCTCATTTTTCTCATCTGTAAAATGGGTGTATAGATAAAATAACAGTTGGGGTTATGAAGGCTTAATGAATTGATTTGAGTATAGCTCTTAAAACAGTGCCTATGCCGGGCGTGGTGGCTCACGCCTGTAATCCTAGCACTTTGGGAGGCCGAGGTGGGCAGATCACGAGATCAGGAGATCGAGACCATCTTGGCTAACACGGGGAAACCCCATCTCTACTAAAAATACGAAAAATTAGCCAGGAGTGGTGGTGAGCGCCTGTAGTCCCAGCTACTCGGGAGACTGAGGGAGAGAATGGCATGAACCCGGGAGTTGGAGCTTGCAGTGAGCCAAGATCGCGCCACTGCACTCCAGCCTGGGCTACAGACAGAGCAAGACTCCATCTCAAACAAACAAACAAACAAAAAAAAACACACAGTGCCTCTGAGGCATCATACATGCTCAGGTGTGTGGGCTAGTGTCACTTCACACTACCCCACAAGACCTGGGCAGAGCCAGTCACTGCAGACAGAGATGCTGAGCCACAAGGAGTCTGGGCAGGGAGGCAGGGTGTGCTCCTGGGGCTGCCGCTGGGCACTGGAAGCCACTGTGGCTTCTGGAAGACATGCTGGTTCTTCAAGGGGCAGGTTACTGGCCACTGAGGTGGCTCTATTCCAGCCCATCTCTGTCCCTTGAGGTAATCTGAGTGGCAACCTGTTCTATAACAAAAAAAACACTTAGTTTTGGCATATTTTAAGCAAGAATTTACAAGAGGAACATTTTGATGCAGCTTCCTTAAAACAGTTCTGTCAGTATGAACCACTTTGGAAAATAGCATAGCAAATTCTTTTTTTTCTTTTTTTTTTTTTTGAGACGGAGTCTCGCCAGGCTGGAGTGCAGTGGTGCAATCTTGGCTCACTGTGCAATCTCCGACTCCCTGGTTCAAGCGATTCTCCTGGCTCAGCCTCCTGAGTAGCTGGGATTACAGGCACGCACCACCACGCTCAGCTAATTTTTGAATTTTTAGTAGAAACGGGGTTTCACCATGTTAGCCAGGCTGGTCTCGATCTTCTGACCTCATGAACTGCCCGCCTCAGCTTCCCAAAGTGCTGGGATTACAGGCATGAGCCACCGAGCCCAGCCCTTATTTTTTCTTTTTTTAGAATGGGGTCTCGCTCTGTCTCCCAGGCTGGAGTGCAGTGGTGTGAATGTGACTTACCACAGCCTCGACCCCTGGATTCAAGTGATCCTTCGACCTGAGCCTCCCAGAGTAGCTGGGACCACAGGCGCGCACCACAACACCTGGCTAATTTTTTAATTTTGTAGAGACGAGGTCTCTCCATGCTGCCCAGGCTGATCTCAAACTCCTGGGCTCAAGAAATCCTTCTGCCTTTAGGCTGGGCATGGTGGCACACACCTGTAATCCCAGCACTTTGGGAGACCAAGGTGGGCTGATCACTTGAGGTCAGGAGTTTGAGACCAGCCTGATCAACATGGTGAAACCTGTCTCTACTAAAAATACAAAAATTAGCTGGGCGTCGTGGTGCAAGTGCTGGGATCACAGGTGTGAGCCACTGGGCACAGCAGCGATTTCTTACTAAGCTAAACATGCACCTAGTTATACTACTCCTAGACATCTGCTCAAGAGAAATAAGAATACATGTCTTAAAAAAGAGTTGTCTATGAATGTTCATAGTAGCTTTATTCATCATTTCCAAAAATAAGAAAAAAACCACAATGTCCATCAATGGTGAATTAATAAGCCAACTGTCATATATTTATACAATGGAATGCTATGCAGAAGTCAAAAGGAAAGAACTACTGAATCATGCCATGACATGGATGAATCACAAAAATATTATACTGAGCAAAAGAATCTGGACACAAAAGAGTGTCTACTGTAGTTTCGTTCTTTCTTTCTTTCTTTTTTTTTTTGAGACGGAGTTTTGCTCTTGTTGCCCAGGCTGAAGTGAAATGGCGTGATCTCAGCTCACTGCAACCTCTGCCTCCTGGGGTCAAGTGATTCTCCTGCCTCAACCTCCCAAGTAGCTGGGATTATAGCCACCTGCCACCACACCTGGCTAATTTTTAGTAGAGACGGGGTTTCACCATGTTGGTCAGGCTGGTCTTGAACTCCTGACCTCAGATGATCCTCCCGCCTCGGCCTCCCAAAGTGCTGGGATTACAGGCATGAGCCACCTTGCCCAGCCTGTAGTTTCATCTATATGACATTCTAGAACAGGCAAAACTGTAAGGTTAGAAGTCTGATCAGTGGTTGCTATAGGGGATGGGGACAGGACTGACTACAAAGGGATGCAGGGAACTTTTGGGGGTGATGGAAAACTCTATATCATCATGGTGGAGGCCTTTACACAAACTATATGCATTTATCAAAACTCATCAAAAACTACTCCTAAGAAGGATGAATTTTACTGTATTTAAATTATACTTCAATCTACCTGACTTTTTAAAACAAAATGCAGTATCACCAAATACTACCAAATTTTATGTGAAAGGCTCAGGGTCAGAGATAGGATGAGTTCAACCCACAGGGATAGGTTGAGAATATCTGGTTTATACATTTCTTACTGATTTTTTTTTTTTTTGAGAAGTCTTGCTCTTGTCCCCCAGGCTGGAGTGCGATAGCGTGATCTCGGCTCACTGCAACCTCTGCCTCCCGGGTTCAAGCGATTCTCCTGCCTTAGCCTTCCAAGTAGCTGGGATTACAGGCGCCTGCCACCACGCCAGGCTAATTTTTGTATTTTTAGTAGAGACGGGGTTTCACCATGTTGGCCAGGCTGGTCTCGAACTCCTGACCTCAGGTGATTTGCCCACCTCGGCCTCCCAAAGTGCTGGGATTACAGGAATGAGACACCGTGCCTGGCCACTGATTTTTTTTTTAATGGTGACAATTTAATAATAATTTTAGGCCTTGTCAAGAGGTTACCAGTATTAAGACGGCTGCATCTCAATGGCACGTGCCTCTCCTGGCAATCAAAAAGATAGACAAATGACTATAATATCGTGTGTGTGATGCTTTGAGAGATTTGTATACAATGTAGATGAACTAATTCTGGATGGCAGGTTCAGGAGTGGTTTTTTCCCAGGAGAATAGGGAGGAAAAAGGAAAAGAAATAGAACGGTTATAGGGTCCAATGGGTAAGAGTTTGGCATGTGTGAGAAAAAGGACAAAATTAGAGA
Organism: Homo sapiens; assembly: GCF_000001405.40. Taxonomy (NCBI): domain Eukaryota; kingdom Metazoa; phylum Chordata; class Mammalia; order Primates; family Hominidae; genus Homo; species Homo sapiens. Next base: position 30,753,391 of record NC_000006.12, on the reverse strand, counting down.
TGCACAACATCAAGAAGCAATGGGGGTGTTGAAAGAGAAAGCCTGCAAGGTGCCTGGATTTGGGTTGGGAACTCAGAGAGTTTGGAGCCACTGAACTTACTGAAGCAGGCATGGACATGGTCAAGTCTGTCTTTGAACAAGAAAGCCCTGGGGGGTATAGGAGGTGAACCGGAGGAACAATAGTTAGGAAGGTTCTTTATGGCCCATGATTGTCCCATTTTCACTAAAATAAAATGTGCCTTTTTGGTAGTGAACTGTTCTGAATGCCAAAAGTACTAGGTAAGTTGGTCCCAACTGGAATATTGCAGCCCTGAGGGTGGCTCGGCTGCCCAGTCATTTGGTACCCCCTTTTTCTTTCCTGAACCAGAGAATCTCAGCTCTCAAGAAATCTATTAATTCAGGCTCCCAGGGTCAGCACCACTTGGTCTGTGTCAGAGACACAGCAGTCACACGCACAAACCCAAATGGTCATGGCTGACAGTGGAGGCCTCAGCAGGGCCAAGGAACACAGAGATTTGCAACCTCCCCTTGTGTGCAATTCCCCTTCTATGGTAGGTGGGATTCCCAACCTGGGGAAAGAAATGACCAAGTGTCTGGGAAGGGAAAGTGTCATAAAAGAGCCAGGGCCCAGGAGCTAGGATGACGGTGGCCTGAGGCCCAGACACTCTAGGGAATCCGTGAGACGTGGAGAGAAAACATGAGGGAAAGCAGAGCTACTGTCTGGCCGGCCCAGCTTCCTCTTTTATGAGCTCATGGGCAAAGCCAGGCCAGGCAGAGGGTGCTAGAGATTGAGTGAGCTTGTTTTTTCCCTAACTTGGTTCTGAGTCACACATGGCATCTATCCTTCCCAGAAAACCGCCTCAGGGCTCACCCCTTGGCAGCCCACCAAACCCCAGTACTGACACGCGATCCCCACTGGGTAGGGCCAGGGAGCTGCAGACAGGCCAGCCCCAGCACCCGCCTCCGCCCCTGGAGAGGCCTCTTGGGGAATGAACTGTCCCTCCCAACCTTGGAAGAAAAGAGCCTATGGCAACTGCTTTGGAGGGTAGGCTGGAGGCACGTCCAACTTTTGAGCACACATGGGAGACGCTGCTGAATCATGGGGTTTCAGAGGAGGAGAAACATTAGAGAGCCTTTAATTTATGCCTTTCACTTTGTAGATCAACTCATCCAGTAAATACGGGGTGTCTGAAAAGTCTGGACAAAAGGGGAAATATTTTATTTGTTGTGCATTTTTCCCCTATGATTATGTTTTGACTTCAATCTCCATCAAATTCTCCAATGGCTGACATTGGAGCTGTCTACAGAGAGATGCAGGCTGCTTCCCACGGGAACAGCACTGTAACAGTAATGACATCAACGATCCTGTATTTCTAGCCTTTTCAGCAGCCTGTATTGATTGACAGGCACAGTTCTAGGCACTGAAAATAGAGCAGTACACAAGATAGATAAAGTCCTACTCTGGTGGAGTTATAATCTGGTGGGAAAGAAACCAAGACCAAAGGAGGAGCCACAACACTGGGGTCCTAAGAAGCCGGCTTTGGCAGAAGGACAGGAATGCTGGGCCCTTTCCCAGCTCCCGGCTCAGCTCATAGCAGCCTCCAGGGTAGCTGGGTTGAGTTGGGCTGGGTCAGGCTGAGCTGCATCCCAGGGTAGGGTCATCGTGCCACTTTTGTGACCTTGCCTTGGTGCTCCCGGAACTCTTGCCATGGTTTTGCGTCAGGGGAACTGCCAGGGCCTGATTTTGGGCCTCCTAGAGCCTAGATGAATATCTTTAGGGGTCATTTGTTAACTTGCTGCCTAGAACTCACCACCCCACTCTACCCCCATGCCTCTGGAGAATTGTTCCAGCTAAAATGTAGGTGGGAGGGGATGTTTAAAATCACCTGTTCCTTGTCAGTATAGTGGTGAGTAAAAACAAATTTTTTTTTTTGCTGGGTGTGGTGGCTCACGCCCGTAATCCCAGCACTTTGGGAGGCCGAGGGGGCGGATCACGTGAGGTCAGGAGTTTTCCAGACCAGCCTGGCCAACATGGTGAAACCTTATCTCTACCAAAAATACAAAAATTAGCCGGGCATGGTGGCATGCGCTACTCGGGAGGCTGAAGCAGGAGAATCGCCTGAACCCGGGAGGCAGAGGTTGCAGTGAGCCGAGATTGTGCCACTGCACTCCAGCCTGGACGACAGAGTAAGACTTTCTTTTTTTTTAAGACGGAGTTTCACTCTCGTCGCCCAGGCTGGAGTGCAGTGGTGCAATCTCAGCTCACTGCAACCTCTGCCTCCCTGGTTCAGGCAATTCTCCTGCTTCAGCCTCCCGAGTAGCTGGGATTACAGGCACACGCCACCACGCCCAGCTAATTTTTGTATTTTTGGTAGAGACGGGGTTTTGCCATGTTGGCCAGGCTGGTCTCGAACTCCTGACCTCGTGATCCACCCACCTCAACCTCCCAAAGTGCTGGGATTATGGGCGTGAGCCACCACGCCCAGCCAAACTAAATTTTTTAAATAAATAAAGGCCAGACTTTGTGGCTCACGCCTGTAATCCCAACACTTTGGGAGGTTGAGGCGGGAGGATCGCTTGAGCCCAGAATTTTGAGACCTGCCTGGGCAACATGGCAAGACCCTGTCTCTACCAAAATAAATAAAAATTAGCTGGGCATGGTGGCACGTTCCTGGAGTCCCAGCTACTCAAGAGGCTGAGGTGGGAGGATCACTTGAGCCCAGGAGGTTGAGGTTGCAGTGAGCCATGTTTATGCCACTGCACTCCAGCCTGGGTGAGAGAGTGAGATCTTGTCTCAAAAAATAAATAAATACATACATAAAAAAATAAAATCACTCACATTAGTTGAACAGGAACTAGGAATGCAGAAGTCTTTGCTTCTCTGGAAAATAAAGAGCCACAAAACCTGCCTGATATGGAGAGGGAGGGAGGGCAGAGTAAAAAGAGAAAGAACTTGTATCTCCTGGTGATGTTAGCAGTTAGAGGTTATTTTCTCATTCCAGTTCCCTACTCCTGGGTTGGCTCACTGCTGCCCATCCCTGTTCCAAAGCAGTCCCTCTTCTCATAATTATAATAATGCCCCTGCTCCATGCAAGAAGCACCTACTATGTGCCCAGAAGGAGTAAATTTATATTCTTAACCTTTGCAGTTACCTAGAGGTCAATTTGCCCATTTATCAATTGAGGAAACAGATTTTCAGCAACATTAAGTAACTGGCCCAATATTGCCTAGTTAATAAGTAGCAGAGCTGGCACTTAAACCCAATTTCGTCTAACACCACTAGATTACAATATGTTCTTTTTGCTATTCCGTGTTTCCTTTCTATCTCAAACCCATCTCAAGTCACCAAGTAGTTATTGAGGATCTACTGAATACCAGGTGCAGCTAAAAAGCTTTCACTTTGTCATTCCCTACCCCCAGGACCCTGGTGCAGTCCCTTCACCCTGCTTTCCTTTCTCAGATGCTCCCATTTCCAAATCTCTGCCTCCCTTTCCCCTGCCCATTCTGCCTCCGCCAGTGCCCATTCTTGCCGTCCCCCGTTCTGGGCCTGTGGTCAGCAGTGCAGCAGTACCCAGGTGAGGCAGCAGGCCTGACTCACTCCTATGTCAGGGATTGTAAAGGGCGCGGGCCAGGGCTTTGCTGTCGCTGTCGTCACTGCACAATTGTTCCTGATTCAGCGGCGGATCACCTGAGCCACACCTGAGTGCCCCCAACCTCCTCTTTGAAGAGCAAACATGGGGGCCTCTAAAGGAACATGGCTAGATAAACAGACCTCTCTGCAGATGAGGTTTAGCTCCTCGGAGGAGACAGATTTAAGAATATTTATTAAGTTCCTACTAGGTGACAGCCAAGTACTGGAGATACTACAGAGATCTAATGAGAAAAAGGTCAGATGTGGCCCTGTACACTCGTGGAGATTATATTCCAGTAGGCGGGACAAACAACAGCAAAAAGCAAATACATAAAATGATTCCCCAACGTGATATGTGTCATGAAGAAAAACAAGGGGCTGAGAAGGAGGCTAGCAGTGGTGATGGATCAAGGCAAAGGTCAAACGAGGGAAATGAAGGAACATGGTGATCTGGGGGAAGATGGGAAGGAAATGAGGAGGAGAGCTGGAAATGGAGGAGGCTAAGGGCCTGTTTCTCCAGTATCAGGGCAGTGGGAGCCAGTCCAGTTGCTCGTCTCAGCCCCTGGCACTTTCTGGCCTTAACTCATTCCCCAGCCTGCACTCCCCCACCCCCTTATTGGCTTAATGATTCACCCCCAACATTTCCCTAGCTTCCTGTGTGGCAGGAAGGAGCAGGAGCAGAGCCCTAGGGCTCTGAGGGTAGCAGGAATGGGGATGGGATTGGTTGGGAATGGTGAGCAGTCCGGGTTCTCAGGTCTTCTCTTTGTCCCATTCTGGTCTTGCCACAAAGAAAGGTCTCTCTGTGCCGGGAGGACAGCGAGGATAACTAGACCCAGCTGGAGGCCCAGATTCCAGATGTGGGAGGTAGTGGCAAAACAAGATCCTGGCATCCCCTTCATTTCCCCTCCTCTGCCTAATGCCCTAGAGAAATTTTCCATCATAAACAAGTAATGCATTCCTAACCTTTGGTGCTTCTCTCTCTCTCCCACCCACTAGTTTTCTTCCATCATCACTATCTCCCCCTACTCCCAATTTATGTTTATGTGAGTGTGAGGGTCTGTCCACATGTGTAAGTAGTCATGGGTTTATGTTGGTCATTGTGTAGCGTGCGAGTTGCCTTGGAATAAGGATGTTGGGGGTGGTGGGCTCCCTGTGCTTGGGTGTAAATGTAAGAATGATGGCAGGTGTGAAGACAGGCGTGGGAAAGCAATGCGCCTTTGTTTACAGAGGAGGTGTGTTTTATGCCAGCCAGGAAGAAGTGTGTAATGTGGAAGGGATCTTGTGTATTTAGATAAGAGTAGTGAGTATAAAATAAAGTGACTTGTAGGCCCAGGAATTGTACACAGAGCAGTAGTGTATTTCTAGCCGGTTGTGGCCTGTCCTCTTATTTGTGTTCCTACATGTTCTTGATTGAAAAATCCTTTTAAGTGTTTCCTAAGTGGGAGGGGAGAAAAGTGTTTCCTGTTTGGTGTCTGTGTAAGAATTGTCCCAGCTTTTCTAAAGATGTTGTACATTTGTATGAGTGGTTTGGAGGAGTGTAGCCACATCTCAGAAGCTTGGTGTGACCCAGCCAAGGTGGGAATACTACATGCACACTTACAGTTGTACATTTCACCTGGCATTTAACAAGATTATTGAGCAACTGCTGCCTACAAGGTACCATGCTGGGTTCTCTGGAGGACACAAAGATGTGTATGACACAGCCTCCAGTGGAAGAGATCATATATGTATTCACTTTGTGCACCAGGCTTAAAATGATGGTAGAAAGATCTGAGCCAGATGTATTTCAAATCTCTGGAGTCATCTCAGATCTTTTCATCCTCTTGCTGTCGGCAACTCTCCCTCTCCCATGCTCCCTTCCCCTAATGATATCCATCTCATTGCCCAATTCTGATTATCTTATGCTAGGAATGTCTCTTAGGGCCACCTTCTCAGGCTCTTGTTATCATCTACCTGAGCCCCTCCAATAGCCTCCTGTCTACTGCCTTAGTCTCTACCCGTCCAGAGCATCACTCCTCATCCCAATCAGTTTCCTGCTTGAATTTTCCTCCCTTTATCTCATCCAGCAACCCACAAGCTCTACAGTCTAGAGTGAAACCCAGGCTCCTGACCTGGCAGCTCTGCTCTCCCCACTCTGCCCAATTCCACTCCTTTCCAGCCATTATTACTTCCCACTACTCCGTTACAGGAAACTTACTCTGAGATTGTTTTTCTTGTGATTCCCCAAACACATCCTGTACTTTTCCAGCTCAAGGTCTTTGCTAATTCCATTCTTACAGTCATCCTCCACATCTGAATTTGTCATATCCCACCCACTGTTCAAGGTCACCTTCAGTGCCACTCTTCCATGAAGCCTCCCCTGATTGATTGGACAGATGTGAACACTAGCTCTTTTGGGTCCCCCCCTTAACACTTAGTCTTCAGTTTTCTTAGGTTTTTTTGTTTTTGTTTTTGTTTTTTGTTTTGTTCTTGTTTTTTTGAGACAGGGTCTCACTCTGTCACCCAGGCTGGAGTGCAGTGGCACGCTCTCAGCTTGCTGCAACCTCTGCCTCCTGAGTTCAAGCGATTCTCCTGCCTCAGCCTCCCGAGTAGCTGGGATTACAGACATGCGCCACCATGCTTGGCTAATTTTTGTATTTTTAGTAGAAACAGGGTTTCACCATGTTGACCAGGCTGGTCTCGAACTCCTGACCTCAAATGATCCACCCGCCTCGGCCTGCCAAAGTGTTGGGATTACAGGTGTGAACCACCGTGCCTGGCCTTTCTTAGGATCTTCAAGAAAGCTTGCCTTTCCTTCAGGCAGAAACTCAATATAACAAAAAAAGAGAGAGAGAGAGAGCAACAGAGACAGACAGATAGAGAGCTCTCCTGGCCATGGTTCCCTCCTCATGCCGGAGGGTAAGGCCCTCATGGCTGGAGTATCAGCTTTATCTGGCTTTCCTCAGGCAGCTGCATGGCACAGCACTTATACTGAAACTAGCCTCAGGACTCTCAACAGTAGTACCCTCAACAGAGGGCGCCTGAAACAGGTGAATGCTCAAAAGATGTTAAATTCTGCACGGTGGCTGCCAGCACTTTGGGAGGCCGAGGCAGGCAGATTGGTTGAGCTCAGGAGTTCAAGACCAGCCTGGGCAACATGGCAAAACCCTGGCTCTACAAAAAATTTTATATATATATATATATATATATATATATATATATATATATATATATATATATTAGCCAGGCATGGTGGTGCTCACCTGTGGTCCCAGCTACTCAGGAGGCTGAGGTAGGAGTATGGCTTGAGCCAAGAGGCAGAGGTTGCAGTCAGCCGAGATCATGCCACTGCACTTCAACCTGGGCGACAAAGCCAGATCCTGTCTCAAAACAAAAAAAAAAAGTTAAATTCTGTGTCCATGAGCAGCTGTCTGTAAGGAAGTTATGGAAATGTGAATCTGCTTTAAGTTGAGTAATTACCATTACTGTAACATTTGTATAATGTCTCACAATTTAGAATGTTTGTCCCATAAATTTGGTTGTTTGACTTACAGCAAGGGGCAAATCTGGGTGGCTGCTAACCTATTGCCTTTGTATTTGTGGCCCTCTGCACCAGCCTTTATGTGAATATTTCTGCACGCTCCTAAGAGAGTAGTTTTGCTGAACTGTCCCTATACAGTCTTTGCACCTTTACTGTGTACATGTGTGTTGGTAGGTGTACGTGGTATGTTTTCCTTTTTTTCCAGGATTGCATTCTTTTTATGGCTGAATAATATTTAATTGTGTATTGTTGTTGTTGTTGTTGTTATTTTATAGTGACAAGGTCTCACTATGTTGCCCAGGCTCCTGAGCTCAAGTGATCCTCCCACCTTAGCCCCCCAAAATGCTAGGATTACAGGCAAGAGCCACCATGCCCCACCATTGTGTATTACTTTTTTAATCTTTCTATCCTTCCCTCCCTCCCCAACTTTTATTTTAAATTCTGGGGTATATGTGCAGGTTTGTTACCTAGGTATACTGCATGATGCTGAGGTTTGGGGTATGAATGATCCTGTCACCCAGGTACTGAGCATAGTACCCAATAGTTAGTGTTTCAACCTTTGCCTTACTCCCTCCGTCCTTCTTCTACTGGTCTCAAGTTGCTATTGTTGCCATCTTTATGTCCATGAGTTCCCAATGTTTGGTTCCCACTTATAAGTGAGAATGTGTGGTATTTGGTTTTCTGTTCCTGAGTTAATCCGCTTAGGATAATGGCCACCAGCCGCATCCATGTTGCTGCAAAGCACATAATTTTGTTCTTTTGTATGGCTACGCGGTGTGTGTCTTCATGTGTGCTCAGGCAGGCAGGTTTGTGTCTGTGTGTGCTAGTGTGTTCATTTCTCCCTTAATCTTGACTATTTCTGTAACAATTTCCTTCTTGGGGAGTTTATATTCTAAGGATACCTACAAGTGCATGAATGCGTGCATATAACTGGGTCAGTATTGCAGCAGGATGGCCTGATCTCCAATAAAAAGCCCTCTTGGCAGGGCACGGTGGCTCACGCCTGTAATCCCAGCACTTTGGGAGGCCGAGGCGGGCAAACCAAATACCATACATTCTCACTTATAAGTGGGAACCAAACATTGGGAACTCGTGGACGTAAAGATGGCAACAATAGCAACTTGAGACTACTAGAAGAAGGACGGAGGGAGCGAGGCAGATCACGAGGTCAGGAAATCGAGACCACCCTGGCCAACAGGGTGAAACCCCGTCTCTACTAAAAATACAAAAATTAGCTGGGCGTGGTGGCGCGTGCCTGTATTCCCAGCTACTCAGGAAGCTGAGGCAGGAAAATCGCTTGAACCAGGGAGTCAGGGGTTGCAGTGAGCCGAGATCGCGCCTCTGCATTCCAGCCTGGCGACCGAACGAGACTGCTCCATCTCCAAAAAAAAAAAAAAAAAAAGGCCTGTGAGGGATCCTGTGGCTAAAGTGAGCCCCTCTCCAGGTGCCACATGCCTCGACATGTGCCTGCAGCCCGGGATCTCACCCACCCCCACTCACGACTCACACACTCACAACGTGCAGTTGGGCGCCTAGGATTGTGCATGTCAAGTCTCCACCCACTCCCTTTGTTTAATCGTCGGAATTTCCAGCCCGCTGCTGCCAACCGCTCCCCAGCTGCGGGAGGAGGAGTTAGAAGGACCCGCCCAATTTTCAGGAGCACATAAATTACCTCTGCCGGCAGCCGACCCTCACTTGGCCTTACACTCCGCTCGGCTCACCATGTGTCACTCTCGCAGCTGCCACCCGACCATGACCATCCTGCAGGCCCCGACCCCGGCCCCCTCCACCATCCCGGGACCCCGGCGGGGCTCCGGTCCTGAGATCTTCACCTTCGACCCTCTCCCGGAGCCCGCAGCGGCCCCTGCCGGGCGCCCCAGCGCCTCTCGCGGGCACCGAAAGCGCAGCCGCAGGGTTCTCTACCCTCGAGTGGTGAGTATCGCCGAAGTGGGCATTCGCGGGGTGCGCTGCCCTGGAGTCACTGGGGAACGACCCGACTCCAGAGGCCTCGACCTGACCTGTCTCCTGTTTTGTCTCCCCTTAGGTCCGGCGCCAGCTGCCAGTCGAGGAACCGAACCCAGCCAAAAGGCTTCTCTTTCTGCTGCTCACCATCGTCTTCTGCCAGATCCTGATGGCTGAAGAGGGTGTGCCGGCGCCCCTGCCTCCAGAGGACGCCCCTAACGCCGCATCCCTGGCGCCCACCCCTGTGTCCGCCGTCCTCGAGCCCTTTAATCTGACTTCGGAGCCCTCGGACTACGCTCTGGACCTCAGCACTTTCCTCCAGCAACACCCGGCCGCCTTCTAACTGTGACTCCCCGCACTCCCCAAAAAGAATCCGAAAAACCACAAAGAAACACCAGGCGTACCTGGTGCGCGAGAGCGTATCCCCAACTGGGACTTCCGAGGCAACTTGAACTCAGAACACTACAGCGGAGACGCCACCCGGTGCTTGAGGCGGGACCGAGGCGCACAGAGACCGAGGCGCATAGAGACCGAGGCACAGCCCAGCTGGGGCTAGGCCCGGTGGGAAGGAGAGCGTCGTTAATTTATTTCTTATTGCTCCTAATTAATATTTATATGTATTTATGTACGTCCTCCTAGGTGATGGAGATGTGTACGTAATATTTATTTTAACTTATGCAAGGGTGTGAGATGTTCCCCCTGCTGTAAATGCAGGTCTCTTGGTATTTATTGAGCTTTGTGGGACTGGTGGAAGCAGGACACCTGGAACTGCGGCAAAGTAGGAGAAGAAATGGGGAGGACTCGGGTGGGGGAGGACGTCCCGGCTGGGATGAAGTCTGGTGGTGGGTCGTAAGTTTAGGAGGTGACTGCATCCTCCAGCATCTCAACTCCGTCTGTCTACTGTGTGAGACTTCGGCGGACCATTAGGAATGAGATCCGTGAGATCCTTCCATCTTCTTGAAGTCGCCTTTAGGGTGGCTGCGAGGTAGAGGGTTGGGGGTTGGTGGGCTGTCACGGAGCGACTGTCGAGATCGCCTAGTATGTTCTGTGAACACAAATAAAATTGATTTACTGTCTGCAGTCTTGAGTGTATCTTTGCAAGCGCCGACTCCCCACTCCTCCCGGCCTTCAGATGGCAAGGACCGGCGGGAGGCGCCGTGGCCGAGTCCCCAGCCCGCGCACCTCCCTGGGCCCAGGAGCCCCTTTTCCTGGAGTCACAGAACCCAGCATCCGGTTGCCGGATGTAGTCTTTCATTGCCCAGTCTGCGGTTTTCCCAGGTAGTTGCCCCGCGGCGAATCCGAGATGTGGCAATCACCCTTACGCCAGGGTGCCAGGCGGAGGTCAAGTCCCTCACCCGGGGGCGGAGCGTGGCGCGGCGTGGGCGGGATTCCCGGCTCAAGAAGGGCGGTGACTGGGGCGGCAGGGATGTGGCCCTCCCCGGGCTAACCAGGCAGCCCGGCTGGGCCCGAGAGCCAGCGGGCGGGCGGGCTGCGGACTCTAGCGGGGCCTGCCGGGAAAGGGGCGGGCCGAGCGCACTGGGCCGAGGCGGGGCGAAGTGGGGGTGCTTAGTCCGTTGCGGGGGGCGGGGTCGCGTCTGCCGCAGCAACGGGGTGCGGCAGGGTGGGGAACGCGGGAGCGGGGCCAGCTCCCAGGAAAGCTGGTCTGCGAGCGGCCCCTGCCCGGCTCCCAGGTCCCTGCGCGACCCCGCCCTTCCCGAGACCCCAGCCGGGCTGCCGCCCGCGTCCCGGAAGGTGAGTGGGGGAGGGGAGATGGAGCCTGGGGCTGCCGAGAAGCAGGGAGAGAGGGGAAAGGTCTGCAGGCCTCTGGGCGCGGGGGACCTTTATCAAAGGGAGCGGCGAGGGGAAGGGAGGGACCATACGCAGGCGGAGAAGAGGTAGCTGGGGATCTTAAGGATTTTGTAGGGAAAAGCCTTAGCGGACCCATGGGTGTAGAAGGGACGGGCCGTGGCGGATGCAGACTGGGAGGGCCTGACGGGAAAGGGAAAGGATGGGCCCCTGTGGACGCCACAGCGCGCCTTCCCCATCCGCAAAGGCTTTCCCTCCCTCTCCTCCAGCTCCAGCCTGAACCATGTTTTTCACTTGTGGCCCAAATGAGGCCATGGTGGTCTCCGGTAAGTACTGTTGTTCCCTTCCCAGCCAGTGACCCCAGAACCCCTGTGAGTCTGGCCTCTGCCCCTTCTCCCTCTCCCTACCAACTTCCCAGCACCAGACTTCTGCCCCTTGATGGCCACGAACTGCCCAGTTTGATTCCCACCATTCCAAGGCCCAGACTGCTTCCCCTCCAGCTCCCAGATTCTCTCCTGTGGGTTGCTGTCCCCTCACCCCCGCCAGTTCCTCAGTCTTCCACATTCAAGCTCTGCCACCGTTCCTCACTGCCCCACACCTTGCAGGGTTCTGCCGAAGCCCCCCAGTCATGGTGGCTGGAGGGCGTGTCTTTGTCCTGCCCTGCATCCAACAGATCCAGAGGTAGGCAAGAAGGGAACCAGGGAAGGGGGACCTCCGTTTTCTCTTTTTCCTCCTCTTCTTACTGTCTGTCCCTTCTTTTTCCCCTAGGATCTCTCTCAACACACTGACCCTCAATGTCAAGAGTGAAAAGGTTTACACTCGCCATGGGGTCCCCATCTCAGTCACTGGCATTGCCCAGGTGAAGCTTTCAGAGCCTTTTCCCCACAGTCCACTTCCCCATCACCCTCTCTCCCAGACATTAAGACATCTTCTGGCCACAGTCTTCTCAACCCTTGCCTGCAGAGAAGTTCCTCTGCTAGTCTCATCTTTTCCAGGCACCCCAAGGCACTTGCCTCCTCCTCCTTTCTTTCCCTGAAATGGAAGAAGCATTTCTTAGAGGGCTCTCCCTTCTCTCTCTGCTTTTTCTCTGACTTCATGAGACCCCCACCACACCTTTCCTACCCCTACTCTGGCTACAGGTAAAAATCCAGGGGCAGAACAAGGAGATGTTGGCGGCCGCCTGTCAGATGTTCCTGGGGAAGACGGAGGCTGAGATTGCCCACATTGCCCTGGAGACGTTAGAGGGCCACCAGAGGGCCATCATGGCCCACATGACTGTGGAGGTTGGCCTAGGGGCAGGGAACCATCTGGAAGGATGTCAAAATGAGGGGGGCCCAAGGCCCACACTAGTCTGTGAGAGACAGTGGATCCAAGAGCATACATCCCGGCCGGGCAGGGTGGTTCATGCCTGTAATCCCAGCACTTTGGGATGCCAAGGTGGGCAGATCACTTGAGGTCAGGAGTTCGAGACCAGCCTAGCCAACCTGGTGAAACCCCTTCTCTACTACAAATACAAAAATTAGCTGGGTATGGTGATGGGTGTCGGTAATCCCAGCTACTTGGGAGGCTGAGGCAGGAGAATCACTTGAACCCAGGAGGCAGAGGTTGCAGTGAGCAAAAAAAAAAAAAAAAAAAAAACTTACATCCCTTCTCCCCACCATCCTGTTATCACAGGAGATCTATAAGGACAGGCAGAAATTCTCAGAACAGGTTTTCAAAGTGGCCTCCTCAGACCTGGTCAACATGGGCATCAGTGTGGTTAGCTACACTCTGAAGGACATTCACGATGACCAGGTAAAACTAGGCAATTGATCCTTCCCCACTTCCTTGCTCCCATCTCTTAAGCCCTCCAAAGGACTAATTTCTACATCTCTCCCACAGGACTATTTGCACTCTTTGGGGAAGGCTCGAACAGCTCAAGTCCAAAAAGATGCACGGATTGGAGAAGCAGAGGCCAAGAGAGATGCTGGGATCCGGGTGAGAGAGATGGGGGTTGCTTAGTGGGAAAGGGGATAGAAGTGGCACAACTGAGAAGAAGCAGGGGTGCTGGGTGAGCAGGGAAAATACATGAGGCAGAAAGAGAACCTTGGTGGGAAGCAGGCTGTCACCGTGGCCTTTCTCCCCCTGCCCTGACATTTCCTACCTGATCTCTGCTTGGACAGGAAGCTAAAGCCAAGCAGGAAAAGGTGTCTGCTCAGTACCTGAGTGAGATCGAGATGGCCAAGGCACAGAGAGATTACGAACTGAAGAAGGCCGCCTATGACATCGAGGTCAACACCCGCCGAGCACAGGCTGACCTGGCCTATCAGCTTCAGGTCAGAGCCACTGCCAGGCCACTCTCTGCCCCTTCCCCATTCCTCTCAGGCTGTCCATCTCAGGACACCACTACACTATTTCTCATACTTTAACTTTGGTCTTATTCTGGCTCTCCATCTCTGGACCAACTCCCCCATATGAGGAGAGATTTAAAAGACTCAGACGTTACAGCTGAAAAGCTTTAAAGAAAAGGCCAGCCGGGTGTGGTGACTCATGCCTGTAATCCCAGCACTTTGGGAGGCCAAGGCGGGCTGATTGCTTGACCTCAGGAGTTCAAGGCCAGCCTGGGCAACATGGTGAAACCGTGTCTATGCGAAAAATACAAACATTAGCCAGGCATGGCAGCTCGGGCCTGTAGTCACAGCTACTTGGGGTATGAGGCAGGAGGATTGCTTGAGCCAGGATGCGCAGGTTGCAGTGAGTCGAGATCACACTACTGCACTCCAGCCTGGGTGACAGTGAAATCCTGTCCAAAAAAGAGAAAAAAAAGGCCACGCGCGGTGGCTCATGCCTGTAATCCCAGCACTTTGGTAGGCCAAGGCAGGTGGATCACAAGGTCAAGAGTTCGAGACTAGCCTGGCCAACATAGTGAAACCCTGTTTCTACTAAAAATACAAAAATTAGCCAGGTATGGTGGCACGCACCTGTAGTCCCAGCTACTTGGGAGGCTGAGGCCGGAGAATTGCTTGAACCCGGGAGACAGAGGTTGCAGTGAGCTGAGACCACGCCATTGCACTCCAGCCTGGGTGACAGAGTGAGACTCCATCTCAAAAAAAGAAAAAAAAAAAAGAGAAGGCCAAGAAGGGATATGATCAATAAGGCTGATCATATGTTTGGAGCAGGCTGTGCCCGTGCAAAGGCATCTGACTGAGAAAGTGGATCCGAGCTCAGATCCGGCCCATGCCCCTCTAATCAAGCAGTGCATTCTGACATGGGTCTGCATCTACACAGAGGAATTTCTGATTTGCACAGAGGCATGCTATGGGCTAGCGGCAGCCCTGGTTAATTAAAAAAGGGTATGAAGAAGGAAAACATGGACTTGGACATTGAATCCTGCAAAGTGAGATATGGGCAGCCCTTGATATTGCCAGGAAGTATAGTTGATCTTCATTCTTCATTATTCGTATCTGAGAATTTGCCTATTCACTAAAATGTATTGGTAACCTCAAAAGGTTACCAATAAAGTCGCAGCACTTTCAGGATCTTTTGCAGACACGCACAGTACCCAGGTGAGGTTGATCAAGGAGATGCTCTGCTGCCTTGTTTCAGCTCTCATACCGTAAGCCGTGTTATTTTCACAGTATATTTACTGCCGTGTTTTTTGCATTTTTGTGCTTTTTATTGGTGAATTCACTCTTTAAAATGGCCCCCAAGCATCAGTGCTGTAGTGCTGTCTAGTGTCCTTTAGTGCAAGCGGGCTATGATGTGCCTTATGGGAGAAATACATGTGTTAGGTAAGCTTCGTTCATGCATAAGTTATACTGCTGTTAGCTGTGAGTTCAGTGTTAATGAATCAACAATATATTTTACATAAGGTGTCTTTAAACAGAAACACATATAAAGCAAGGCTCTATGTTGATCAGTTGATGAAAATGTTTTGACCAGAGGCTCACGGGAACCTAGCCTGTATTTCTTCTAGGAACAAATTAGGTATTAACTAATTCAGCATTCATGGCTACTTTATAGAACAGAACTACCAAGAACAATGAAAATCAACTGTACTTTGAGACCTTTACCCAAAGGATAGCAATATTATGCATTTTGTTTTTGCCAAGAGTTGGTACAGGCTGAAAGCATAATGAAGGTAAAAACATCTTTTGTTATTATGTTAAATTCCTGGGTGACTTGACAGGTTGAACATGGCATACAGCTTTGCAACTCAAACTGTGTTCTACCCAGCAGCAGCTGCAGCATCACTGCGAAGCTTGTTAGAAATACAAAATTGCAGGCCCTGGCCCTGACCAGCTGAATCAGAACCTGCATTTTAACAAAATCTCAAGGTGAATTCCTAGGTGATTTGTATGCACATTGGAGTTTGAGTTTGAAAAGGGTTACCATGATGGAAACTGCTAGCTTGCAGTGAAGCTATGGATAAGGTTCTTAACCTTCTAAACATGACCTTACTTGTCTGCAGATTAAGGGATTGGACTGGTTGGACTCTTTTCAACTTTTATCAGTTTCTCGTTATGCACCAGGCAGTGTGCTAGGTGTTCAGGAAAGAAGGATTTATTCAACAAATATCTGTTAAGTGCCTTCTATGTGCTAGACACCATTTTGGAGGTGAGGCTATAAATATGGAGGTGAGGCAGAAAAGATTCCTGCCCTTATGCAGCTTACATTATGACACAGGAAACAGCTAGTAAGCAAGTAAATGACCTTCCCAGGCTATAATTCTTGTTTAGGTGCTGTGAAGGAAATAAACAGGGTGATGTGAAAAACTGTGGGAGGGGAGTTAGTATATTAGGTTAGCGGGTGGTAGAGAAAGTTTCTATGAGGAAGTGGTGTTTGAGATCAGACTTGGAGATAAGAAGGAACAATGTACAGTTCTGAGCCAAGAATATTCTAGCCTGTGCTTTTTAAGTAGTCATACTTAAAAAGTGGCTGGGCGCGGTGGTTCATGCCTGTAATCCCAACACTTTGAGAGGCTGAGACAGGAAGATCACTTGAGGCCGGGAGTTTGAGACCAGTCTGGCCAACAGTGAAACCCTGTCTCTACCAAAAATACAAAAAATATTAGCCGGGTGTGGTGGTTTGAGCCTGCAGTTCCAGCTACTTGGGAGGCTGAGGCGTGAGAATCGCTTGAATCCAGAAGGCACAGTGAGCCGAGATTGCGCCACCGCACTCCAGCCTGGGCGACAGAGCGAGACTCCTTCTAAGATAGATATATGGATGGATGGATGGACGGATGGACGGACGGACGGACGGACGGACGGACGGACGGACGGACGACAGACAGTCAGTCAGTCAGTCAGTCATACGTGGCTTGTGGCTAGGCAGGGGACCAGTAAGTGCAAAGGCTGTGAGGTGGAGTCAGAAAGGAGGTTTCTGATCTGGGGGCGCTGGTGTGCTGTGAGTGAGGAGGAAAGGCAGGCAGGGCCAGATCACAAAGGGTTTGTGTGGTCACGATGGAGACACAGAAGAGAACTGAAAGCACAGTGGAAAGCTATTGGAGAACTTCAAGCAGAAAGGTGCCATGGTCTTATTTATATTTGTATAGGGATCAGTCTGGTTGCCTTGTGGAGAACGGGCAAAGAGAGGAAGCAAGGCCGGGTGCGGTGGTTCACACCTGTAATCCCAACACTTTGGGAGGCCGAGGTGGGCAGATCACGAGGTCAGGAGATCGAGACCATCCTGGCTAACATGGTGAAACCCCGTCTCTACTAAAAATACAAAAAATTAGCTGGGCGTGGTGGCAGGCACCTGTAGTCCCAGCTACTCGGGAGGCTGAGGCAGAAGAATGGCATAAACCCGGGAGGCGGAGCTTGCAGTGAGCCGAGATCGCGCCACTGCACTCCAGCCTGGATGACAGAGTGAGACTCTGTCTCAAAAAAAAAAGCAAAAGATGAGTTGGGCTCTTTTTCAGAGATGATGGATTAAACAAATGTAGCTAATTTTACTCTCTCCTAAAACCTCACTAAAGCCAAAATGATTTTTTTTTTTTTTGAGATGGAGTCTCGCTCTGTCGCCCAGGCTGGAGTGCAGTGGCGCGATCTAAAATGATTTTTTTTAAGGTAAAGATAGAGGCTTGTCCAAAGGTAGTGAGTTATCTCAATTGATTGTTCAGTCAGTTACAGATTGAACTCCTTGTTCTACTCTTTACCTACTTCTCACTATTGCACTTGATTAGTCTTTCTTTCTTCCTTTCTTTCCTTCTCTTCTCTTCTTTCTTCTCTCCTCTCCTCTTTGAGACCGGGTCTTACTCGGTCCCCCAGGCTAGAGTGCAGCGGTACAATCTCAGCTCACTACAGCTTCAACTGCCTGGGCTCAAGCAATACTCCCACCTCAGCTTCCTGAGTAGCTTGGTCTACAAACATATGCCACCACGCCTGGCTAATTTTTGTATGTTTTGTAGAGACGGAATTTCACCATGTTGCCCAGGCTGGTCTCAAACTCCTGGGCTCAAAGGATCCTTCCCGCCTCAGCCTCCCAAAATGCTAGGATTACAGGCGTGAGCCACCATGCCCAGCTGACTAGGCTTTAAAAAAAAAAAAGATGGAGAAAATAGGAACGGAAACCAGAGCATCATTTTGGAAACTGGAAGTCAGTAGTAATTGACTAAGCAGGTATGACACAGCTGAGCTTGAAACCTGCAAAAGGGAAAACAATGAAATGATCTGAGGCTCAGGAGCTGGCAGCACCCAGTGCTTCTCCAGCTGTGGTAGACTGGTTAAATAAGAGGAACATGTGAAAAGCACCTTCTCAGAGCCCCTCACTGCCTCTGGGTAATGGTTCCTGCCCTGCTCCAACAGACATCTGGAGGTTTATTATCTTATTTATCTATTTTATTTATGTTTTTTTTGAGACAGGGTCTCTCACTCTGTTGTCCAGGCTGGAGTGCAGGTGCAGTGGCGCAGTCTCGGCTCACTGCAACCTCTGCCTCCTGGGTTCAAATGATTCTCGTGCCTCACCCTCCCAAGTAATCCTCAACTGGGATTACAAGTGCCCACCACCACGCCCAGGTAATTTTTGTATTTTTTTTTTTTTTTTTAGTAGAGAGGGGTTTCACCATGTCGGCCAGGCTGGTCTCGAACTGCTAGCCTCAAGTGATCCATCCACCTCAGCCTCACAATGTGCTGGGATTACAGGTGTGAGTTACCATACCTGCCATTGGAAGTCTATTATCTGAAGAGAGTAGACTAGAGGATGTGATGGGGGCTGGCCCAGCACAGGTGAGGACCTAGATAGTTTACCAGTAACAGGGGCATGAAATGACTATAACTTTCATGAATGCTAAATACTGAGAGCCAACCCCAACCCCAACCCCCTCAACCCCACTCAGCTCCCAGAACTTCCATCTTCCAAAAAAGAGATCAGAAGACTGCTCTGGGGAACATGACCAATCCAAAAAGAAATAACTTAAAATCCTGAATCAGATGTTTCTCCGTACATGGCCTATCCAGATCACCGTAGGGTGAAGCTCAAAGTCAGCAAGCCTCACCCACATACTCAGAGCTTCCTTTCAGTGTTGAGACCTTCTTCCCTCTGAGCAGATGACAAAGGAGTTTGAAACCAGCCTGGCCAACATGGTGAAACCCCGTCTCTACTAAAAACACAAAAATTAGCTGAAATGGTGACTGTAATCCCAGCTACTCAGGAGGCTGAGGCAGGAGAATCACTTGAATCCGGGAGGCAGAGGTTGCAGTGAGCTGAGATCGTGCCATTTCATTCCAGCCTGGGCAACAGAGCAAGCCATCACAGATTTGGGAGCAACCAAGAAAGCCAGGGACAGGGTATGCTTGGTAACCTGGCAAGAGCTGACAAAGGGGAAAAATAAAACCCCACAGAAAGAAGCAGGGAAGTAAGGGAAAGGGACTAATAAGAGTCAAGCAGGGCCAGGGGTGTTGGCTCATGCCTGTAATCCCAGCACTTTGGGAGGCCAAGGTGGGTGGCTCACGAGGTCAGGAGATCGAGACCATCCTGGCTAACACGGTGAAACCCCAACTCTATAAAAATACAAAAAATTAGCCAGGCGTGGTGGTACGCGCCTGCAGTCCCAGCTACTCGGGAGGCTGAGGCAGGAGAATCACTTGAACCTGGGAGGCAGAGGTTGCAGTGAGATGAGATCATGCCACTGCACTCCAGCCTGGGTGACAGAGCGAGACTCCATCTCCAAAAAAAAAAAAAAAAGTCAAGCACATGCAAATGTGGCATGACTTATTGGGAGCAGAAACATTCTGAGAAAAATTATATAAAAATGAGGTTTTAGATTGAAATGGTCTACTAAGTGCCCAATGCAATGAATGAAAAATATATACATTGAAACATAACACTGTGAAACTTAAGAATGCTGAGGACAAAAAATATGAAAGCTTCTAGAGAGAGAGAGATCTCAAAGAGGCAGGCTTCAAAATGACTTCAGATTCCTTTTTTTTTTTTTTTTTTTTTTTTTTCAGAGACAGGGTCTTGCTCTGTTGTCCAATACAGTGGCATAAACAAGGCTCACTGTAACCTCAACCTCCCAGGCTCAAGTGATTCTCCCACCTCAGCCTCCCCAGTAGTTGGGACCACAGGGGCACACCACCACGCCCAGCTAATTTTTAAATTTTTTTCTAGAGGTGAGATCTTGCCATATTGCACAGGCTGGTCTTGAACTCCTGGGTTCAAGTTATCCTCCCACCTTAGCCTCCCAAAGTGCTGGGATTATAGGCATGAGCCACTGCATCAAGCCCAGCTTTCTTTTCTTTTTTTTTTTTTTTGAGATGGATTTTTGCTCTTGTCACCCAGGCTGGAGTGCAATGGCGTGATCTCAGCTACTGCAACCTCTGCCTCCTGGGTTCAAGCGATTCTCCTACCTCAGCTTCCCAAGTAGCTGGGACTACAGGTATGTGCCACCATTGCTGGCTAATTTTTGTATTTTTAGTAGAGACGGGGTTTCACCACGTTGACCAGGCTGGTCATGAACTCCTGACCTCAGGTGATCTGCCCACCTCAGCCTCCCAAAGTGCTGGGATGACAGGCATGAGCCACCATGACTGGCCCAAGCCCAGATTTCTTAAAAAGCTAGAAAACCATGGAGGAATGCCTTCAGAATTCTGATGGAAAGTTAATCCCAACATAGCAGCCTGCTTTCAGCCTAACTGGTATTAAAATAGAAGGGTAGAGGCCGGGTGCAGTGGCTAACGCCTGTAATCCCAGCACTTTGGGAAGCCGAAGCAGGTGGATCACCTGAGATAAGGAGTTCAAGACCAGCCTGGCCAATGTGGTGGAACCCCATCTCTATTAAAAACACAAAAATTAGCTGAGCGTGGTGGCAGGCACCTATAATCCCAGATACATGGGAGGCTGAGGCAGGAGAATTGCTTGAACCTGGGAGATGGAGATTGCAGTGAGCCAAGACTGCGTCACTGCACTCCAGCCTGGGTGCCAAGAGCGAAATTCCATCTCAAAAAAAGGTAGAATAAAAATCTCAGAGAAAGCAAGACCTCAGAAAAAATATTGTCTTTATATTCTTTCTGAGGAAGCTTCTGGAGGTTGAGTTTCACCAAAAGGTGGGCATAGACAGGAAGGAAAAAGAAACAGACAAATGGTTGCCTAAGGGACACAGGAGAGAGGTGATCCTGCACACCGGTGTAGAGGGCAACGAGGCCAGTTTGGAACGGGTTTGAAAATTTAGGGTGAAAGACAGTACAGAGTGCCGTCTCCAGAGCTATGCTTCTCTCTGGAGTGAACAGATGGGCCCGGGGGAAGGTAGGAGGCAGGGGAAGCATCACATGTATTGATGAGACCTACAATGATGATGGTGCATGGCTGAGCCTGAGCAATGGGACAACGAAGGCATGTGTTCTGGCTGGGTGTGATGGCACATGCCTGTAACCCCAACACTTTGGGAAGCCGAGGCAGGTGGATCACGTGAGCCCAGGAGTTTGAGATCAGCCTGGGCAACATAGAAAACCCTGTCTCTACAAAAAGTACAAAAAATAGCCGGGTGTGCTGGTTCACACCTGTAGTCCCAGCTACTCTAGAGGGGGAGGCGGGAGGATCATCTGAGCCCAGGCAGGTCAAGGCTGCAGTGAGCCATGATTACGCCATTGAACCTGGGTGACAGAGTAAGATGATGTCTCAAAAAGAAAAAAAAAATGTGTTCCTTGCCTGGCACCTCTCCTCACTAGCATCTTGATAAGAGCCTTCTGATTCCCTCACACTGCAAGGAATAAGAAGATGAAATCTAGGCTGGGTGCGATGGCTCATGCCTGTAATCCCAGCACTTTGGGAAACTGAGGCGGATGGATCACTTGAGATCAGGAGTTTGAGACCAGCCTGGCCAACATGGTGAAACCCCGTCTCTACTAAAAAAAATACAAAAATTAGCCAGACATGGTAGCACATGCCTGTAGTCCCAGCTACTTGAGAGGCTGAGGCAAGAGATTAGCTTGAACCTGGGAGGTGAAGGTTGCACTGAGCTGATCGTGCCACTGCACTCCAGCCTGGGCAATAGAGCGAAACTGCCTCAAAAAAAAAGAAAGAAATCTGCCTAAATAAGAGGAATTCTATGAATACACACATTCTTGTAGATGTTCAGAGTATCCCTGGAAGGATACACAAGAAGCTGGTCTTGGTGGTTTCTCTGGGAAAGGGACCCAGGTGGTTTGGAGAATGAGGAAGAAGCCTCGTGGTTCACTTTTTTTTCTGTTAAATCTGCACCATGTGCAAAAGACAAAAAAGATCACCTGTCCCCACCCCCACAAAAAATAAGTCAGCTATTGCAGTAGCCTAGGCTAGCACTAAGGTTATCGCAGCAACAGTGGGGGGATTTGAGCAAGACTGGAGATAGCAGAAAGCCAACATGTGCTCAGTGCCCTCAAGGTATTTATACTCTAGAAGGGGGCACACGTGGGAAAAATAGATTAAACGGGGGCTCATCAGAGAAACACTGGACTCCACTGGACTGGCCAAGCAGACAGGAGGGAACCCACCTTCATGCACCTGCTCCTTTTTTTTTTTTTTTTTTTTTGGAGATGGAGTCTTACTCTGTTGCCCAGGGTGGAGTGCAGTGGCGTGATCCCAGCTCACTGCAACCTTCGCCTCCCAGGTTCAAGCAATTCTCCTGCCTCAGCCTCCCGGGTGGCTGGGACTACAGGCATTCGCCACCACACCTGGCTAATTTTTTGTATTTTAGTAGAGACAGGGTTTCACCATGTTGGCCAGGCTGGTCTCGAGCTCCTGAACTCAGGCAATCCACCCTCCTTGGCCTCCCAAAGCGCTAGGATTACAGGCGTGAGCCACCGCGCCCGGCCACCGGCTCCTATTTTTATATCCCACTCTGGAGCTCTGGTTCCCGGGCACTTGCTCTTCACCTCTGACTCAGAGCGTGAACCTGACTTCACCCTCCTACCCAGGTGGCCAAGACTAAGCAGCAGATTGAGGAGCAGCGGGTGCAGGTGCAGGTGGTGGAGCGGGCCCAGCAGGTGGCAGTGCAGGAGCAGGAGATCGCCCGGCGGGAGAAGGAGCTGGAGGCCCGGGTGCGGAAGCCAGCGGAAGCGGAGCGCTACAAGCTGGAGCGCCTAGCCGAGGCAGAGAAGTAAATGTCCCCTCCCTGACCCTGCCTAGCTCACTTGCCACCTAGGCACCCCAAGATGGAGTGCTGAAGCCTTCACCACCTGGACTCCTATGGATTTCAGGTTTCAGGAGCGTCTGCCTCTGCAGCACTGGGCCTTTCTCCTGGGAGTAAGGGCTGCTGGGCTCCACCCTCCACTTCCCTTCTGTCCACAGGTCCCAACTAATTATGCAGGCGGAGGCAGAAGCCGCGTCTGTGCGGGTGAGTTAAGAGGCAGTTCCATGCTGGCTTGTGGAGAGGGTGGGGGTTGCTGCTTGATCGGGGATTTCTTGTTCTTAATGATTTCCGTCAATCTCACAAGCATCCTTAACCCTCAGATGCGTGGGGAAGCTGAGGCCTTTGCCATAGGGGCCCGAGCCCGAGCCGAGGCTGAGCAGATGGCCAAGAAGGCAGAAGCCTTCCAGCTGTACCAAGAGGCTGCTCAGCTGGACATGCTGCTAGAGAAGCTGCCCCAGGTCTGGAGGTCATGTGGGCACCAAGAAAGGAGGAAATAGAACCAGGGACTAAGGGGTGGGGTGTAGTGAGGGGCTTAGGGAGAAACAGCCTAGGGGGACTCTAAATTAGGGGTGGGAATTATTAGTGACCAAAGTGAGGAAGGATGATCAGTGGAACGAGGACCTTAAAACCCAGAGTAAGTTGTTTTATGAGGAATGTGGTCAGATCATGGGCACTGAGTGGGTGTCTCTCTCCTGCCAGGTGGCAGAGGAGATCAGTGGTCCCTTGACTTCAGCCAATAAGATCACACTGGTGTCCAGCGGCAGTGGGACCATGGGGGCAGCCAAAGTGACTGGGGAAGTACTGGACATTCTAACTCGCCTGCCAGAGAGTGTGGAAAGACTCACAGGCGTGAGCATCTCCCAGGTGAGGTCTCAGGTTGGAGCTGAGGAGAATTGCTAGGTTCCTGTGTTGTGTGACACAGTATGCCTAGCATTTAACCAGCATCCAGGCCTGGGAGTCATTGATGTTTATTAATCACTTTCTGTGTGCCAGACACAGTGCTAAGCTTCTACATAAATGAGTTGTTTTAAATCAAACTACCATTAGGGTATATAGGATTTTACAAAGTCCAGAAACTCAACATCCAGCATGTTCCTACTCATTCTGCTAGTGCAGCTGGAGTGAAATCCAGGTCGACTGTCTCTGCAACCTGTGCTTGTGGTCACCCCACTAGTATAGGGAACTAGTTGCAGCCTATTGACAGTTAATTAATTCTAGGGCATATCACTGCTTTTCTCAGCGCCCCAGTTAATTCACCTGTAGATCATGGTAGAAGTCAGCAAACAGGCTCTGGAACCACTGTTTTGTTGCGAATCCTAGCTACAATGCCTGCTAGCTGTAATCTTGGACAAGTAATCAACCTCTCTATACCTGTTTCCTCATCTTAAAATTGGGTTAATAATTAGAAACTACCCTGTTGAATTGTTGAGGGGCTCGAGCAAATATTTGCAGTGTTTAGAATAGTGCCTGGTATATAGTAAGCATTATGTGTATGTTAAAGAAATGGGGCCAGGTGCAGTGGCTTACGCCTGTAATCCCAGCACTTTGGGAGGCTGAGGCAGGCAGATCACCTGAGGTTAGGAGTTGGAGACCAGCCTGGCCAACATGGTGAAACACCATCTTTACTAAAAATACAAAAAAAAATTAGCCAGGCTTGGTGGTGCATGCCTGTAATCTCAGCTACTCGGGAAGCTGAGGCAGGAGAATTGCTGGAACCCAGGAGCCGAAGGTTGCAGTGAGCTGAGATCACACCACTGCACTCCAGCCTGGGTGACAGAATAAGACTCTATCTCAAAAAAAAAAAAAAATTCCAGGCGCGGTAGCTCATGCCTGTAATCCCAGCACTTTGGGAGGCTGAGGCGGGCGGATCACGAGGTCAGGAGATTGAGACCATCCTGGCTAACACAGTGAAACCCCGTCTCTACTAAAAATACAAAACAGCCGGGCGTGGCGGTGTGTGCCTGTAGTCCCAGCTGCTGGGGAGGCTGAGGCAGGAGAATGGTGTGAACCTGGGAGGCAGAGCTTGCAGTGAGCCGAGATAGCACCACTGCACTCCATCCTAGGCAACAGAGCAAGACTCTGTCTCAAAAAAAAAAAGAGAAAGAAATGCATATTCGGGCTGGGTGCTGTGGCTCACACTTGTAATCCCAGAACTTTGGGAGGCCAGGGTGGACGATCAGCTGAGGTCAGAAGTTTGAGATCACCCTGGCCAACATGGTGATACCCCATCTCTACCAAAAATACAAAAATTAGCTGGGTATGGTGGCGCATACCTGTAATCCCAGCTACTCGGGAGGCTGAGGCAGGAGAATCACTTGAACTCAGGAGGCGGAGGCTGCAGTAAGCCAAGATCGCACCACTGCATTCTAGCCTGGGTGATAGAGTGAGATTCCGTCTCAAAAAAAAAAAGAAAAAAAAAAAGCGTATGTAAATAAAAGCACTGGATCATACCAATGACCTTCAAGCTGGGTTCCTTGGAGCCTCCTGGAGGCCTGCAGTAGAATATTCAGAGCTAAGGAGAGTGTGCAAACAAGGCTCTGCCCCCTCTCCTCTCTTCAGTGATTTATTGTATGTGGGTCCTGATGTCTTTGTTTGGGGAAACAGGTGGTAGGGCACCAGAAAGAACCCTGGCCGTGTGTGTTCTGCCTATAGCCCATTCGTCTAAACTGGGGCCCGGGAGAGTAGGGGCCTCAGCCTCCCGAATGTTCCCAAGTGTCATCTACTGTTGTCTTTTTGCCAGGTGAATCACAAGCCTTTGAGAACAGCCTGAGCCTTCAGCCCTCACAGATGCCCAGCCTCATAGCTGAAGTTGCCTGAATGATCCTCCTGTTGCATGTAACCCACTGGCCTCCCTGAGCATGTCCATTGACAGTGAGGTCCCACCCCTCATCTCTCCTTGCCAAATAGTTTGTGCCTTGTCTTGAAGGGGGTTGCTCCCCTTGCCAACCTCACACTGCTATGATTGCCAACTCCAGCGGTCCCATGTCAGCCTTCTGATGATCCCACTCCACCCCACCTCAACTTATTTAACTTCCTAATTAAATCAGACTGTTTGAGCCTGTTGTCTAGAATATTTTCCTGACCAAGACTGAGGGATGGGCTGGAGGTTTTCAACTTTGCTACCCAAATAAATTGCTGTAAGTAAGTACTAATAAAACAGAAGCAACTGGAAATTAATGCTTGGCCCGGCACAGTGGCTCATGCCTGTAATCCCAGCACTTTGGGAGGCCAAGGCAGGCAGATCATCTGAGGTCAGGAGTTCAAGACCAGCCTGGCCAACATGACGAAACCTTGTCTCTACCAAAAATACAAAAATTAGCCAGGCAGGGTGAAACATGCCAAGTAGTAGTCCCAGCTACTTGGGAGGCTGAGGCAGGAGAATTACTTGAACCTGGGAAGCAGAGGTTGCAGTGAGCCAAGATCGCACCACTGCACTCTAGCCTAGGTGACAGAGTGAGACTGTTTCAAAAAAAAAGAGAAAAAAAATGAATGCTAGACTCAGGTATGGTGACTCTTGCCTATAGTCCTAGCTACTTGGGAGGCTAAGGTGGGAGGATCACTTGAGCTCAGGAGTCTAAGGCTGTAGTGAGCCATGATCACACCACTGCATTCCAGCCTGGGTGACAAAGCAAGATCCTGGCTCTATTAGAAAGAAAATGAATGCTAGAATGTAGCTTCTTCCCTTGCATACAATAGGCTTTCTTGCATACAATAGGCTTTCTAGAATGGGAGAAAAGCAAGTTACTTATATACTGTCAAGAGTTTTAGAGTTAATTTTTCCCCCCAACAGTGTATTATAGTCAGAAAAGCATGCTAAAATAGAAGGAATGTTGGGAATAATACTAGTTCCTAGAATTCCTGAAAACATGGCAAAAGGAATTATTGTTTTCAGGGTAGCTTTGAGACTTGCATTGTGAACTTAAAAGTATGAGGTAGTAGATGGTACAGATTGTTTTAGAATGGGACCATAAGGTAGCAATCCCGCCTAGTTATCCTTTTTTTTTTTTAAAGACAAGGTCTTGGGCTTGGGCCGGGCACGGTGGCTCATGCTTGTAGTCCCAGAACTTTTTGGGAGGCTGAGACGGGTGGATCACTTGAGGTCAGGAGTTTGAGACCAGTCCTGGCCAACGTGGTGAAACCCCATCTCTACTAAAATACAAAAATTAGCCCGGCGTGATGGTGGGTGCCTGTAATCCCAGCTACTTGGGAAGCTGAGGCAGAATTCCTTGAACCCGGGAGGCAGAGGTTGTAGCGAGCCAAGATCGCGCCAATGTGCTCCAACCTGGGCAACATAGCAAGACTCCATCTCAAGAAAAAAGAAAAAAAAAGACAAGGTCTTGCTCTGTCACCCAGGCTGGGGTGCAGGGGTAGGGTCAGGGCTCATTGCAGCCTCTACCTCCCAGGCTCAGGCAATCCTCCCATCCAATCCCCACCCCCCTACCCCCAACAACCACCACCCCCCTCTACCCCAGCAGCTGGGACTACAGGCATGCACCACCATGCCCAGCTTTTTTTTTTGTTAGATGGTTCACTGCTGCCCAGGCTGGTGTGGAACTCCTGGGCTCAAGCCATCCTCCTGCCTCGGCCCCCCAGAGTGCTGGGATTACAAGTGGGAGCCACCATACCAGGGCTTCACTAGTTATCTTGGTGTCATAGGTTGACTAAGCCCACAGGATCACAGGAAATGGCCATGGGTACACATAACCCAAAGGAATCCTGGGCTGGGTGGCCAAGGCCAGTTCAACCATTTATGGTTCAGTACATCTGGGTGGGATGAAAAACTTGCATTTATTTCTGCAAGTTCCCAGAGGATGTGGATGCTGGTCTGGAAACCAGTTACACGTGATTTGTCATTCTTCTCAGCTTCCATTTTCCATCCCTGGATCCTGCATCTAAGCCTATGCCTTCCCCAGTTAAGACTCATTGGTGGGCCTGGTGCACTGGCTCACCTGGCTTATGCCTACAGTCCCAGCTGCTTGGGAGAATGAGATGGATTGTTTGAGCCCAGGACATCAAGGCTGTAGTGAGCTGTCAGAGACTACAGTAAAGACTGACTGGTGCTCAGAGCAGTTTGGGTACCAGAAACAATGATGTGAGGGTCTATAAAGCAGTCAGTGTCCTTACCAGTACCTCCCTGAGATACCAAATCGGCAGACACCCAAGTCCCTCATATAAAATGTAGTACTTGCATATAACCTGTGTACTTCAAATCATCTCTACGTTACTTGTAATACCTAATCTAATGCAAATATTATGTAAATAATTTATACTATTATTGTTTAGGGAATAATGAGAAGTCTATACATGTCCAGTACAACTCTTTTCCCAATATCCAGTTGGTTGAATCCGTAGGACAGGGACTCAATATTAAGTGTCAATTTAAGGAGAGCAGTGCAACTGAACTCAGGCCCCATGCCTCCATCAGCCAGCCGTGTTTCCCTAAATAAGCACACATCTCGCAGCTTTTTTCAATTCCCATTTATTTTTGGCTCTTGGGGCGATGTCATCTTTTCAATATGAAAAAAAGCAGCAAGTTCAACATAAAATAGAAATCTCAAATGTAGGATAGAACAAAACCAAGTGTGTGAGGGGGGAAGCAACAGCAAAAGGAAGAAATGAGATGTTGCAAAAAAGATGGAGGAGGGTTCCCCTCTCCTCTGGGGACTGACTCAAACACTGATGTGGCAGTATACACCACTCCAGAGTCAGGGGTGTTCATTCTTTTTTGGGAGTAAGAAAAGGTGGGGATTAAGAAGACGTTTCTGGAGGCTTAGGGACCAAGGCTGGTCTCTTTCCCCCCTCCCAACCCCCTTGATCCCTTTCTCTGATCAGGGGAAAGGAGCTGAGTGAGGGAGGTAGAGTTGGAAAGGGAAGGATTCCACTTGACAGAGTGGGACAGACTCCTCCAGAGTAGAGCTTGGAGGGAGATTGAAAGTGGAGATAATACTGCTGACACCTCCCTTGAAGCTGAGATGGGAAATGGACATACTTAGAAATTTAGTGACTTTAATAGCCTGGATTTCCCTCTCCAAAACTTTTAGAATGGAAAATCCCATCCCCTTCCTTATATAGTGACTTCTACCCACTACCTTCTACCATTTTCTACTTTGGGCTTAGGATGATGGCCATTATCTACATGTGTTTTCAGCACCTGGTTGGTTCTAAATGGGATCTGGAGACCCAGCTTCTTGGAGATTTTTAAGAGGAAGTATTAACTGGACAAATGGAATGGGCACCAGAAAGAAATACAGGGTCACCCAGAATGGCAGAAACCTAGGTTTCCCAGAGTGGAAAGAGAGAGGAGACATTCAACAAACAAGTATTTATTGAGCGCCTACTATGTGCCAGGCACTGTTCTAGACCCCCCCCAGAAGAAAAAACAAAAAACAAGATAGAGGCAGCAAACACAAATTCTGAGGGAGAGGAAAGGGGCAGTTGAGTAAGACGGCTAAGGGAACTGAGAAGCCTGAGGTGATGGGGGCTCTGCCTTAGGCCTCCTCTTCGGCCTCCTCACCGAAATCCTCCTCCTCTTCTGCGGTGGCATCCTGGTACTGCTGATACTCAGAGACGAGGTCGTTCATGTTGCTCTCAGCCTCGGTGAACTCCATCTCGTCCATGCCCTCGCCTGTGTACCAGTGGAGGAAGGCCTTCCGGCGGAACATGGCAGTGAACTGCTCCGAGATGCGCTTGAAGAGCTCCTGGATGGCTGTGCTATTGCCAATGAAGGTGACTGCCATCTTGAGGCCACGAGGTGGGATGTCACAGACGGCTGTCTTGACATTGTTGGGGATCCATTCCACAAAGTAGCTGCTGTTCTTGTTCTGCACGTTAAGCATCTGCTCATCGACCTCCTTCATGGACATCCGACCACGGAAGACAGCAGCCACGGTGAGGTATCGGCCGTGGCGGGGGTCACAGGCAGCCATCATGTTCTTGGCATCGAAGACCTGCTGGGTGAGTTCCGGCACTGTGAGAGCTCGATACTGCTGGCTTCCACGGCTGGTGAGAGGGGCAAAGCCAGGCATAAAGAAATGGAGACGTGGGAAGGGGACCATGTTGACTGCCAACTTGCGGAGGTCAGCATTGAGCTGGCCAGGGAAACGGAGGCAGGTGGTGACACCACTCATGGTGGCTGAGACAAGGTGGTTCAGATCCCCGTAGGTTGGTGTGGTCAGCTTCAGAGTGCGGAAGCAGATATCATAGAGGGCCTCGTTGTCAATGCAATAGGTCTCATCAGTATTCTCTACCAACTGATGGACGGAGAGGGTGGCATTGTAGGGCTCGACCACGGTGTCAGACACTTTGGGTGAAGGCACCACACTGAAGGTATTCATGATGCGATCAGGGTATTCTTCTCGGATCTTGCTGATAAGGAGAGTGCCCATTCCAGAGCCTGTGCCCCCGCCCAGTGAGTGGGTCAGCTGGAAGCCCTGCAGGCAGTCACAGCTCTCTGCCTCCTTCCGTACCACATCCAGGACAGAATCAACCAGCTCGGCGCCCTCTGTGTAGTGGCCTTTGGCCCAGTTGTTACCTGCCCCAGACTGACCTGGAATGCAGTCAGGAGAAAAGCTCAATTAACAGGGTATGGAAGATACATGATGTTTCCATCTTTCAACTTTTCAAATAATTCCCTCGGATGTATCTTCTTTCTCCTTCACTGTGATATATTCTCCCCCTACTGCCCCATAATTTACCAGCAATAGTAGGCACTACCTCTACCCTCCGTTAGATTTCAGAACACATTTCTGTATTAGCACTCCAATACAACAATCATCTCCTAACTTTTGCTGTGTCCTTGCACCCAAATAAGTTGAACACGATGGTATATCATCTGCTAATATCATCTGTATAACTCACCAAATACAAAGTTGTCTGGTCTAAAGATCTGGCCAAAAGGACCTGAGCGAACAGAGTCCATGGTCCCAGGTTCTAGATCCACCAGGATGGCACGAGGAACATATTTGCCACCTACAGAGAATAAAGTTAAGAGCTGTGAAATCTGGCAGAAGGGAAGGTTTATAGATATACTGGAAATGGGAGACAGCAGGGATCAGAGACTTGTCATTCCAGGTCCCGCCACCAGGTGGCAGCAGACGTCTTTG
The DNA here is from genome assembly GCF_000001405.40 of Homo sapiens. Taxonomy (NCBI): domain Eukaryota; kingdom Metazoa; phylum Chordata; class Mammalia; order Primates; family Hominidae; genus Homo; species Homo sapiens. The sequence continues at coordinate 30,722,783 of NC_000006.12, read as the reverse complement.
GCCCCGACGGTGGTTCACGAAAGGGACAAAATGACAGATTCACCCAAAGGGGATAAGGCGTGCCCAGAAATGGAAAGAGATCCCAGATAAGTGGGAGACAGGGAAGGGAACCTGAGCTGCCCGGGCTCCTGCCCTTACCTGTGGCTTCATTGTAGTACACAGAGATGCGGTCCAGCTGCAGGTCGCTGTCCCCGTGGTAGGTGCCGGTGGGGTCGATGCCATGTTCATCACTGATCACCTCCCAGAACTGCCGAGGGGGAGCAACGAGACCACAACAGGTCAAGTCCCAGCCAACTATGTCCCCAACTACCATTTTATTTCATCTTTTTCTTAATTTTTTTTGAGACGGAGTCTCGCTCTGTCACCAGGCTGGAGTGCAGTGGCGCTATCTCGGCTCACTGCAACCTCTGCTTCCCGGGTTCAAGCGATTCTCCTGCCTCAGCCCCCGGAGTAGCTGGGACTATAGGCGCGCACCAACACGCCCAGCTACTTTTTGTATTTTTAGTAGAGACGGGTTTCACCATGTTGGCCAGGATGGTCTAGATCTCTTGACCTCGTGATCCGCCCACCTTGGCCTCCCAAAGTGCTGGGATTACAAGGGTGAGCCACCGCGCCCAGCTTCTTCTAATTTTTAAGACAGGGTCTTCCTGTTGCCCAGCCTGCAGTGCAGTGGTGCAATCACGGATGACTACAGCGTGGAACTCCCAGGCTCAACCGATCCTCCCATCTCAGCCTCTCGAGTAGCTGGGACCACAGACGCGCGCCACCACGCCCAGCTAATTTTTTACTTTTATTTTTTGTAGAAACGTGGCATGGGGGAGGGTCTCGCTTTGTTGCCCAGGATGGTCTCGAACCCCTGACCTGGAGGGATCCCAATTCGCCCACCTCGGCCCCACATCTCCCATTTTAATTCCACAAGCGCTCAGGCCGTTGTTCTAGGGCATGGCATCCCGTGGGCCTGCCACACCCTTCCCCTAGACACTCGCTCCCCCGAGAAAGCCACAGCTTTCCCTGCTCTGGATATGTGCAGCGGGTCCCAAGTGCTCGGTGGGCGGATGGAGGTCGACCACACTTCGATAAGCGCCGCTCTCCTTCCCCCAAGCTGGGCACCGCCCCACCGCGCGGCGCACAAAAGGCTGGGGGTCTGAGGAAAGAGCTGCCGCCGCAGTCGACCACCCCCCCCGCCCTCCACGTGACTGCGGCGCACGCGCAGGTCGAGCCGCCGACAAAAGACTTCGCGCGTGGGCGGGGCCAGGGACAAAAATTCCGCGCGCGAGGGGCGGGGCCCAAGGTAGCGCGCCCCTGCCGGCGGGCAACGCCGCATTGTCCCCGCGCGCCCACGGCGCCCCGGCCCCGCCCCGCAGGGCCCCGCCCTTCTGCTACAACGTAGCAGCCGCACTTCCTCCCGCCCCTCCCCCGCTACACTGTAACCGCGCGCAAAAAAAAAAAATCCCCCTTGGCCTCGGAATTTTTATTCCTTCGCTACATTTCTACCCCTTGATTTAAAGGATTCTTTCTCTCCCATTAAGTCCTGAGGGACTCATTAAAGAAAACCACACACCCCCATTTTCTCGACATATCTGTTCACGCCCTAAAAAAGTCTCTCTTAGGGGCCATGAAAGCAAGTAAAATTAATCCCGTTCTTATTCTCCTTCCACCCAGGAACAAATACAGGACCGGCCCTCTGGGGTCGCGGGCGCGTTGGGGTCCCTGGTCTTTTGTGAAAGGTAGCGCCCAGCGCAGCCCACCCTGGCGCATCGCCCCCCACCCTTGCGCTGGAGCTCTCTGCAGCCGCCCGATGGCCTCACCCCTTCCCGCTCCGGTTTGGCCCTAAGTACCCCGCAGGGGGGTTGGGCGGGATGCACATGGGCAAAACCTCGCCCCGCTTTGTCTGCGACCGTTTCCGCATCTCTCTCCCTGCCCGGTTCTCGGACCGTTAGAAGCCCTTTTAAGTAACATCTTATAAGTCCTCGGTCTTCCCGCCCCCAAACCCGAAGAGCCCTTTTACTAGTTTCTCCAAAATGTGCCTGCCAAGAAAAATGATTCCCAGCTTTCCAAAGGCAAATGCTAGCTACAATTGTTATATATATAAATGTAACAAACTTGAGAGGGGCAAATCTTGATTAAGGATAGCGGGTGCAAATGCCCCACAACCATTTTTTCATAACTTACCTGGATTTTTCCTTGTAAAAAGAAATAAAAGAGGTGTAAAATTCTTACCTTGGCACCGATCTGGTTGCCACACTGACCAGCCTGGATGTGCACGATTTCCCTCATGGTTAAAATTTAATTTTTTTGCTCGCCTCAAGGTATGTATGGGGCAAGAAAATAAGTAATTTTTTTTCTCCGCAGGTCGCAGGCTGGAAGGTTGGAATGCGCCCCAGAGGCTGGAGCAGCGAGGTGCAAACGCGACGGCAGGAAGGTTCTGAGAGGGAGAAAGGAGAGGGGAGGGCGCGGAGGGAAAGCAGGCTGGGCGGGGCGCGCGTGCGCCGGGGCTGGGAGGCGGGAGAATCGGCCCCGCGCGCGGTAGGGAGACAAAGCCTCATCGAGCCTGGCCCTGATTAGTCGATGCCGGTCATGTACCAGGCGTCCATTGGCCTCTGAGCCAGTGGACGAGCGCAGTCCTCTTTGGGAGTTGTAGTCCCCTATTGTTGTCCATGCTGCAAAATGAAGTGACGAATGGGTGGGTACCGGTTTGGTTTTCATGGGGTTTTTGTTTTGTAAATGAAAAACGACCTTGCGCAAGATTCCTTTCCTCTATGCCTGAGGTTTTTGTACAAAAAGTGAGCAGTTCTTGGGGGTACAGGAATTGAGAAGTCTGGGGTTCCAGAAGTTGGGTGGTGGGGAAGACACGCCCTGAAAGCTCCCAGCTGCAGTACCTCTAGGGGAGAAAGGATTGCTTAGTTCAGCGAAAAATGGGGAGAAGTCTGGCACCGTGCTCTGCCTCCCCTGGCCTTTGGTGACCCAAGGCATGAACTTCAGTAAGCTTCTGCTCCCTCAAATACTTCAAGAAGGGAATCGCCCTCTTGCTATTTCCTTGGAAATTTTCGAGCCATTGTTTTGAAAGAGAAACAAAATTGCAGCAAGGGCTTTTCAGGATAGCGATGTTGTCTGGAGAGTATGTTCAAAGAATAAAATAGTTTAGAGAAACCGACATCGGGGATTTGTGAAACTAGAAGTCTCCTACGTGGGTAGGAGATCTGGACCTTAGGGCAGACTTTGAAGACACCTTGGTCTTCTTGTCAAACAGGGAACTATGGAATGAGATGCCTGATAGATTTTCAGTTTTTTCAGCCTGCCTCTTTAGACATGTTAATGAAGTCAGTGGTTTTTCAATTCGCTGATTTCACTGACCAGGTGGCCGCCACTGCAACTCTGCAAGAGACCCAGTATTGAAAAACGAGAGAGGGGTAATTGATGGGGGAAAAATTGAGTGGGTTCAAGACGGAGTCCATCTGCTTCTTCCCATAGATTTATTATTCACTTATTTGATAGTTACTATGTATCCACCAAATTAGGAGCTATGGTTACAAAATGATTAAGAATTAGCTCCCTGTCCTCCAGGATGTTGCAGTCTGGTGAGAAGCATACAATCAATAAAATGTGGTAACCACTCAGAAATGTAGTATCAAGTCAACGTCATTGTTAATTCACATTCGATCACACAGATCAATGTATTTCTTTTTTTTTTTTTTGTATTTTTAGTAGAGACAGGGTTTCACTGTGTTAGCCAGGATGGTCTCGATCTCCTCACCTCGTGATTCGCCCGCCTTTGCCTCCCAAAGTGCTGGGATTACAGGCGTGAGCCACCGCGCTGGGCAGATCAATGTATTTCTAAGTTGCCTTCTAAATGAGGGAACATCAACTTGTGTAAGCCCTCTCTACCCACTTAAAATATAATGCTTTACGTTTTAGGGAAATGAACACAGTCATTTTGTGGGAGTAGAAATAACTCAAAATACACAATCAGATAACTTGTTTCAATTTGTCTCTATATTAGCTGTAGGATCCTAGGAAAGTCCTTTAACTTTGCAGGGCTCCAGCTCCTCGTTTGTAAAATCTGCTTATTTGACTGTTGTGCACAGAATTGAGATAACCAACAGAAAGGACTTTATGAATTATGCAAGTGTTATAGTTACCATTTTCTTCATGTCTTATTGTGAGATAAAATAGGCCGGGCGCAGTGGCTTACGCCTGTAATCCCAGCACATTGGGAGGCCCAGGCGGGAGAATCACCTGAGGTCCGGAGTTTGAGACCAGACTGACCAACATGGAGAAACCCCGTCTCTACTAAAAATACAAAATTAGCCGGGCGTGGTAGCGCATGCCTGTAATCCCAGCTACTCGGGAGGCTGAGACAGGAGAATTGCTTGAACCCAGAAGGCGGAGGTTGCGGTGAGTCGAGATCGCGCCATTGCACTCCAGCCTAGGCAACAAGAGCGAAAGTCCGTCTCAAAAAATAAAATATAGATGGCCGCATGCGGTGGTTTACGCCTGTAATCCCACCACTTTGAGAGGCCGAGGCGGGCGGATCACCTGAGGTCAGAAGTTCGAGACCAGCCTGACCAACATGGAGAAACCACGTCTCTACTAAAAATACAAAAATAAGCTGGGCGTGGTGGCGCATGCCTGTAATCCCAGCTACTTGGGAGGTTGAGGCAGGAGAATCGCTTGAACCTGGGAGGCAGAGGTTGCGGTGAGTCGAGATCGCGCCATTGCACTCCAGCCTGGGCAACAAGAGCAAAACTCCATCTCAAAAAATAGATAAATTAGTTAATTAAAAAATAAAAATAAATGATTTTATGATCCTTCCCTCGCCCCTCGAAAGGTGGGGACAGCCTTTAAGACAGAGAGCAAACCAGTTTTCTCTGTTCGACTACAGATCTTTAGGATCTTGGATTTAAGAAAATGACCTCAAAATGTCCGTCAGAGACGTATTCCCAGGAAGAAAGATATTACTTCTACTACAAACCAAATCAAAAGGAAATGAAATTCCAATGCAACAGGAGTGAACTGCCACGCCTACGGGCTGTTCTCCAAACTGCAGCCTCCAGCCACGACTGCAACGCGCAACCCACTTTCATTTCTCATGAGTCAGCGGACACCATGTCTAGGAGGACCGAGGAAAGGCGCTCTGGCCTTACCAGACACGTCGGACGTCTATGACACAGCCCCTCTATCCGTTGCCGGCAGCTGGCGCCAGACTCTCTGGTCGCGGTTTGGAACTGCGCGGGAAGTGGGTGGTGGGCGGGCAAGCGGTAGTGGGTTGTCCCTTGGAGCTGCCCAATCGACGTGCATTATTCTGTTGGCGCACGGCGGCCTTCAATTACCGTCTCATTAACTGATCTCAGCAGCCTGGGAGACACCACCTATTTGAACTCTAAGGGGGCGGGGCTTTGGGTGTGCCTCCGCTCGACTGGCTGCGGTTGTGAAAGACAGCGGCAGAAGCCAATCAGCAAATAAGCTCTTTTTCGGCACACGCAGTCGCTCCACCTGGGTCGCGACCGTTACTGGTGGCGCGCGCGGGGACTTAAAGTAGGTGAGTTCTAGGGGCCTGGCCCACGGCTCCCCGGGAGCCATCTTGGTTCCCCCAGAAGGCGGGAGGGGCGTACCTTGGGTGCGACTGGGCGGAGGTGACTTGGAAGTTCGCTTCTCGGACTGTAATACTCATCCTTACCTGGCGCCCCGCTCCGAGTTTAGGTATGAAGACACAGGGAGACGTCGGGCCACAAGGGAACCCACTGAGGTGGGGACCAAAGATGGTGGCTCTTTGAATTGGAGCCAAGCGTGGTGGGCACCCGCTGAGTTGGCCTGTCATAAAGACGGAGTTGACACTTTATCCATGGGGCATCCTACTTTCCCTACCTGTCAACAGTTTCCCTCTAGAGTGGCATATTTTCAGGTGAATTCCATTTATGCTATTTTCTTTCCATCTCATTTGTTCCTTCATCAGTAGGCTCGGTGATGAGCCTTCCCGAGGGCAGGGTCGATTTCATGTTTGGTTCACAGATGTATACCAAATACTTCAAACAGGTATACCATAACCATTGAATGAATATGATGGACCCTAGGGGAAAGACACGGTTCCCCTAATCCAGTCCTGGAGGTGGGTGAGTGTGAAGGCAGAAATGGAAAGTAATGGTTACAATATAGCGAGAGATCTTAGAGTAAGCACAAATCCATTGACCACTGTGGAACAGGCAGGATACACCAGGAACACGAGAAGGCAGGGAACACGCCAGGAAAGGGTTTGCTGAGAAAGTGACATTTGAGGCCGGGCGCGGTTGCTCACTGCTGTAATCCCAACACTTTGGGTGGCCAAGGTGGGCGGATCACCTGAGGTCAGGAGCTCGAGACCGTGGTGAAACCCCGTCTCTACTAAAAATACAAAAATTAGCCAGGCGTGATGCCGGGCGCCTGTAATCCCAGCTGCTCGGGAGGCTGAGGCAGGAGAATCGCTTGAAGCCTGGAGGCAGAGGTTGCAGTGAGCCAAGATAGCACCACTGCAGTCCAGCCTGGACGACAGAGCGAGATTCCATCTCAAAAAAAAAAAAAAGAAAGAAAGTGACATTTGAACTGAATCTTAAAGGATGGTAGAAGTTGGACCAGAAAACTAGGTGGGAAAAAGCCAAGGAATTGGGCTAAGGCATGAAGATGTGGGAAGACAAGAACAGTGTGTTCGAAGACTGGGGAAAATGTCTGGCTGAACCATAGGCTTTTGCGGGCGAGGGGTAGGCGTTACAAGATGTGAAGTTCAGATCATGGAGGGTCTCGCTAAGGAGTTTAGATTTTATTCTGTGTGCACGAAAAACCATCAAGATTTTAGAGGAGAGACATCTGAGTGATTTGGGGCAAGTCTTAACCTTATATATGCTTATGTATGTTTCAAGGAGATCTGAAAATCTTAACCCAGCTATGTTGCAGTTTCTTTATCTGAAGAAATGGAAGATAGTAATACTACTTTACAAGGTTCTTGTGAAGATTAAATGAGTCAGAGTCGATATAAAGTAATTAGAACAGTGCTTGACACATAGGAAGCTTCTATATATGTCATCTTTTATTATCATTTTTTGCAGTTGCATCTGATCAAACTGAGGTGGTCTGGTAAAAGTATAAAAAGCATGGGCTAAAAAAGAAAGAAAAACAACGGGGCGCAGTGGCTCACGCCTGTAATCCCAGCACTTTGGGAGGCCAAGGTGGGCGGATCACCCAAGGTCAAGAGTTCGAGTCCACCCTGGCCAATATGGCAAAACCCCATCTCTTCTAAAAATACAAAAATTAGCCAGGCATGGTGGCAGGTGCCTGTAATCTCAGCTACTTGGGAGGCTGAGGTGAGAGAATTGCTTGAAACCCGGGAGGCAGAGGTTGCCGTGGGCCCAAGATCTTACCACTGCATGCCAGCCTGGGGAGCAGAACGAGACTCCATCACAAAAAAGAAAAAAATGTTTTAAGTGCTTCAGAAGGTTAACAACAGAAAGATTGGTGGAAAGAGAAGCATCAACGTTCATAATGATCCAGTTTACCCCCTAGTTTTCAGTCTGATAACTCTGATGCTGTTTGTGTGAACCAATAATGAGGATAATTGATAATGTGTATCCTTCCCAGATCATGGAGGACACCCAGGCTATTGACTGGGATGTTGAAGAAGAGGAGGAGACAGAGCAATCCAGTGAATCCTTGAGGTGTAACGTGGAGCCAGTAGGGCGGCTACATATCTTTAGTGGTGCCCATGGACCAGAAAAAGGTCAGAGGGTATTGGATGTTCAAGTATTGATATAGATCTTTTATTTTTGTGGTAAGGTATTTGGAGGGTTGCAAGAAGCTTATGTATGTTTCAATGAGATGTGAATTTTTTTTTTTCATGAATGGAAGAGATGGGGCCGATTGAGTTGATAGTTGCAGACTACTACCCTGGACTCACTGGAAGTGATTTTACTTTGATAAAAGAAAATTAAGAGATTGAAATGAAGCTGGGTGCAGTGACTCACACCTGTAATTCCCGTGCTTTGAGAGGCCAAGGCAGAAGGATCACTTGAGACTAGGAGTTAGAGACCAGCCTGGGTAGCATAGCAAAACCCTGTCTCTACGAAAAATTTAAAAATTAGCCAGGTGTGGTGGTTCATTTCACATCTGCAGTCCCACCTACTTGGGAGGCTGAGCCAGATGATCACTTGAACCCAAGAGTTCAAGATTGCACTGATCTATGATCATGACACTGCATTCTAGCCTGGGTGACAGAATGAGACCCTGTCTCAAAAAAAAAAAAAAAATCAAATAAAATCCAATTGTGTGCTCTGGAGATGGATGGTAGTGATGATTGCACAACAGTGTGAATGCACTTAATGCCACTGAACTATACACTTAAAATTATTAAGGTGATACATTTTGTGTTATGTGTATTTTATAACAGTAAAAAAACATCCATTGTGGATGGATGGGGTATCGCATATACTCTTTCAGTGCCTAGATGTCCTAGGGCCTTTTATTTTTCTAATGCATATGGAGGCCTTGAGTGAGTAGTAGAGTACCTAATAGGCACTTTTTCCTAATGACAGGCCAGGACTCTGATCTTGGAGCTTATCTACCTCTCTAATTCTTAGATTTCCCACTACACCTCGGGAAGAATGTGGTAGGCCGAATGCCTGACTGCTCTGTGGCCCTGCCCTTTCCATCTATCTCCAAACAACATGCAGAGATTGAAATCTTAGCCTGGGACAAGGCACCTATCCTCCGAGACTGTGGGAGCCTTAATGGTACTCAAATCCTGAGACCTCCTAAGGTTTTGAGCCCTGGGGTGAGTCACCGTCTGAGGGACCAGGAATTGATTCTCTTTGCTGACTTGCTCTGCCAGTACCATCGCCTGGATGTCTCTCTGCCCTTTGTCTCCCGGGGCCCTCTGACAGTAGAAGAGACACCCAGAGTACAGGGAGAAACTCAACCCCAGAGGCTTCTGTTGGCTGAGGACTCGGAGGAGGAAGTAGGTAAGTTTGTATATTGGCAGGGAGAATGAGGAGACAGGAATAATGAGTGTACAATTGTCAACTCATTCCTTTCTGTTCTTGACAGATTTTCTTTCTGAAAGGCGTATGGTAAAAAAATCAAGGACCACATCTTCCTCTGTGATAGTTCCAGAGAGGTGAGTGCCAAAGAGTCAGACACCTGAGTCTTCAAAATGAGGAAGAACCAGGGGCTGGAGGATCAATCTCTAAAAGAGATGATTATCATGAGAGTTGGGGCTGGGGAACCATACATATTCATTCACTCAGCTGAATTTTTATGGAGCACATCTGATGTGCCAAGTGGAAAACAAATTGGAAACAGAAGAAGAAATATGCTACCTTGTGTCTCCCCTCAAGGAGCTCACAGTTGAGTTGGGGTATCCCTTCCAGGGAAATAAATTCTATAGACTCTCTTTTCTTCCCTTCACAGTGATGAAGAGGGGCATTCCCCGGTCCTGGGCGGCCTTGGGCCGCCTTTTGCCTTCAATTTGAACAGTGACACAGATGTGGAAGAAGGTCAGCAACCAGCCACAGAGGAGGCCTCCTCAGCTGCCAGAAGAGGTGCCACTGTAGAGGCAAAGCAGTCTGAAGCTGAAGTTGTAACTGAAATCCAGCTTGAAAAGGATCAGCCTTTAGTGAAGGAGAGGGACAATGATACAAAAGTCAAGAGGGGTGCAGGGAATGGGGTGGTTCCAGCTGGGGTGATTCTGGAGAGGAGCCAACCTCCTGGAGAGGACAGTGACACAGATGTGGATGATGACAGCAGGCCTCCTGGAAGGCCAGCTGAGGTCCATTTGGAAAGGGCTCAGCCTTTTGGCTTCATCGACAGCGACACTGATGCGGAAGAAGAGAGGATCCCAGCAACCCCAGTTGTCATTCCTATGAAGAAGAGGAAGATCTTCCATGGAGTAGGTACAAGGGGTCCTGGAGCACCAGGCCTGGCCCATCTGCAGGAGAGCCAGGCTGGTAGTGATACAGATGTGGAAGAAGGCAAGGCCCCACAGGCTGTCCCTCTGGAGAAAAGCCAAGCTTCCATGGTTATCAACAGCGATACAGATGACGAGGAAGAAGTCTCAGCAGCGCTGACTTTGGCACATCTGAAAGAGAGCCAGCCTGCTATATGGAACAGAGATGCAGAAGAGGACATGCCCCAACGTGTGGTCCTTCTGCAGCGAAGCCAAACCACCACTGAGAGAGACAGTGACACAGACGTGGAGGAGGAAGAGCTCCCAGTGGAAAATAGAGAAGCTGTCCTCAAGGATCACACAAAGATTAGAGCCCTTGTTAGAGCACATTCAGAAAAGGACCAACCTCCTTTTGGGGACAGTGATGACAGTGTGGAAGCAGATAAGAGCTCACCTGGGATCCACCTGGAGAGAAGCCAAGCCTCCACCACAGTGGACATCAACACACAAGTGGAGAAGGAAGTCCCGCCAGGGTCAGCCATTATACATATAAAGAAGCATCAGGTGTCTGTGGAGGGGACAAATCAAACAGATGTGAAAGCAGTTGGGGGACCAGCAAAGCTGCTTGTGGTATCTCTAGAGGAAGCCTGGCCTCTGCATGGGGACTGTGAAACAGATGCAGAGGAGGGCACCTCCCTAACAGCCTCAGTAGTTGCAGATGTAAGAAAGAGCCAGCTTCCAGCAGAAGGGGATGCTGGGGCAGAGTGGGCTGCAGCTGTTCTTAAGCAGGAGAGAGCTCATGAGGTGGGGGCCCAGGGTGGGCCACCTGTGGCACAAGTGGAGCAGGACCTCCCTATCTCAAGAGAGAACCTCACAGATCTGGTGGTGGACACAGACACTCTAGGGGAATCCACCCAGCCACAGAGAGAGGGAGCCCAGGTCCCCACAGGAAGGGAGAGAGAACAACATGTGGGTGGGACCAAGGACTCTGAAGACAACTATGGTGGTAAGTGCTGGCCTTCCTTCCTAGACCTCTGAAATCAACCAGGGTTCTAACAGCTGGGGTTGGGGAGAGAAAGGTAGAGATTATTTAAGGAGTTTAGTGTCAGGTATGATTTTTGTTTTAAACTGTCTTATATTCCTCCCCGACCAGATTCTGAAGATCTGGACCTACAAGCTACCCAGTGCTTTCTGGAGAATCAGGGCCTGGAAGGTGAGGACTTCTGTGTTATTTGAATCCTGTACCAGTGGGAGCTGGGAGATTAGACTGGTGGTCCTTGAAGGGTAAAGGCTAGTATGGGTAGGGTAGGAGACCAGGAATGGAACCCTACAGTAGTATGGAGGAGATGAACTTAGGCCATCTTTTCCTGTACAGCAGTCCAGAGCATGGAGGATGAACCTACCCAGGCCTTCATGTTGACTCCACCCCAAGAGCTTGGCCCTTCCCATTGCAGCTTCCAGACAACAGGTATAAGAAACTCTTCCCTCCTCTGTGTCCCCAATTCTGCATTCTCTTTTTTTTCCTCTGTCACTCAGGCTGGATTACAGTGGTGCAGTCTCGGCTCACTGTAACCTCCGCCTCCCAGGCGGTTTCTCTTCCTTCAGCTTCCCAGGTAGCTGGGATTACAGCTGTCCATGACCATGCCTGGCTAATTTTTTGTATGTTTAGTAGAGACAGGGTTTCACCATGTTGGCCAGGCTGGTCACAAACTCCCGACCTCAAGTGATCCGCCTGCCTCGGCCTCCCAAAATGCTGGAATTGCAGGCGTAAGCCACTGCGCCCGGCCTGCGTTCTTTCTTGATTTGCCTTCCTACATGTTTCTTTCATACTCTGATTACAGTGAGCCCTCTGTGTATGCGAGTTTGCGTCCGTGAATTCAACCAGCTGCAGGTTGAAAATATTTAGGGACTGGCCTGGGCAACAGAGAGAGACCTGGTCTCCACAAAAATGAAAAAATTAGCCCAGCATAGTAGTGAGCACCTGTAGTCCCAGTTACATGGGAGGCCAGGATGGGAAGATCAGTTGAGCCCAGTCTGGGCAATAGCCCATCCCTCAACCCCCACCCCCAATGTCTCTTAAAAAAAACACACACACACTATTGCAGCACTGTTCACAATAGGCAGATATGAAATCAAACTAAATGTCCATCAACAGATGAATGGATAAAGAAAATGTAGGCCGGGGTCGGGCACAGTGGCTCACACCTCTAATCCCAACACTTTGGGAGGCCAAGGCAGGCAGATCACCTGAGATCGGGAGCTTGAGACCAGCCTGACCAACATGGAGAAACCCCGTCTCTACTAAAAATACAAAATTAGCCGGGTGTGGTGGTGCATGCCTGTAATCCCAGCTACTCAGGAGACTGAGTCAGGAGAATCCCTTGAACCCAGGAGGCAGAGGTTGCAGTGAGCTGAGATTGTGCCATCGCACTCTGGCCTGGGCAACAAGAGTGAAACTCTGTCTCAAAAAAACGAAAGAAAAGAAAATGTAGGCCGGGCACAGTGCCTCATGCCTGTAATCCCAGCACTTTGGGAAGCCGAAGTGGGTGGATCACATGAGGTCAGGAGTTTGAGACCAGCCTGGCCAACATGGTGAAACCCTGTCTCTACTAAAAATACAAAAATTAGCTGGGCATGGTGGCAGGTGCCTGTAGTCCCAGCTACTCGGGAGACTGAAGCAGGAGACTCATTTGAACCCCGGAGGCAGAGGTTGCAGTGAGCCAAGGTCACACCACTGCACTCCAACATGGGCAACAGAGTGAGACTTCATCTCTAATAATAAAAAAAAAGAAAATGTGTATATAGGCTGGGTGCAGTGGCTCAAAATACAAAATTTAGCTGGGCATGGTGGCATGCACCTGTAGTCTTAGCTACTCGGGAGGCTAAGATGGGAGGATTGCTGCCTAAGACGCAGAGGTTGCAGTGAGCTGAGGTCATGCCACTGCACTCCAAACTGGGTGACAGAGCAAGACTCAATCTAAAAAAAAAAGAAAATGTGTATATATACACAGTGGAACAGTATTCAGCAACAGAAGAGAATGAAATCCTGTCATCTGCAGCAACATGGATGAACCCTGAGGACATTATGTTAAGTGAAATAAGTCAGCACAGAAAGGCAAATATTGTATGCTCACTCATGTGGGAGCTAAAAACATGGATCTCATGGAAGTAGAGAGTAGAATGGTGGTTACCAAAGGCTAGGAAGGGTAGAGGGACAGAATGCATAAAGAGGTTGGTTAATGAATACAAAAATCCAGTCAGATTGAATGAATAAGTTCTAGTGTTCAGTTCCACAGTAGTGTTACTATAGTTAATAATTTATTGTGTATTTCAAAATAGCTAGAAGAGATTTGATATGTTTCCAAGACAAAGAAATGATAAATGTTTGAGATAGTGGATATCCCAATTATCTTGGTTTTATCATTGTACATTGTATGCATGAGTCAAAATAGCACAGGTACCCCATAAATATGTACAATTATTATGTGTCAATGAAGAAAAAAGAAAATGTGGTATATATACACAGTGGAATACTATTCAGCCTTTAAAAAGAAGGAAATTCCAGCCAAGCATGGTGGCTCACACCTGTAATCCCAGCACTTTGGGAGACCAATGTGGGTGGATCACTTGAGTCTAAGAGTTCAAGACCAAACCCCATCTCTACAACAAATACAAAAAATTAGCCGGGCACTTTGGCACATGCCGTAGTCCCAGCTACTTGGGAGGCTGAGGTGGGAGGATCTCCTGAGCCCAGCAGTTGGGAGTTGCAGTGAGCCAACATCATGCCACTGCACTCCAGCCTGGGTGACAGAGTGAAACTGTCTTGAGAGAGAGAGACTATTCAGGGAACTCTCTTATTAGGCTATGATGTTTTTCTTTCTTTCTTTCTTTCTTTCTTTTTTTGAGACAGGGTCTCTGTCACTCAGGCTGGAATGCAGTGGTATGATGAGAGACTATTCAGGGAACTCATATTAGGCTATGATGTTTTTCTTTTTCTCTTGGGTTTTTTTTTTTTTTTTTTTTTGAGACAGAGTCTCTGTCACTCAGGCTGAAGTGCAGTGGTATGATCACAGCTCACTACAGTCTTGACCTTTGGGGTTCAAGTAGTTCTCCTACCTCAGCCTCCCGGGTAGCTGAGACTACAGGACTACAGGTCCCCGTCCCCACACCTAATTTTTTTGTATTTTTTGTAGAGATGGGGTTTTGCCATGTTGTCCAGGCTAGTCTCAAACTCCTGGCCTCAAGCAATCCTCATGTCTTGGCCTCCCAAAGTCCTGGGATTACATGTCTGAGCCACCATGCCCGCCTAAGGCTATGACCTTTTTGAGACAAACGTTAAATGTTATAACTACCACCCTTATTCCCAGCTTACCTTTAATAACCTGTTCAGATTTATTATTCATGAGTTTATCTAAATCCTTTCTCATCATATTTATTATGTCAACCTGTACTTCCCTTTCCCTCTTCCTCTCCCTCTTTTCTCTCCCTCTCCCTCTCTCTCTCTTCCTTCCTCCCCTTCCAGGTACCCTAGATGAACCATGGGAGGTCCTGGCTACACAGCCATTCTGTCTGAGAGAGTCTGAGGACTCTGAGACCCAGCCTTTTGACACGCACCTTGAGGCCTATGGACCTTGCCTGTCTCCACCTAGGGCAATACCAGGAGACCAACATCCAGAGAGCCCAGTTCACACAGAGCCAATGGGGATTCAAGGCAGAGGGAGGCAGACTGTGGATAAAGTCATGGGTATACCAAAAGAAACAGCAGAGAGGGTGGGCCCTGAGAGAGGGCCATTGGAGAGAGAAACTGAGAAACTGCTACCAGAAAGACAGACAGATGTGACAGGAGAGGAAGAATTAACCAAGGGGAAACAGGACAGAGAACAAAAACAGTTGTTAGCTAGAGACACCCAGAGACAAGAATCTGACAAAAATGGGGAAAGTGCAAGTCCTGAAAGAGATAGGGAGAGTTTGAAGGTAGAAATTGAGACATCTGAGGAAATACAAGAGAAACAAGTACAGAAGCAGACCCTTCCAAGCAAAGCATTTGAGAGAGAAGTAGAGAGACCAGTAGCAAACAGAGAGTGCGATCCAGCCGAGTTAGAAGAGAAGGTGCCCAAAGTGATCCTGGAGAGAGATACACAGAGAGGGGAGCCAGAGGGAGGGAGCCAGGACCAGAAAGGGCAGGCCTCCAGCCCAACACCAGAGCCTGGGGTGGGGGCGGGGGACCTTCCGGGACCTACCTCAGCCCCCGTACCTTCTGGGAGCCAGTCAGGTGGAAGGGGATCCCCAGTGAGCCCCAGGAGGCATCAGAAAGGTAAGTGAAGGCAGAGGGGAACCCAAGGTGATACACAGGCCTCGTGATAATCAACCCCTGGGCAACCAGCTGCTTGGAACTCAGCCACCTTTGTGTTTACTTTCTGTCTAGGCCTCCTGAATTGCAAGATGCCACCTGCTGAGAAGGCTTCCAGGATCAGAGCTGCTGAGAAGGTTTCCAGGGTGAGAGCTACTTTTTCTACCTCCTATTCCACAAGTCATCTCTATATCTTCTCCAATGCTCTTTCACCTAGCCTCACTTTAATCTATTCCTTTCTCATTATTCAGTTTTCTTCCATTTTTGTCACGCCTTGATTGGCTTCTATTCCTTTATCCTCGGCACCCGTTGTTTTCCATATCTGTTTCCTAAGTTGTATCTCCTACCTGACTCAAAAGAAAGACCCTTCGTGTTTCTTCTTTCTTTGCCCCAGCCATCCTTTTCCTTACCATCATCCACGTGTGGAGAACACTATAGTAGCATTATGGAGACAGGTCTGTGGGAAAAAGGTAGCTTCCCAGGTAGATCCCAGTCTAATGGAGGAGAGATCATAGACAGAAAGGAAAATCCAGTGAGCATATTTTTTGTTTTTGTTCTTTTTTGAGACAGAGTCTGTCTCTGTCACCCAGGCTGGAGTGTGCAGTGGCGTGATCTCAGCTTACTGTAACCTCCGTCTCTTGGGTTCAAACAATTTTCCTGCCGCAGCCTCCCAAGTAGCTGGGACTACAGGCGCATGTCACCCGGCTAATTTTTGTGTATTTTTTTGTTTTTTTTGAGACAGTCTCACTCTGTCACCCAGGCTGGAGTGCAGTGGCGCGATCTTGGCTCACTGCAACCTCTGCCTCCCGGGTTCAAGCGACTCTCCTCCCTCAGCCTCCCAGGTAGCTGGGACTACTAGGCGCCTGCCAACACACCTAGCTAATTTTTTTTTTTTTTTTTTTTTTTTTTAGACAGAGTCTTGCTCTGTCCCCCAGGCTGGAGTGCAGTGGCACCATCTCGGCTCACTGCAAGCTCCGCCTCCCGAGTTCACGCCATTCTCCTGCCTCAGCCTTCCAAGTAGCTGGGACTACAGGCGCCCGCCACCACGCCCGGCTAATTTTTTGTATTTTTTAGTAGAGACGGGGTTTCACCGTGTTAGCCAGGATGGTCTCGGTTTCCTGACCTTGTGATCCACCCGCCTCGGCCTCCCAAAGTGCTGGGATTACAGGCATCAGCCACCATGCCTGGCCTTTTTTTTTGTATTTTTAGTAGAGACGGGGTTTCACTATGTTGGCCAGGCTGGTCTTGAACTCCTGACCTCGTGATCCGCCCGCCTCGGCCTCCCAAAGTGCTGGGATTATAGCCGTGAGCCACCACGCCCGGTGGAAATCTGGTAAGCCTATCTAACCATAAACAAGTATCAAGAACAGTATCCAAGTTCTATCTCTTTTCTCCACCTCCTCCCCCTCACTTGCTTCTGTTTCTCCCTAGGGCGATCAGGAATCTCCAGATGCTTGTCTGCCTCCTACAGTACCTGAAGCCCCAGCCCCACCCCAAAAGCCCCTTAACTCTCAGAGCCAGAAACATCTTGCACCTCCGCCCCTTCTTTCTCCCCTTTTACCTTCTATCAAGCCAACCGTTCGTAAGACCAGGCAAGATGGGAGTCAGGAAGCTCCAGAGGCTCCCTTGTCCTCAGAGCTGGAGCCTTTCCACCCAAAGCCTAAAATTAGAACTCGGAAGTCCTCCAGAATGACACCCTTTCCAGCTACCTCTGCTGCCCCTGAGCCCCACCCTTCCACCTCCACAGCCCAGCCAGTCACTCCCAAGCCCACATCTCAGGCCACTAGGAGCAGGACAAATAGGTCCTCTGTCAAGACCCCTGAACCAGTTGTCCCCACAGCCCCTGAGCTCCAGCCTTCCACCTCCACAGACCAGCCTGTCACCTCTGAGCCCACATCTCAGGTTACTAGGGGAAGAAAAAGTAGATCCTCTGTCAAGACCCCTGAAACAGTTGTGCCCACAGCCCTTGAGCTCCAGCCTTCCACCTCCACCGACCGACCTGTCACCTCTGAACCCACCTCTCAGGCTACTAGGGGAAGAAAAAATAGATCCTCTGTCAAGACCCCTGAACCAGTTGTCCCCACAGCCCCTGAGCTCCAGCCTTCCACCTCCACAGACCAGCCTGTCACTTCTGAGCCCACATATCAGGCTACTAGGGGAAGAAAAAATAGATCCTCTGTCAAGACCCCTGAACCAGTTGTGCCCACAGCCCCTGAGCTCCGGCCTTCCACCTCCACAGACCGACCTGTCACCCCCAAGCCCACATCTCGGACCACTAGGAGCAGGACAAATATGTCCTCTGTCAAGACCCCTGAAACAGTTGTCCCCACAGCCCCTGAGCTCCAGATTTCCACCTCCACAGACCAACCTGTCACCCCTAAGCCCACATCTCGGACCACTAGGAGCAGGACAAATATGTCCTCTGTGAAGAACCCTGAATCAACTGTCCCTATAGCCCCTGAGCTCCCACCTTCCACCTCCACAGAGCAGCCTGTCACCCCTGAGCCCACATCTCGGGCTACTAGGGGAAGAAAAAATAGATCCTCTGGCAAGACCCCTGAAACACTTGTCCCCACAGCCCCTAAGCTCGAGCCTTCCACTTCCACAGACCAACCTGTCACTCCTGAGCCCACATCTCAGGCCACCAGGGGCAGGACAAATAGGTCCTCTGTGAAGACCCCTGAAACAGTTGTCCCCACAGCCCCTGAGCTCCAGCCTTCCACCTCCACAGACCAGCCTGTTACCCCTGAGCCTACGTCTCAGGCTACTAGGGGAAGAACAGATAGATCCTCTGTCAAGACTCCTGAAACAGTTGTCCCCACAGCCCCTGAGCTACAGGCTTCCGCCTCCACAGACCAGCCTGTCACCTCTGAGCCCACATCTCGGACCACTAGGGGAAGAAAAAATCGGTCCTCTGTCAAGACCCCTGAAACAGTTGTGCCCGCAGCCCCTGAGCTCCAGCCTTCCACCTCCACAGACCAACCTGTCACCCCTGAGCCCACATCTCGGGCCACTAGGGGCAGGACAAATAGGTCCTCTGTCAAGACCCCTGAATCAATTGTCCCTATAGCCCCTGAGCTTCAGCCTTCCACCTCCAGAAACCAGCTTGTCACCCCTGAGCCCACATCTCGGGCCACTAGGTGCAGGACAAATAGGTCCTCTGTCAAGACCCCTGAGCCAGTTGTCCCCACAGCCCCTGAGCCCCATCCTACCACCTCCACAGACCAGCCTGTCACCCCCAAGCTCACATCTAGGGCCACTAGGAGAAAGACAAATAGGTCCTCTGTCAAGACTCCCAAACCAGTTGAACCAGCAGCCTCTGATCTTGAGCCTTTTACCCCCACAGACCAGTCCGTCACCCCTGAGGCCATAGCTCAGGGTGGTCAGAGCAAAACACTGAGGTCTTCCACAGTAAGAGCTATGCCGGTTCCTACCACCCCTGAATTCCAATCTCCTGTCACCACAGACCAGCCTATTTCCCCTGAGCCTATTACTCAACCCAGTTGCATCAAGAGGCAGAGAGCCGCTGGGAACCCTGGCTCCCTCGCAGCTCCCATTGACCATAAGCCTTGCTCTGCACCCTTGGAACCTAAATCCCAGGCCTCAAGGAACCAAAGATGGGGAGCAGTGAGAGCAGCTGAATCCCTTACAGCCATTCCTGAGCCTGCCTCTCCCCAGCTTCTTGAGACACCAATTCATGCCTCCCAGATCCAAAAGGTGGAACCAGCAGGTAGATCTAGGTTCACCCCGGAGCTCCAGCCTAAGGCCTCTCAAAGCCGCAAGAGGTCTTTAGCTACCATGGATTCACCACCACATCAAAAACAGCCCCAAAGAGGGGAAGTCTCCCAGAAGACAGTGATTATCAAGGAAGAGGAAGAAGATACTGCAGAGAAGCCAGGGAAGGAAGAGGTGAGGAGAGGGTTGGGACCACAAAGCTGGGAAAAATGACTTCAGGGCTCTGAAACTCCCACCAAGATTTTTCTCAATCTCAGGATGTCGTGACTCCAAAACCAGGCAAGAGAAAGAGAGACCAGGCAGAGGAGGAGCCCAACAGAATACCAAGCCGCAGCCTCCGACGGACCAAACTTAACCAAGAATCAACAGCCCCCAAAGTAAGAGACAAAGGCATGGGACTTTGTGGGAGACAGAGATGAGGGGAGGATGCAAGGAGACCTAGAGGATTGTAGAGATGGGTGCTGATGGCATGGGTTGCCGTAACCACCTCAGGTCAACCCTTCCACAGGTGCTCTTCACAGGAGTGGTGGATGCTCGGGGAGAGCGGGCTGTGCTGGCACTGGGGGGAAGTCTGGCTGGTTCAGCGGCAGAGGCTTCCCACCTGGTCACTGATCGCATCCGCCGGACAGTCAAGTTCCTGTGTGCCCTGGGGCGGGGAATCCCCATTCTGTCCCTGGACTGGCTGCATCAGGTGAGAGGCCAAGGGATGATGACAGACCGATATAGTGGCAAGACTGCTCATATAGTGCCCTAGAAAGTGGTGGAAGGGAAGAGGCGTTACAGGAAGACAGGGGCATTGGTGAGCCAGAAGCCTGCATTGATTTAAAAGACATTTTGTGAGCTCTCTCTAAATGCTAGGCAGCAGAGCTGATTGAGGGGCTGGGCTGAGCTTTGATGCTGACTGCTGCCGTCCTTAGTCCCGCAAGGCTGGTTTCTTCTTACCCCCGGATGAATATGTGGTGACCGACCCTGAGCAAGAGAAGAACTTTGGCTTTAGCCTTCAAGACGCACTGAGCAGGGCTCGGGAGCGAAGGCTGCTAGAGGTGAGAGGCTATCTTTTAACCTGTGCTTCAGCCCTCCCTCCAGTGCTTCCCAATCTACAATACCATCTCCATCATTTCTTTCTCTTAGGGCTATGAGATCTATGTGACCCCTGGAGTCCAGCCACCACCACCTCAGATGGGAGAGATTATTAGCTGCTGTGGAGGCACATACCTACCCAGCATGCCTCGGTCCTATAAGGTATGCTTAGGATGTTCTGGGTCTGGGTGAGGTGGCAGTGGCAGTTAAAGAGGTGGCTGGAATGGCAAAGATTGGAGGGAAAAAAATGGAGGTTCAGAAAGGAATATAAAGTAGTGAGAGGGTGGGGGAAAAGACCTATGGTATAGAAAGGGATAGGAATGAGGGGACAGATCTGCTGATACCCCCATATAACAATCACCGAGATTCAGCAGCAGCTTAATTTAGATTATGCTACATTTGCTCCATCTATCCCTTTTTTCCTTTGATTTTCTTTTTTTTTTTTTTTTTTTTTTTTTGAGATGGAGTCTCACTCTCAGGCTGGAGTGCAGTGGCACAATCTCGGCTCACTACAATCTCCGCCTCCTGGGTTCACACCATTCTCCTGCCTCAGCCTCCCGAGTAGCTGGGACTACAGGTGCCCGCCACCACGCCCGGCTAATTCTTTTGTATTTTTAGTAGAGATGGGGTTTCACTGTGTTAGCCAGGATGGTCTTGATCTCCTGAGGTCATGATCTGCCCGCCTCGGCCTCTCAAAGTGCTGGGATTACAGGCGTGAGCCACCGCGCCCGGCTTTTTCCTTTGATTTTCTTTGCTGAAGTATTTCATTTCTTTTTATTTTTCTTTATTCTTTCTTTTTTTCCTTTCTCTTTCTTTGCTGAAATATTTTAAAGCAAACTGCCAATATTATATTATTTCTTCCTACATACTTAAATATATATCTCTAAGAAATACGTACATTTTATTTCATAATCACAATGCCATTATTGATCCTAAGCAAAATTAACAGTAGTTTATTGGTCATTTGCTCACACTCCATTAATAAAATTTCTCCCATTGTCTGAAAAATGTCTCTATACAGTTGTTCAAATCAGGATTCAAATAAGGTCCACATACTGCCACACCTATTATCTTCTTAATTATCTTTACTCTAGAGCATCCCTTAACCCACCCAGCTTTTTTTATGCCATCTATTTCCTGCAGAAGCTGGGTCACTTGTCCTTTAGAATGTTCCTCAGTCTGGAATTTTGGGTTTGCCTCCTTGTCATATAATTTATCTTGTTCCTCTGTACTCCATATTTCCTGGAAATTGCAGATAATTGTAAAAGCTTGAATAAATTCAGGTTCATCTTTCTAGCAAAAGTATTTTTTTTTTTTGAGAGAGTCTCACTCTGTCGCCAGGCTGGAGTACAGTGGAGCAGTCTTGGCTCACTGCAACCTCCATCTCCCGGGTTCAAGCTGTTCTCCTGCCTCAACCTCCCGAGTAGCTGGGACTACAGGCGCACACCACCACGCCCAGCTAATTTTTTTATTTTTACTAAAGACGGGGTTTCACCATGTTGGCCAGGATGGTCTCGATCTCTTGACCTCGTGATCCACCCACCTCGGCCTCCCAAAGTGCTGGGATTATAGGCGTGAGCCACTGTGCCTGGCCTCTAGCAAGAGTATTTCTTTTTTTTTTTTCTTTTTTTTTTTCTTTTGAGATGGAGTCTTGCTCTGTAGCCCAGGCTGGAGTGCAGTGGCGCGATCTCGGCTCACTGCAAGCTCCGCCTCCTGGGTTTTCACGCCATTCTCCTGCCCCAGCCTCCCGAGTAGCTGGGACGACAGGCACCCGTCAGCGCGCCCGGCTAATTTTTTTTTTTTTTTTTTTTTGTATTTTTAGTAGAGACAGGGTTTCACCGTGGTCTTGATCTCCTGACCTCGTGATCCACCCGCCTCAGCCTCCCAAAGTGCTGTGTAATTACAGGCATGAGCCACTGCGCCCGGCCTAGCAAGAGTATTTCATAGACAGTATGCGGTGTGCTTCACTTGGCTTCATATTAGGAGGTATTATTTTAGTGATGGTAAGACTGGTTAGTGGGTCCTGAACCCATTTCTAGGATTCTTTTTCACCTGATTTTGCCTTTGCTCTGTCTTCCCCAGCCTCAGAGAGTTGTGATCACATGCCCTCAGGACTTCCCTCATTGCTCCATTCCACTACGGGTTGGGCTGCCCCTCCTCTCGCCTGAGTTCCTGCTGACTGGAGTGCTGAAGCAGGAAGCCAAGCCAGAGGCCTTTGTCCTCTCCCCTTTGGAGATGTCATCCACCTGAGAACTCCACTACCCTTTTCCCTCCCAGACCACGAATTAGAAGATATGTGGAAGAAAGAACTCAGGGCGTTAGAAAGGATTGGGGTATATTGATACAACTTGTCCTGGAACATGGGTGGGACCAGAAATCTTTATGAATAAATGAAAAGATAAGGGATTTGGAAGCCACAGGTTGTTTTTTGTTTGTTTGTTTGTTTTTTTAATGGCCATTTTATTTTATTTGTATTTATAGTTTTTTATTTGTATAGATTTAGGGGATACAAGATTTCTTACATGCATGTATTAAATGGCCATTTTAAAATTAGCTAGTTTCATGCTCAGATGTCATAAGTGGCAGCTATCTTTAGCCAGACTGTTGCAGTTATTGCTCGATGCCACTCATGGTGTCCTACCTCCTATTTGGAAACCATCTCTATTTTTTTCTTACTGAGATTCTTACTTTGGGGTCAGGAACTTGAAGGGATGCTTGGAGTGAGTAGATTTGAGGGTCCAGTTATGGAGTGCTACTAAAACATTTTCTTCTCTCCTGGCCTCTGGAAGCATCTTTAGCTTTGACTTTGGGCAAGTCTCTGTACTTTTCTGGCCAGCTTTTCCAGGATTTATAAAATTAGAGCTTCGGCTTGACCTCTGTGATAAATAAATATTCACTCTGTGCCTTATGGTGTAGTGTAGTTTTTTAAAATGTCTAGGTCTCAAGACACAAACTTAAAAAAAAAAAAGTCATAGACTTGTATTTAATTCATCATTATCTTCTATTTAGGACAATTTGTATGACATTTCTTAAGATTTTTTTTTTTTTCTTGAGACAGGGTCTCATCTCTGTCACCTAGGCTGGAGTGCAGTGGCACCATCTTGGCTCACTGCAACCTCCACCTCCCAGTTCAAGCAATAGTCCCACCTCAGCCTCCTGAGTAGCTAGGACTGCAGGCACACACCACCATGCCTGGCTAATTTTCTTTTTTTTATTGTTTAGTAGAGACGGGGCTCTACTAAATTTTTGTATTTTTGGTAGAGATGAGGTTTTGTCATGTTGCCCAGGCTGGTCTCTAACTTCTGACCTCAAGTGATCCACCCACCTCAGCCTCCCGAGTAGCTGGGATTACAGGCACATGCCACCACACCCGGCTAATTTTTGTATTTGTAGTAGAGACGGGGTTTCACCATGTTGGCCATGCTGGTCTCGAACTCCTGACCTCAGGTGATCCACCTGTCTTGACTTCCCAAAGTGCTGGGATAACAGGCATGAGCCGCCATGACTGGCCTTTTATCTTTTTGAGTCAAGGTGTCACTCTGTTGCCCAGGCTGAAGTGCAGTGGCTCGATGTCGGCTTACTGCAGCCTTGACCTCCTGGGCTCAAACGATTTTCCTCTCAGCCTCCCAAGTAGCTGGGACCATAGGTGTGTGCAACCATGCCCGATGAATTTTGTATTTTTGGTAGAGACGAGGTTTTGTCATGTTGCCCAAGCTGGTCTCTAACTCGTGACCTCAAGTGAGCCACCCACCTCAGCCTCCAAAAGTGCTGGGATTACAGGCTTGAGCCACCGTGCCCAGCCAGATTTAAATTTTAAAAGTTGGTTGATTACAAGGATGTGGAGAAATTAGAATCCTTATACATTGCTGGTAGGAATGTTAAATGGTTCAGCCTCTGTGGTAAACAGTTTGATGGTTCCTCAAAAAGTTAAACATATGGATGGGCACAGTGGCTCACACATGTAATCCCAGCACTTTGGAGGCCAAGGCTGGCAGATCACTTGAGCTCAGAAGTTCACGGCCAGCCGGGCAACATGACAAAACCTCGTCTCTACCAAAAATACAAAAATTCACTGGGCATGGTGGCACACACCTATGGTCCCAGCTACTTGGGAGGCTAAGAGGAAAATCGTTTGAGCCCAGGAGGTCAAGGCTGCAGTGGGTGGACACGAGCCACTGCACTTCAGCCTGGGCAACAGAGTGAGACCTTGTCTCAAAAAAATAAAAGGCCAGTCACGGCAGCTCATGCCTGTAATCCCAGCACTTTGGGAAGTCAAGACAGGTGGATCACCTGAGGTCAGGAGTTAGAGACCAGCCTGGCCAACATGGTGAAATCCCGTCTCTACTTAAAATACAAAAATTAGCCGGGCGTGGTGGCATGTGCCTGCAATCCCAGCTACTTGGGAGGCTGAGGCAGAAGAATTGCTGGAACCCGGGAAGTGGAGGTTGCAGTGAGCTGAGATCGTGCCACTGCACTCCAGCCTGGGCAACAGAACAAGACTCCATCTAAAAAAAAAAAGGCCAGGCGTGGTGGCTCACCCCTGTAATCCTAGCACTTTGGGAGGCCAAGGTGGGCAGATCACAAGATCAGGAGATTGAGACCATCCTGGCTAACATGGAGAAACCCCGTCTCTACTAAAAATACAAAAAATTAGCTAGGCGTGGTGGCAGGCGCCTGTAGTCCTAGCTACTCGGGAGGCTGAGGCAGGAGAATCGCTTGAACCCGGGAGGTGGAGGTTGCAGTGAGCCAAGACTGCTCCACTGTACTCCAGCCTGGCGACAGAGCGAGACTCCCTCTCAAAAAAAAAACAAAAAAAAAAAAGTAGCCTCTTTTCTGGCTGGAACCCTCATGTAGAGTGTTGTAGATAAGAAGGAGAGGGCCGGGGTGCAGTGGCTCACACCTGTAATCCCAACACTTTGGGAGGCCGAGGTGGGCAGGTCACCTGAGGTCAGGAGTTCAAGACCAGGCTGGCCAACATGACAAAACCCCGTCTCTACTAAAAATTCAAAACAAAATTAGCCGGGCATGGTGGCCAGCCCCTGTGATCCCAGCTACTCAGGAGGCTGAGGCAGGAGAATTGCTTGAATGCAGGAGGGGGAGGTTGCATTGAGTCGAGATCGCACCATTGCACTCCAGCATGGGAGACAGAGCAAGACCCCGTCTTAAAAAAAAAAAGAGAGAGAAAAAGAAGGAGGTTCTTGCTATGCCAGAAACCCTTAAAAAGCGAAGGAATTTCCCAGAGCTGAAGATCAAAGGCCCGAGAAAGAAATTTGCCCAAAAGATGATTCAAAAGGCAAGGAGGAAGCTTATCTATGAAAAAGTGAAGCACTATCACAAGGAATATAGGCAGATGTACAGAACTGAAATTCGAATGGCTAGGATGGCCAGAAAAGCTGGCAACTTCTATGTACCTGCAAAACCCAAATTGCCGTTTGTCATCAGGATCAGAGGTATCAGTGGTGTGAACCCAAAGGTCCGAAAGGTGTTGCAGCTTCTTCGCCTTTGTTAAATCTTCAGTGGAACCTTTGTGAAGCTCAACAAGGCTTCAATGAACATGCTGAGGATTGTAGAACCATATATGGCATGGGGGTACCCAAAGCTGAAGTCAGTAAATGAACTAATCTACCAGCATGGTTATGGCAAAAATCAATAAGAAGCAAATTGCTTTGACAGATGACACTTTGATTGCTTTATCTCTTGGTAAATATGGCATCACCTGCATGGAGGATCTGATTCTTGAGATCTATACTGTTGGAAAATGCTTCAAAGAAGCAAATAACTTCCTGTAGCCCTTCAAATTATCCTCTCCACAAGGTAGAGTAAAGAAAAAGACCACCCATTTTGTAGAAAGTGGACATGCTGGCAACAGGGAGAACCGGATCAACAGACTTATTAGAAGAATGAGCTAAGGTGTCTACTGTGATTGTTTTTCTAATCTAAGCACTTAAGCAGTACCTGCTCTCAAATTGGAGGAAAAAAAAGAAAGTTAAATACGGAATTACCGAACAGTCCAGCAATTCTGCTCCTAGGTGTACACCCAAAAGAATTTAAATCAGGTGTCCAGGCTGGGTGGGGTGGCTTATGCCTATAATCCCAGCAGTTTGGGAGGCCAAAGTGGGAGGATTGCATGAGCCCAGGACTTCACGGGCAACCAGTCTGGGCAACATGGCAAAACCCTGTCACTACAAAAAATACAAAAATGGGCTAGGTGCGGTGGCTCACGCCTATAATCCTAGCACTTTGGGAGGCAAGGTGGGTAGATCACCTGAGGTCAGGAGTTCAAGACGAGCCTGGCCAACATGGCAAAACCCCATCTCTACTAAAAAATACAAAAATTAGCCGGGTGTGGTGGCTCATGCCTGTAATCCCAGCATTTTGGGAGGCCGAAGGTGGTTGGATCACCTGAGGTCAGGAGTTCGATACCAGCCTGACCAACATGGAGAAACCCGTCTCTACTAAAAAATACAAAATTAGCTGGGCGTGGTGGTGCATGCCGGTAATCCCAGCTACTCCGGAGGCTGAGGCAGGAGAATCACTTGAACCTGGGAGGTGGAGATTGTGGTGAGCCAAGATCATGCCGTTGCAACAAGAGCAAAACTCCGTCTAAAAAAAAAAAAAAATTAACTGGGCCTGGTGGCTCACGCCTGTAATCCCAACACTTTGGGAGGCTGAGGCGGGTGGATCATGAGGTCAGGAGATCAAGACCATCCTGTCCAACATGGTGAAACCCCCTCTCTACTAAAAATACAAAAATTAGCTGGGCGTGGTGGCGTGCGCCTGTAGTCCCAGCTACTCGTGAGGCTGAGGCAGAAGAATCACTTGAACCAGAGAGTCAGAGTTTGCAGTGAGCCAAGATCATGCCACTGCACTCGAGCCTGGCTATAGAGGGAGACTCTGTCTCAAAAAATAATAATAATAATAATAAAAAAATTAGCTGGGCATGGTGGCATGTGGCTGTAATCCCAGCTACTGGGGAGGCTGAGGCTGCAGAATCACGTGAACCCGGGAAGCAGAGGTTGCAGTGAGCTGAGATCATGCCACTGCACTCCAGCCTGGGTGACAGAGAAAGACTCTCTCTCAAAAAAAAAAAAAAAATTTAGCCAGGTGTGGTGGCACATGCCTGTAATCCCAGCTACTTGGAATGCTGAGGTGGGAGGAGGTCAAGGCTGCAATGAGCCATGATTGTGCAACTACATTCCAGCCTGGGTAACAGAGCACGACTCTGTCTCCAAAAAAAAAAAAAAAAAAGGAAAAGAAAACAGTTATTCAAACAAATTCTTGTACGTGAGTGTTCATATCAGCACTTTTTACAATAGCCAAAAAGGTGGAAACAACACAAATATTCATCAGCAAATGAGTGGATAAACAATTGTGATATATCCATATAATCAAATATTATTCAACCATAGAAAAGGATGAAATACTGATATATGCTACAATATTTTGAGGATGAATATCAAAATATTTTGCTAAGTGAAGGAAAGCCAGAAACAGAACACATATTATGTGATTACACATGTAAGGAATATCCAGAATAGGTAAACCCATAGAGAACAAGAGCAGATTTGTGGTTGCCAGTGGCTGTGGGGTGGGGGAGATGAGAAAATGGGGAGTAACTTCATGGGTATGGAGTTTTATTTGGGGGTGATGAAAATGTTTTGAAGGCCCAGCGTGGTGGCTCATGCCTGTAATCCCAGCACTTTGGGAGGCTGGGGCAGGTGGATCACTTGAGGTCAGGAGTTCGAGACTAGCTGGACCAACATGGTGAAACCCTGTCACTACTAAAAATACAAAATTAGCCAGGCGTGGTGGCACATGCCTGTAATCCCAGCTACTTGGGAGGCTGAGCAGGAGAATTGCTTGAACCTGGGTGGCAGAGGTTGCAGTGAGCGGAGATCAGCCATTGCACTCCAGCATGGGCAATAAGAGCAAAGCTCCATCTCAAAAAAAAAATGTTTTGAAATTAGATAGAGGTGGTGGTTGTACCTATTACTAATATACTAATGTACTAAATACCATTATATTATTCTCTTTAAAGTGGTTAGGCTAGGCCGGGTGTGGTGGCTCACGCCTGTAATCCCAGCACTGTGGGAGGCCAAGGTGGGTGGATCACCTGAGGTCAGGAGTTTGATTGAGACTAGCCTGGCCAACATGGTGAAACCCTATCTCTATTAAAAATACAAAAATTGGCCAGATGTGGTGGTGGGCGCCTGTAATCCCAGCTACTTGGGAGGCTGAGGCAGGAGAATCACATGAACCCAAGAGGCGGAGGTTGCAGTGAGCCAAGATCGCGCCATTGCACTCCAGCCTGGGCAATAAGAGCGAAACTCTGTCTCAAAAATAAATAAATAAATAAATACAATAAAGTGGTTAGGCAAGGCATGGTGGCACCCTGGGAGGCTAAGGCAGCAGGATCACTTGAGCCAAGGAGTTTGAGACCAACCTGGGTATCATAGTGAGACCCCATCACTACAAAAAATAAAAAGTTAGCTGAATGTGGTGGCGCATGCCTGTAGTCCCAACTACTCAGGAGGCTGAGGCAAGAGGACCATTTGCCCAGAAGTTCGAGGTTGCAGTGAGCTGTGATCATACCACTGCACTCCAGCCTGGACCGCAACTCAAAAAAAAAAAAAGGTTAATTTTATGTTGCATGAATTTCAATTTTTAAAAAATAGTTGATTACTTATGTACACTTTTCTGCATGTAAGTAATACTTAAGTTTGGAAAACTTTGGTGTAGTAGAAATAGCATGAGATTTGCCAAGCATTTTGCTGGCTATTAAACATATCTAATCTCATAATATACATTAAGCACAGCCATTGTGGGGGTGGCAGACAGTATGACCCAGATAAATATTAGTCCCCTTGCACAACTCAAAGCTTTCATACTCTAAAATTGTCCATGTCCCGGAGGCCCTGATTTCTTTCTTTCCATTTTTTTTTTTTTTTTTTTGAGACAGAGTTTCACTCTTGTTGCCCAGGCTGGGTTCAATGGCGTGATCTCGGCTCACTGCAGCCTCCGCCTCTCGGGTTCAAGTGATTCTCCTGCCTCAGCTTTCTGAGTAGCTGGGATTACAGGCATGCACCACCACGCCCAGCTAATTTTGTATTTTTGGTAGAGACAGGGTTTCTCCATGTTGGTCAGGCTGGTCTCGAACTCCCGACCTCAGGTGATCCACCCACCTTGGCCTCGCAAAGTGCTGGGATTACAGGCGTGAGCCACTGCACCCGGCTCCTTTTTTTTTTGTTGTTGTTGTTGAGATGGAGTCTTGTTCTGTTGCCCAGGCTGGAGTGCAGTGGCGCGATCTCGGCTTACTGCAACCTCCGCCTCCCAGGTTCAAGCAATTCTCCTGCCTCAGCCTCCCAAGTAGTTGGGACTACAGGTGTGTGCCACCACACCCGGCTAATTTTTGTATTTTTAGTAGAGACGGGGTTTCGCCATGTTGGTCAGGCTGGTCTCTAACCCCTGACCTCGTGATCCACCCACCTAGGCCTCCCATAGTGCTGGGATAACAGGCATGAGCCACCGCGCCCAGCTCCTTTTTTTTTTTTTTTGAGACGGAGTCTCACTCTGTCACCCAGGCTGGAGTCCAGTGGCGAGATCTCAGCTTATCGCAACCTCCACCTCCCGGGTTCAAGCGATTCTCCTGCCTCAGCCTCCCGAGAAGCTGGGATTACAGGCTCCTGCCACCACACCTGGCTAATTTTTGTCTTTTAAGTGGAGACGAGGTTTCACCATGTTGGCCAGGCTGGTCTCAAACTCCTGACCTCAGATGATCCAACTGCCTCGGCCTCCCAAGTGCTGGGATTACAGCTGTGAGCCACTGCGCCCAGCCAGAGACCTTGATTTCTTACCATACCTGCTGTCTGTAGAGCACCATGTAGCACTCAGCTACACTCCCTCTTCATGAGTGGTACTATTTAAATGCCTCAGGTTAAACATCTAGAGATTAGGGATCTTTTCTTACACTTCCTTGTATTTTATTTATTTATTTTTTTGTTTGAGACAGAATCTTGCTCCATCACCCAGTGGATTCTCCTGCCTCAGCCTCCCAAGTAGCTGGGATTACAGGCGCATACCACCACACCCAGCTAATTTTTAAAATTTTTTAGTAGAAATGGGGTTTCACCACGTTGGCCATTCTGGTCTCCAGCTTCTGGTCTAAAGTGATCCACCCACCTCAGCCTCCCGAATTGCTGGGATTACAGGCGTGAGCCACCGAGTCTGGCCTCTTACACTTCCAATGAACCCCATAGCTTGTAGCACATTGCTTTGTGTGGTAAGTGTCTCTATTCATGGTCCTAGCAGGAAATGAATAGCACAGTGAAATTAGGATAATTTGGGGGAGAGTTTAATAAAGTGATAATTACAAAGAAGTAGGCAGGGTGTAGGGAAATCAGAAAGAATAGTGCAGTGCCTTAGTACCCACAGCTCTGTTGTGATCACCTCCAAGCTCAAAAAGATGAGGACAGAGCAGTCGTGTAGAGAGGACTTTCTTTTTTTTTTTTTCTTTTCTTTTTTTTTTTTTTTTTTTTTGAGATGGAGTCTTGCTCTGTCGCCCAGGCTGGAGTGCAGTGGCGCGATCTCGGCTCACTGCAAGCTCTGCCTCCCGGGTTCACGCCATTCTTCTGCCTCAGCCTCCTGAGCAGCTGTGACTACAAGCGCCCGCCACCGCGCCCGGCTAATTTTTTTTGTATTTTTAGTAGAGACGGGGTTTCACCGTGGTCTCGATCTCCTGACCTCGTGATCCACCCGCCTCGGCCTCCCAAACTGCTGGGATTACAGGCGTGAGCCACCGCGCCCGGCGAGAGGACTTTCTCAATAAAAACTGTGACTTTCATTGATACCGTCCATTTGGGACAACTTACTGAAGCAGAAAGCAGGGTGGAGACTGAATTCAAGGGAAAACATAAGATGTCTGGTACAGCATACAACAGCATTGATTCAGAGGAGGGTGGGAGTACTGAGCCCAGGAGACGGAGAAGGAATGTAAAGCCTGCGAGAGGCTGCTCAGCAATTATCTGGTCCCTTAGCCTACAGGATTAGCAGCTTCCTAACTCAGGCAATTATCTCTCTGGACCTGTTTCTTCTATCTATAAGTTGATGGAATTAGTCTAATGATATCTAAGGTCCCTACTATGTGTACGTCTACTGTGACAAGGTCCTTAGCTGCATGATCTTTAATTCTGACAAAGGTTACTATCACAAATATTTTAACATGTTTATTCTCGTGGTTACTAATCAACAATCTCTGGCACTATTACAACAAACCTTTCAGTATTTACAGAGAAGTTATTTGCCATTCTTAGCAACTGGCCAGTCAACAACTCAACTTTATAGTAAGTTACAGAATTTATTCTGTATATTGTATTCTGTACAATGTATTCCATACATTAATTTATTTTGTGGTAAAACAGTAACTTTTCATTTTAGATGGGAAAACTAGACGAGCTGAGATTCAACCCACGTGAGCGGCTGCAGAGCCGCTACCCTTAACAGCTCTCTCTCGGGATTCTAACATTCCCTTCTGTGACGGAGAGACAGCAGGCCGGGACACGCATCCCAGGACGGATCCACAGCTGGATGGGGAAGGCTGCGCCAGGCGGGCCGGAAGCCTGGCGGTGGCGTGCAGGAGCCCCGCCCTCCTGGGCTGGATTCAGCCGGGGGCGGGGCCGCGGGCGGGGCCTGTGGCAGCGGGAATCCCGACCCCGCCCCTTTCCCCACCCCTCCATTTCTCGCCATGGCCCCTGCACTGCTCCTGATCCCTGCTGCCCTCGCCTCTTTCATCCTGGCCTTTGGCACCGGAGTGGAGTTCGTGCGCTTTACCTCCCTTCGGCCACTTCTTGGAGGGATCCCGGAGTCTGGTGGTCCGGGTGAGCGGGAGGGATCGAGGATGAACTGGGAGGAGGAAGGTGGAGCCGTAGGAGAGGGATTGAGGGCGGGGCTTGGAAACAAATGACAGGGGAAGTCCAAGAGAGGGAACTCGAACCTTGAAAGCGGCCGAGAAGCTACAGGGGAGGGAGACCTGAGTTCTAAATTAGGAACTCAAGGATTAGAGTTTTGGAGAGGCGGGAGAGTGAGGACTGAGGGAGCCGAAAAGGGCGGTGACCGGAGTATTCTAAGTAAAGTGTTTTGTAGAGAGGACTGTTGAGAGGAGAGTGTTAAAAAGAAGGAGCATTTGGAGAACCGAAGTAAGAGGGGCAATCCAGCGTGGCCTCTCCAGCCATGCTTTTTGCAACTGCCTAACATGTGGTGTTCTATAAATCCTCTTCCCCAGGTTTGCAGGAGGCCTAGGGAAGAGGGCAGAAACTAGGGATGGAAAAGTGAGATGGGCACAGCCTAGAGAGGAAGCATTAAGGCTCTTGAAAGCAGTAAGGGACATGGCCTGGGGATCCAAGAGGAGATGAGGGTGGGGGAAACATTCTGCCACTGTTTCGATCTTTTGTCTCTTTTTCCCTCAACTTCCTGTAGATGCCCGCCAGGGATGGCTGGCTGCCCTGCAGGACCGCAGCATCCTTGCCCCCCTGGCATGGGATCTGGGGCTCCTGCTTCTATTTGTTGGGCAGCACAGCCTCATGGCAGCTGAAAGAGTGAAGGCATGGACATCCCGGTACTTTGGGGTCCTTCAGAGGTCACTGTATGTGGCCTGCACTGCCCTGGCCTTGCAGGTATGAGGCCCTGGCCTTGCAGGTATGAAATCCTGGCAGTTGAGTCCCCAAGGGAGACCAAGTGTGGGAGGGGTGCCGTGGATTGGAGGGGCAAAATATGGGTTCAGGAGGAGAATTGAGGAACTAATCTCAGCTTCCATTCCTCCACAGCACATATCCTACTTTTTATCAAGAAGGGTGTACTTGTCCTTCCCTAAGCACAAGATATGCTTCTCACCTCTGCAACTTTGTTTATGTCCTGCTTGAGATCCCTTCTCTTCAGTCCTACCCTTTCTTCAAAACCACTTCCCTAGGTCTGAAGAGAAGGCCTTGTCTGTCTTTTCACTGGGTGGTTGGCACAGGCTACTACTTTGCGTAGCTATCAGGTCACCCCATCTATTCTATAAGTTCTCAGGGTAGAGACAGGCCATCCTTACATCTTTGGGACCTCACCCAGCACGCACCCTCCACATGGTGAATATTTGGTGGTGATGCTTAGGAGAGAGGTGGGGGAGAGTTGCAGGCTAGCCTGTGGTGGGGGCAGATCTGGGTCTGGGTCTCCCAAGGTCGGGCAGACTAGGCCACTGGGATACCCAGCCCCTTATCCTTCCACAGCTGGTGATGCGGTACTGGGAGCCCATACCCAAAGGCCCTGTGTTGTGGGAGGCTCGGGCTGAGCCATGGGCCACCTGGGTGCCGCTCCTCTGCTTTGTGCTCCATGTCATCTCCTGGCTCCTCATCTTTAGCATCCTTCTCGTCTTTGACTATGCTGAGCTCATGGGCCTCAAACAGGTGAGGCTCCGAGATCCCTACCTATGACCTCTGACCCATTTTAGAACTCCTCGTTCCCTTTCAAGGGTTTCCCTCCTCCCATGCTCTTCTACTGTCTCCCTGCTTCTCCCTCGTGGCCCTTCCCTTTGACTTTCCCTCGTAAGGGCAGCAAGCATGGGCCTCCTGGGCCTGGGGAAGGTACATGGATCAGAAGTCAGGATCAGGGATCCAAGTCTCAGAAGGGGGGTTCCTGGGCCTGAGTTCTAGAAGGGTGGTGCCTGGAAGAGGAGGAAAGAAGTGCCCAAGATGAGAAAAGGGCTTGACTCCATTTCTAAGCTCTTCTCCCTCTCTTAGGTATACTACCATGTGCTGGGGCTGGGCGAGCCTCTGGCCCTGAAGTCTCCCCGGGCTCTCAGACTCTTCTCCCACCTGCGCCACCCAGTGTGTGTGGAGCTGCTGACAGTGCTGTGGGTGGTGCCTACCCTGGGCACGGACCGTCTCCTCCTTGCTTTCCTCCTTACCCTCTACCTGGGCCTGGCTCACGGGCTTGATCAGCAAGACCTCCGCTACCTCCGGGCCCAGCTACAAAGAAAACTCCACCTGCTCTCTCGGCCCCAGGATGGGGAGGCAGAGTGAGGAGCTCACTCTGGTTACAAGCCCTGTTCTTCCTCTCCCACTGAATTCTAAATCCTTAACATCCAGGCCCTGGCTGCTTCATGCCAGAGGCCCAAATCCATGGACTGAAGGAGATGCCCCTTCTACTACTTGAGACTTTATTCTCTGGGTCCAGCTCCATACCCTAAATTCTGAGTTTCAGCCACTGAACTCCAAGGTCCACTTCTCACCAGCAAGGAAGAGTGGGGTATGGAAGTCATCTGTCCCTTCACTGTTTAGAGCATGACACTCTCCCCCTCAACAGCCTCCTGAGAAGGAAAGGATCTGCCCTGACCACTCCCCTGGCACTGTTACTTGCCTCTGCGCCTCAGGGGTCCCCTTCTGCACCGCTGGCTTCCACTCCAAGAAGGTGGACCAGGGTCTGCAAGTTCAACGGTCATAGCTGTCCCTCCAGGCCCCAACCTTGCCTCACCACTCCCGGCCCTAGTCTCTGCACCTCCTTAGGCCCTGCCTCTGGGCTCAGACCCCAACCTAGTCAAGGGGATTCTCCTGCTCTTAACTCGATGACTTGGGGCTCCCTGCTCTCCCGAGGAAGATGCTCTGCAGGAAAATAAAAGTCAGCCTTTTTCTACATATGGCATGCAGTCTGTCAGTGTCTCCCAAGCTACAGGGCTGAGTTTGGGAAAGAAAGCCAGAGGGAGCCTGGGAGCACCGAACTGGAGTCTGGGCAGCCACCACGCCCTCTGGCAACCGCTGGGGTTCGGCCACCCCCGCAGACCCGCCCCCACTTTGCCAGAGCGGCCGGGTCCCCATTCCCATTCCTTCAAATCCCCTTTTTCCCGGCAGCCGACCTGTAGACCCAAGGGAGACAGGTTGAAGCTAGAAAGAGTCGGGGCAGCAGCTCTGGTAGGGGAGGGAGCATCCAAAACCTCTGGCTTCTGAGCGCCTCTCCTGCCGCCCATCCACAAAGCCCCCCACAGCCTGGCGGCTGCCCTCGACCCCGCAAAACAAAGGACTTCAGAGGCTGGACCTACAGACCCAGATGAGAAGGCAAAAGCGTAGGGAGGAGCGGCAGGAGATGGGAAGGGCGGGCCCCGCTCGGAGCAGCTGCCGCTTCCTCCCAAAGTCCCACGAGGGGCCTGAGTCACGGGCCACCGCCCTGGGTCGGCGAGCTGGGGGAAGGGATCTGGACACCTGGCGTGTCCGGGCGGGAAGCTGGTGAGGGCCCCTGGGGACAGAGCGGAGGACCAGTGGTTGGGGCGAGAAGAGGGCAGTCCCGCAGCGAGTCCCACGCGGGGTGGGAGGGATCTAGGCCCCGCCCTCTCCTCGGCTCCGCCCTGCGCCCCCTTCCCTCTCCTCATTGTCCTTAGACAAAGCGGTCGCCGCCCCCGCCCGGCCCCCTGGTCTCTGTCTCCGTCCCTCCTCCTTTGCTGCCTCTTTCCCTCCTCCTCTCCCTCCCTCCTCCCCTCCCTCCAGTCTCCGGATCTCCCTCGGTCCCTCTCTCCTCCTCTTCCTCTCTCTGGACGCCCGGCTCCTCCGCACCCCCTCCCCCGGGGGTCCCGCGGCCTGTGAGTTGACTGAGGGGCTCAGACTTGGGGAGTGGGTGTCTCCTCGCCCCTGTCCTTGCTCCCGTCCCTGGCCCGGACCTTGGCTGTCTCCTCTTTGTGCCGAGATTGTCAGTCTGTGCGGCTACAGCGGGGTGGAGACGGCCGGCTCTGTCACGGCTTCATGAGAGCGGGGACGGGGCGCAGGACTTGCAGGCGCCGGGGAGAAGAGACATGGAGCCGGCCCTTGGCACTCTGGGGTCGCGTGGGGCAGTCGGTGGGGGAGGCAGGCGGTGGTGACAGGACAGGGTGGGGGTGGACGCCAGGGTTCTGGGAACGCGCTGGCAGCCCTGACGCCCGGGTTCCGAAAGTCTCGGGGGTGGCTATTTCCCCCGACCCGCCTCGGGGGCGGAGTGCGGGGCAGAGGGGTGGGGGCTGGGGAGAGGCGTGGCCCGAGCGGTGCTGGAAGCGGAGCCGGGACCTTTGGGGCCCGCGCTGAGACGCGCCCGGCTGCTGCCGCCGCCCTCCTTTCCCCTCTTCCCTGGTTTCCCTTCTCCTCTAGACCTGTTCGCTCTCCGCCCCTCCTTGCCTCCCCAACACCCCCTCAGGTCCCGTTGCCTCCTGGTCCTTTCAGGGATTCCTGGTCCTTCCTTCCCACACTAGCCTCCCTGGGGTATCGCTGAGGCAGCCTGGCCTGCACCCAGGTTCCCCTCACCCCTGCCACATTTCTCTCTTCTCCCTCACGCCAACTTTCCTTTTCGCCCTTCTCTCTCTTTCTCACATCCTAGAGACGGTCTTTAATACGCATTAACCCTGTGCTGCCACATCTGGCTCCTGCCCTCATTGCCTCCAATCCGGACTCTTCCTCTCACATCACCCCCACCACCCCCAACTTGGGCTCACAACTTCTCTTCACTTTTTCCATTTCCCCAGTTCTCTGCCTTCCGTCTTTCCCTCTGTCCTCATCCTTAGCCCCTCTGCCCTGCTTTGTGTCCCACCTCTCCCCCTCCACTTCCTCTCCTCCCACCCTCAGTCTCACCCCCGGGCTGTCTCACTCTCTGGAGCCTCTCCTTCCTGTTCTCTGTCCCCAGTGCTCCCTACCCTCACCTCAAGACGACCATGGCCACCATCCCAGACTGGAAGCTACAGCTGCTAGCCCGGCGCCGGCAGGAGGAGGCGTCCGTTCGAGGCCGAGAGAAAGCAGAACGGGAGCGCCTGTCCCAGATGCCAGCCTGGAAACGAGGGCTCCTGGAGCGCCGCCGGGCCAAGCTTGGGCTGTCCCCTGGGGAGCCTAGCCCTGTGCTAGGGACTGTAGAGGCTGGACCTCCAGACCCGGATGAGTCTGCGGTCCTTCTGGAGGCCATCGGGCCAGTGCACCAGAACCGATTCATCCGGCAGGAGCGGCAGCAGCAGCAGCAGCAACAACAACGGAGTGAAGAGCTGCTAGCAGAGAGAAAGCCTGGGCCTCTGGAGGCCCGGGAGCGGAGACCCAGCCCTGGGGAGATGCGGGATCAGAGCCCCAAGGGAAGAGAGTCAAGAGAAGAGAGACTAAGTCCGAGGGAGACCAGAGAGAGGAGGCTGGGGATAGGGGGAGCCCAAGAGTTGAGCCTGAGGCCTCTGGAGGCTCGGGACTGGAGGCAAAGCCCAGGAGAGGTGGGAGACAGGAGCTCCCGACTGTCAGAGGCATGGAAATGGAGGCTGAGTCCTGGAGAAACTCCAGAGCGGAGTCTGAGACTAGCAGAGTCTCGAGAGCAAAGCCCCAGGAGAAAAGAGGTGGAAAGTAGACTGAGCCCAGGGGAATCTGCCTACCAGAAGTTGGGCCTGACAGAGGCCCATAAATGGAGACCTGACTCCAGAGAGTCTCAGGAACAGAGTTTGGTACAACTGGAGGCAACAGAGTGGAGGCTGAGGTCAGGAGAAGAAAGACAAGACTACTCGGAAGAATGTGGGAGAAAAGAAGAGTGGCCAGTTCCAGGGGTAGCTCCAAAAGAGACTGCAGAGCTGTCCGAGACCCTGACAAGGGAGGCCCAAGGCAACAGTTCCGCAGGAG
This sequence comes from Homo sapiens, assembly GCF_000001405.40. Classification (NCBI taxonomy): domain Eukaryota; kingdom Metazoa; phylum Chordata; class Mammalia; order Primates; family Hominidae; genus Homo; species Homo sapiens. The sequence continues at coordinate 30,685,087 of NC_000006.12, read as the reverse complement.
TGGAGGCAGCAGAGCAGAGGCCTGTGGAAGATGGCGAGAGGGGCATGAAGCCAACAGAAGGGTGGAAATGGACCCTGAACTCCGGGAAGGCTCGAGAATGGACACCCAGGGACATAGAGGCTCAAACTCAGAAACCAGAACCTCCAGAGTCAGCAGAGAAGCTTCTGGAATCTCCCGGTGTGGAGGCTGGAGAAGGGGAGGCTGAGAAGGAGGAGGCGGGGGCTCAGGGCAGGCCTCTGAGAGCCCTGCAGAACTGCTGCTCTGTGCCCTCCCCCCTCCCACCAGAGGACGCTGGGACTGGAGGCCTGAGACAGCAGGAAGAGGAAGCAGTGGAGCTCCAGCCCCCACCACCAGCCCCTCTGTCTCCCCCACCCCCAGCCCCAACTGCCCCCCAACCTCCTGGGGATCCCCTCATGAGCCGCCTGTTCTATGGGGTGAAGGCAGGGCCAGGGGTGGGGGCCCCCCGCCGCAGTGGACACACCTTCACCGTCAACCCCCGGCGGTCTGTGCCCCCTGCGACCCCAGCCACCCCAACCTCTCCAGCCACAGTTGATGCTGCAGTCCCGGGGGCTGGGAAGAAGCGGTACCCAACTGCCGAGGAGATCTTGGTTCTGGGGGGCTACCTCCGTCTCAGCCGCAGCTGCCTTGCCAAGGGGTCCCCCGAAAGACACCACAAACAGGTAGGGAAGCAGCCAAGCCAGACTTCTTAGAAGTCCACTTGTCAATTTTCTCTGGACTCTGGTCTCTTTCTTTTTTATACCCCTGTTTTCTTGTCTTCCTCTATTCTTTCTTGTTAATTCCTGCCACCACCCTTCCTCGCTCTGCACATACACCCTTCCTTCTCAGAGCCCTCCTTTTCCATTTTGAGCCCAAAAGATCCTGCCCCAGCAAAGGCTGTCTCTGGGTGTGTCTCTTTCAGGGTGTGCCAGGCTGCTCATTCTCCCTTCCCTTGGGCTCTGAGTTTCCAACCCCCTTTTCTTTCCTTCCTTTCCTGAGTGTGACCTGCCCCAGCCCATCCAGTGGGAGAGCCTAAAGTGACGAGCTTGAATCAGTGAGGGCAGGGTCACCAGGGTGAGAGCACTTGCAGTTTTTCTGGGGAGAAGGGATAGGGAGCCTGGGGTGGTGGAGGGGGTGGGGTGGGTTTGTGTTCTAGGGAGAAACTGCAGGGAGAAGTGAATGGAGAAAGGTCCAACTGCCCCGTGGGAAGGAGGGCAGAGCTGAATAGGGACATCCTAGGATGGAGGGGAGAGGGGAGATGGAACCGGGCCGGCCAAAGATCAGAGAGAAGGCTTTTGAACCCCGAGTCTGCCCCATGGGAGAGACACAGAGAGGCCATTTGAAGTGGGTGACCTCGGGGTTGCACACCCCCAGCTGGGCCACTGCTTCAGACAGTGCTCCCTTCTCTCTTGGGACAAGAAAAGCCTTCTCCTCTTCCAAAATACCCCCGCCCCTCACTCCCCTGTCCTTCCTCCCTGGGTTTCCCCTCCCTCCCAAGAACTGGCTCAGGGATCGGTTTTCCCCTCTTTTCCTGCCATCCTGGACTTTCCCTCCCCTTAGGGTAGCAAAAGAGAGAAGTGAATTTGGAGACAGTTTTGAGAACAGGCACTGGCCAGGGAGCACAGTGGGAGTTCTGGACAGGGGTTGGGGCTGAGGCCAGCAGAGGGTCAGAGGTTAGACTTGCAACAAAGACCTGCAGGAAAGTGGGGGCAGCCAGGATGACTCCCCCTGGCCCTGGCCTCACTTCTTCCCTGTGCACATCCATCTGTTTCCAGCTTGAAAATCTCTAGGGAGACAGAGGTCCCACACTCAGACATCTCAGACTTAGGAAGTCCCTCCAGTCACACACATCTCCCCAGAGCCTGGGAAGCCCAGTCTCATTCTCATCCCATGTGTTAACATCCTCAGATTTGATTTTTTTGTGTCCTCAGTGTCAGTGGGGAACCACAGGGACTAAAGATACGGGTTAAGCCTTGGGTGGAGGGGGGTTCATTTGATCCCCCAATTCATCTTCACATGAAGCGTAAGCTCCCACCTCTAAGCCATGGTTCTTGGGAACCTACCCTCAGCCCTCTGACTGCTACCAGCCTGTTCCCCTCAGGGCTGGGCAGATGAAAAAAACAGAAGTCCGGAAATGCTACCCGGGTGAGGTGTTCAGAAAAGTCACTTCCTACTGAGAGAGGCTTGTGCCTCTGGGGAAGAATGAGCAGAGGGAAGCATGAAGCTTTGGGGCCCAAAGCCCAGGGAGCATCCCAGGGGAGCCAGGAAGCAAGTGCAGGGCAGGACCTGTGCTGGTGACCATACCTAGGCCAGAGAGCAGGGGAGCCGGAAGCAGATCGCCCAAACAGGAAGCCTGGGGTGGGGGCCGGAAGGCTGGTGGGGCTGAGTGGGGAACCCTGGGCCCTGGGCCCTGGGCCTGCCAGATCTGTGCTCAGGATGTGGTGAGAGAATAAGGAAGCAGCCGCTGCTTGGGTGGGGGTGGGGAGGAGGCAGCACAGAGTTCCTCTGACCCAGACGCCTCACCCTCCACCCTCTACCCCCTGTCAGCAACCTGTTCTTCAGGGACTGGGTGCCTTGTCCCAGCTCTGCTGCAACACACTGGCTCAGGAATAGGAGATAGGAGGACCCTGCCACCAACCCCCGCTTCACCTTCCCTAAATAACTCGTTTGCAGGCTAATTCCATCAAATTTATCCCTGCCATCAGGAGAGAAATCCCAGCCCTGCCACTGGAGCCCAGGGGATGGCTGTGGCTGGTGCCCTACCCCAGAGGCCTCTTGGTTGGGCTGAGAGACCAGCCCCATTGTGACCTTATATAGCTGATGGGAGAGGAGCGAGTGAGTCACCCCCTCTCTACCCCCCCACTCCCATGCAGGCTGTGCATTTCTGAGAAGCCCAGTCAGAAGTTGGTGGGGGGTGAGGAGACAGGCAGGGTAGGGGGGGAGATATAAACATAGACCGAGAGCAAATAAAATAAGTCATTTTCAGAGTAGAAAATAAAGTACAGAGGTTATTATTCCAAAAGAGGATATGAGAAGAAAACAAAAATGGGTTCCCAGAAATGTGGGTAAATCTGTCAGTTACAGAAACCTAAGCGGTCCCTTCTGAGAACTTGGGATATAAGCAGTCTGGCTGCTGTCACTAGATTCTACCAGCAGTTCCACAGACATGAACTGGGGGTCAAATGTGTACAGGCTGGACCACCCGCAGATCGTTTCCCCAGCATTGGTCCTCTGATGGCACCTCATGTGAGGTCTGAACAAACCCTAACCTCTTGCATTGTACCAACTTCTAAGCTCCTTTCTTTTTTCTTTTCTTTTCTTTTTTTTTTCTGAGACAGTCTCGCTGTCTCCCAGCCTGGAGTTCAATGGTGAGATTTCGGCTCACTGCAACCTCCACCTCCCGGGTTCAAGTGATTCTCCAGCCTCAGCCTCCTGAGTAGCTGGAATTACAGGCGCACGCCACCATACCCGGCTAATTTTAGTATTTTTAGTAGAGACGGGGTTTCACCATGTTAGCCAGGCTGGTCTCGAACTCCTGACCTCAAGTGATCCACCTGTCTTGGCCTCCCAAAGTGCTGGGATTACAGGGGTGAGCCACCTTACCCGGCCCCAAGCTCCTTTCAACAGCAGACATGAGTATAATATATTAGTAAATTATCTAGTAAGTTAGAAGGTGGTAAGTGATTATGGAAAAAAAAATAGAACAGTGGAACTTAGAGGGTCAGGAGGTAGGGGGAGTGAATATGGAGACTTCAAAATAGGGTGATCAGGAGGGTCAGAGCCATGGGGATATTTTGGGGGAGTGTTCCAGGCAGAAGGAATAGCTAGTACTGTTCTGGTCCTGAGGTAGGAGTGCGTGGAGGGAACCAAGGCCAGTGTGGCTGGAGTGGAGGAAGAGGCCAGAGAGGCAAGGGGAGGGTGGCATACTGGGAGCACCCTGTAGGCTTTGGTCAGGCTCTGGGCACCTTGGGGGCAATCAAGTAGACTTTTTTTTTTTTTTTTTTTTGAGACAGAGTCTTGCTCTGTTGCCCAAGCCGTAGAGCAGTGGCGCGACCTCGGCTCACTGCAACCTCCGCCTCCCGGGTTCAAGCAATTCTCCTGCCTCGTCCTCTCGAGTAGCTGGGACTACAGGTGCACGCCACCATGCCCAGCTAATTTTTTTGTATTTTTAGTAGAGACAGGTTTCACCATGTTGGCCAGGATGGTCTCAATCTCTTGACCTTGTGATCCGCCCGCCTCGGCCTCCCAAAGTTCTGGGATTATAGGCATGAACCACCGCGCCCAGCCTGGAGTAGACTTTTTGCTCCAAGTGAGATGGGGAGACACTGCAGGGTTCAGAGCCAACAAGGAGTAACATATACAGTTCCTGAGTTCTACCTTCCCATGGGGACCCAGGTGTCATATCTGGTTTTCTTTTTTTTTCTTTTTTAGAGACAGTGTCACTCTATTGCCCAGGCTGGTCTCGAACTCCTGGGCTCAAGAAATCCTCCCGCCTCAACCTCCCAAAGTGCTGGGGCTACAGGTGTGAGCCACCATGCCTGACTGGTGTCATATTGATGCAGCTCTTAACAACCACCTGCCCAGCCACCCTTCTGGCTTCTCTCTTTTCATACCTCAGTTCATTAGGGGACTCAGGGATGTACGGCTGACCCCAAGTCTTCCCAAACAGATGCCAGGGAAGGCCTGAGTAGATCATTTGGACCTTTCCAAGTAGTTCATATGGAATCCTCCTGCTGTCTCCCTAATCCCTTTGGCTCCTAGACTTAATCCCACCCTGCCCCTTCCCCCTGAGCTTCTTAATAGGGCAAAGGGGAAGGGTAGAAAGGCAGTGAGAACAGCTGGGACTCGCCTGCTCTTGGGACAGTGTGATTACCAAGGGTTTTCTGTGCCCTGTCTGGTATTTTGTCTCTGTGCCTGTCCCTTTGGGCACACTGTGGACCCCCACCCCAGGTTTGTGTGGACTTTCCTTTCTGCCCTTGTCATCTCCCCCAGCCTTCAGGGTGTCAGCGGCTCATCTTTCCCCTGTGTGTTGCTGGAGTCTCTTGGTTCCTCTCGGCCTTTCTGTTCATCTCCCATCTCTTCCTAGGCCCTAGACTCCCTTTGCTATGGATAGGAGAGGAATGAGGAGAGTAGGAGGGAACAGGTGCCCAGGGTCCTGGGTTTTGCATAGGACAGCAAGGGGCTGTGGGTATGAAAACCTTGCTTTTGTCTGAGACTCGCTCCCCAGCCAGTTCTTTCCCCACTGGCCAGTCTGCTGGGCTCCTCTGGGAAGTTCACTCGATTGCCCCCAAGGTGCCCAAAGACTCGGTTCTGATCACAAGACTTATCGCCATGTATTTTAATTTCTTTTTACCCCTCTGCCTCCCACACTCGAAATAGCAGGGACCTTGGTCTTATATTATTCACTTCTGCCTCCCAAGCCCCTGCCAACGTACAGGGCAAAGTCTGATGTTTTGAAATGATATGATCGAAGAGGGAAACTCTAGAATTGGAGAGCCAGTATGGAAAGGAAAACTGGATCCCAGAGTGGATGGGGAGAGTGAGTGGGGCACCTGAGTCCAGCCCCCACCCCCACGTTCCGCCAGTCCCACCTGCTCCCTTGCAGACTCCGCCCCCCCCGCCCCCGCTTTCTCTCCCTCAACCCCCGCGGGCTTCTCCCCTGCTGACCTTGCCTCCTGCCCCCTTTTTCTCCCTCCTTCAGCTTAAGATCTCCTTCAGCGAGACAGCCCTGGAGACCACGTACCAATACCCCTCCGAGAGTTCGGTACTGGAGGAGCTGGGCCCGGAGCCTGAGGTCCCCAGTGCCCCCAACCCTCCAGCAGCCCAACCCGACGACGAAGAGGATGAGGAAGAGCTGCTGCTGCTGCAGCCAGAGCTCCAGGGCGGGCTGCGCACCAAGGCCCTGATTGTGGGTAAGCGGAGGCTCCGCCGGCCCGAGGGCGCCCCCTGCTGTCAGAGCGGGCGCTGTGGTCCAGGAGAGAGGAGGGAGGATTACATGTAGGCACTCGGAAGGGGCTTGGCGGGTCCTCTGGTTCAACATGCTCCTTTAACAGATGGGCAAACTGAGGTCCCCGGCAGTGAAGTACACATTGAGTCTTCAGGTTTCAAAACGAGAACTCTTCCTGAGTGCTGTAATCTGGTCAAAATCACAGGGTGGGTCGACAGGCCTGAGTTGGAATTCCAGCTTGTCTCTTTAATTGTGTGATCTCAGGGAAACCATCTGATCTCTTGCTTTAGTTTATTATTTATGAAATGAAGTTAATAATAACTACCTCCTGTGGCTCATGCCTGTAATCCCAGCACTTCGGGAAGCCAAGACGGGTGGATCGCTTGAGCCCAGGAGTTCAAGACCACCCTGGGCAACATGGCAAAATCCTGTCTCTACAAAAAAATTGAAAAATTATCCAGGTGTGGGCCGGGCACGGTGGCTCACGCCTGTGATCCCAGCACTTTGGGAGGCCGAGGCGGGCGGATCACGAAGTCAGGAGATCGAGACCATCCTGGCTAACACGGTGAAACCCCATCTCTACTAAAAATACAAAAAAAAATTAGCTGGGCGTGGTGGCGGGCACCTGTAGTCCCAACTACTTGGGAGGCTGAGGCAGGAGAATGGCGTGAACCTGGGAGGCGGAGCTTGCAGTGAGCCGAGGTCGTGCCACTGCACTCCAGCCTTGACAACAGAGTGAGACTCCGTCTCAAAAAAAAAAAAAAAAATTAGCCAGGTGTGGCAGTGCGCAGCTGTGGTTCCAGGTACTTGGAAGGCTGAGGTGGGAGCATCGTTTGACCTCAGGAGTTGGAGGCTGCAGTGAACCAATATTGCACCACCCACTGCACTCCAGCCTGGGCAACAAAGGAAGACCTGTCTCAAAAGAAACAAACAGGCCAGGCACGGTGGCTCACGCCTGTAATCTCAGCACTTTGGGAGGCCGAGGCAGGTGGATCACTCAAGGTCAGAAGTTCAAGACCAGCCTGGCCAACATAGTGAAAACCCATCTCTACTAAAAATACAAAAATTAGCTAGGCATGGAGGTGGACACCTGTAATCCCTGCTACTCGGGAGTCTGAGGCAGGAGAATCACTTGAACCCGGGAAGCAGAGGTTGCAGTGAGCCGAGATGACGCCACTACACTCCAGCCTGGGTGACAGAGTGAAATTCTGTCTCAAAAAAACAGAAACCAAAAACTACCTCCTAGACTTGTAGAAAATATTAAGTAATTTTATTTATTTATTTATTTATTTATTTTGAGACAGCGTCTCCCTCTGTCGCCTGGACTGGAATGCAGTGGCACAACCTTGGCTCACTGCAACCTCTGCCTCCCAAATTCAAGCGATTCTTGTGCCTCAGCCTCTCTAGTAGCTGGGATTACAGATGTGTACCATCACACCTGGCTAGTTTTTATATTTTTAGTAGAGACAGGGTTTCCCCATGTTGGTCAGGCTGGTCTTGAACTCCTGACCTCAAGTGATCCTCCTGCCTCAGCCTCCCAAATTGCTTGGATTACAGGTGCTCCAGGCCAAGATTAAGTAATTTTTTGTGAAGCACCAAGAGCCACAGCTGGATATCATATTACTTAATCTCTCCTGGAGTTATGGTGAGATTAAACAGTTATAAGGATGCCTGGCACAGAGTCCGAGCTAAATGAGTGATGGATGTGGTTACTGGTGGTAACATGCTTTAGATATGGAAGATATTATAGGACTTCCTGCATGCCAACTGCCCTTCAATTTGTGTGGGGGGGAAGGGTGGGCAGAAGGCAGAGGCTCTCACTCATTCTCTAACATTATTGCCCCCTCTCCCACAGATGAGTCCTGCCGGCGGTGACCATCTTCCAACATAGGGATATACCTCCCTCCTTCTTATAACTGAAGATCCTGGAGCCCGGAAGATTCAGGGCAGACAGACCCTGATAATGAGCCTGGCAGGGAAGGGCAACCAACATCTTGTAACTTGCTTTCCCCACCCTGTTTCTGGGGGCAGAGCCAATTGCCCAATTTCTACCCTAATCCAAAGTCCCTGGTGTGGGTGGGGTTAAACGTGCTGGTGCATCCTAGGTCATCCAAGAGTGAGCGCCAAGTCCTGAGAAGGGGCACAGAACTCCCTGGAGGGTGGAGATGGAGCACCTGCCCCCCATGGCAGGGTACACTCTCCCCACAGCCTTCCTCCCCACCATCCCGTGGGGACTCTCGGGATTTAAGCACTCGTCTCTCTGGGAGGCCCAGACCCCACTCCATTTATAGGCACATCTCCTTCATTTCCTAGGTCACTGCCCCTTTGTTTACAGCTCCTGCCTCCTCCCTTGACCACAGCCTGGTTTACAAATTCCATCAGCTCCCAGCCCCACCTGCCAAAGTCCCAGGTTTACAAGCCACGCTTACTTGCTGTGTCTGCGTGGAATTCTCTCCTCTGTCCCCTCCAGTCTCCTCATTGGAGTGACCTGAAGGTGTGGCTTCCTCCACTTTTTCTCAGTATTACTTTGCCTTAGTTTTCCCCAAGAGGGAAGGCTGGAACTCTTAACTCTGTACCCCTTGATAGTTATTTAATTCTGTTTCTCCTAGTGGTTCACAATTGAACTGAATTGAGATGGTGTCGGGTGGCTAAGGAGACACCTCACCTCTCCTTCCCCATTGTGCCGCCTTTATCAATTGCCTGTTTTGTTTTGTTTGTTTTTTAACTTTCCATAATAAAATGGAGTTCTCTTCAACTCGTCTGCTTCTCCTTCTTTGGGAAAAAAAAAGGGTATGTGAGGGGAGGCTCTGGTGGCTGGGGGAGAGGAAAATGATGGGGGATGAACCAGGAACTCGGCACTGACATGTCAAAAGGGGTCTGGGAAGCTGCACGTGGGTTTCACGCAGGACAAGCAGGTGACATGAGAAAGGGCAGTTGAAGTGTCCACTAGACTGGAAGTGCCATGAGGGCTGACTACATCAGCTGGATTCACTGCAATATCCTGTACCTGTCAACTAGTAGACACGGAATTATTTCTAGAATGAATGACAACAAATGAATGAATAGAAGAAAAGGGTTAAAATATTACAGAGGACACTTTGAGTTGAAGGGTTCTAGTATTCAGAAGCCTGCTGCCATGAAGGCAGCTAGGTAGTGTATGACACAACCCATGTGGCTAATCCAGGGATACTTACTTAAAGAGCTGGGGCTACGAATACTAAATCTGAAATTGCTGCAAAATGAAGTAAGTATGTACAAGAGTCAGTTTCCTGGAAAAGGTTCCCCTCTGATAGACAATGGATTTTATATCGTTAAAGGCCTAAAGGCCGGGCACGGTGGCTCACGCCTGTGATCCCAGCACTTTGGGAGGCCGAGGCAGGCGGATCATAAGGTCAGGAGATTGAGACCATCCTGGCTAACACGGTGAAACCCCGTCTCTACTAAAAATACAAAAAATTAGCGGGGCATAGTGGTGGGCACCTGTAGTCCCAGCTACTCGGGAGGCTGAGGCAGGAGAATGGCATGAACCCGGGAGGTGGAGCTTGCAGTGAGCTGAGATTGCGCCATTACACTCCAGCCTGGGCAGCAGAGTGAGACTCCATCTCAAAAAAAAAAAAAAAGGTTTAAAAACCATCTTGATAGTGCATGGCTTTGGTGCCCATGTAGTTGATATTTGGAATTTTCCCATTTCAAAGAATATCTTATACAAATGTGGAACATCAATATTTTACTCATCAGGAAAATTTGTTTGTTTGTTGTTAGCTCTCCAGGCTAACAAAGATATGGTTGAATAGTTATAGTCCTTCTACCACTACAAGTTGCTCCTCTCAGACTGGTCAGAGGAGGCCCCACACCTTTACTATAAAACAAAATATATGAGACAAATTGAACTTAAGCATACGCCAAAGGTTTTCAATTTACTAGCAAGAGAACAAGCCAGGTGTCAAAAGACTCAGCCAGTTCAGAGAAGGTCTGGGTAGGGAAGGAAACAGAATGATTATATTAGTAGCCTGTTAGGTAAAGGTCTTAAAAAGTTTCCAGTTGTGACCCAGGAAAACAGAGTTAGGAAGCTCCGAGGTGCCAGGGGTGCTCACAGTCCATCTCAGAAACAGAAAACAATGCATTCAAGAGGTCAGGCCAGGTGTGGTGGCTCATGCCTGTAATCCTAACACTTTGGGATGCCAAGGCGGGTGGACTGCCTCATCTGAGGAGTTTGAGACCAGCCTGGGCAACATGATGAAACCCCGTCTCTACTAAAATACAAAAAATTAGCTGGACGTGGTGGCACGCACCTGTAGTCCCGCCTACTCAGGAGGCTGAGGCAGGAGAATTGCTTGAACCCAGGAGGTGGAGGCTGCAGTGAGCCAAGATCACGCCACTGCATTCCAGCCTGGGCGACAGAGTGAGACTCCGAGACTCCCTTTCCAAAAAAAAAAAAAAAAAAGTCAGTGATGTAGATCCACTTGTGGCTATTAATAAGAACAATGTTTCATTTCCTAACAGTAGTGCCTGGTAACTGCAATTAATCACAAAAGTATGATGCAGGATCAAACAAATCAGACAGCAGAGCATCGAGTAACAAATTCAGCTTTTTGTTTTGTTTGTTTTTTTTTTTTGAGCATAGTCTTGGTCTGTTGCCTAGGTTGGAGTGCCTGACCTCGGCTCACTGCAACCTCTGGCTCCTGGGCTCAAGAGATTCTCCTGTCTCAGGCCCAGTGCGGTGGCTCACGCCTGTAATCCCAGCACTTTGGGAGGCCGAGACGGGCGGATCATGAGGTCAGGAGTTTGAGACCAGCCTGACCAACATGGTAAAACCCCATCTGTATTAAAAATACAAAAACTAGCTGGGCGTGATGGCATGTGCTTGTCACACTTGTAATTCCAGCTACTCAGGAGGCTGAGGCAGGAGAATCACTTGAACCTGGGAGGCGGAAGTTGCAGTGAGCCGAGATCGTGCCATTGCACTCCAGTCTGGGCAACAGAGCGAGACTCTGTCTCCAAAAAAAAAAAAAAAAATTCTCCTGTCTCAGTCTCCAGAGTAGCTGGGACTACAGGTGCACACCTCCACACCTGGCTAATTTTTTGTAGAGATGGTGGGGTCTCACCCTGTTGCCCAGGCTGGTCTCAAACCCCTGGTCTCAAGATATCCTCCTGCCTCAGCCTCCCAAAGTGCTGGGATTACAGCAAGAGCCACTGCACCTGGCCTTGCTTACTTTTAAATAAGCAGCCACCAGTGATTTTCTCAAGCTGTTAAGCAAAAATGCAGAACACAGTTTGCCTGTTCCTTAGTTTGGAGATTTTGTCTTTAACAACTTTCCCCAGTTCCCCAGTTTCTTCCTGCCTAGAGGTCTTCCCTTATACCTGACCTGTCTTCACTCCTGCTGCAGGCAAACCAGTCCTAGCAACGGTCACTTTTTTGTTTGTTTGAGACAGAGACTTCCTCTGTTGCTCAGGCTGGAGTGCCGTGGTGGGATCTCGGCTCACTGCAAACTCTGCTTCCCATGTTCAAATGATTCTCCTGCCTCAGCCTCCCGAGTGGCTGGGACTACAGGCGCACACCACCACGCCAGGCTAATTTTTATATTTTTAGTAGAGACAGGGTTTCGCCATCTTGGCCAGGCTGGTCTCGAACTCCTGACCTCAGATAATCCGCCCGCCTTGGCCTCCCAAAGTGCTGGGATTACAGGCATGAGCCACCGCGCCCGGCCAACAATGCTAATATGTTTTATGAGCATGGACCCGATCTTCCAATCTGAAATAGAATTTCATTCCTCCCTTACTTTGTATAGTTTTTGGCTCTATAAAATTTCCATACTTTCTTTATTATGTATCCTGTCCCTCCCCCACCGCAAAATGTAAATTTGGTAAGGAACTTTTGATTTGTCCTCTGCTATATCCCAGGGACGGAAAGCAATGAGCACACATTAGGCATCCATTAAATTAATTTCACTTGTTGAATGAATGCGTGAGCGAAGCACTCACAGACTGACCATCAGGGGGCGTCAGAGAAACTGGACAGAGGCGAAATGAAGAAAAAAGAATTACCCCGAGTTTTCAGGTATGGTTCCGCGAGGTTTGAACTCGCTCGGCCACCGTAGTGCTTAGAGGCCGAAAAAGTACAGCCCCTTCCGGGCTCCGCGGTACGGGAAGACAGCTTTGGGATGTCGGAAGATCCTAGAGGTCCCAAGGTAGCTGACTTGCGAAGCTGAGGCTCCAGCCGAGGGCTCCAGGCCTCTGACCGGCCCAGCAGTGAGCGCGGCTGCCCGACGCTTCAGGGCCGGGAGCAGGGAGCGTGAGTCGCCATGGCGACGCCGGCGGGTCTGGAGCGCTGGGTTCAGGACGAGCTGCACTCGGTGTTGGGGCTGAGCGAGCGGCACGTCGCCCAGTTTCTGATCGGTACCGCACAGCGCTGCACCTCTGCCGAGGAGTTCGTGCAGCGCCTACGAGACACTGATACCTTGGATCTCAGTGGGCCGGCCCGGGACTTCGCCCTGAGACTCTGGAACAAGGTGTCGGCAGGGGTGGGGAGGGGCCCTGTGATTTGTCCCGGTGAGGCTGGCCTAACGGTCCATCGAGAAGTTAAGAAAGCTCAGTTCACAAGCACTTATTCTTTGTCCGTTGTCGCGTAGGTACTGTGCTAGCTGCTGGACGCCCAGCTCAGTGGAGAAGATTGAGGAGGGCTTAGGTGTGTCGGGTTAAGCGCAATAGAACGGTGTTTCTCGAACTCTTAACATGCATCCAAGGTTCTTGTTAAAATGCAGATTGCGATTCAGTAGGGATCTTAGTTTCTGCATTTCTTTCTTTCTTTTTTTTTTTTTTGAGAGACACAGTCTCGCTCGCCCCGTCGCCCAGGCTGGAGTGCGGTCGTAAGATCACGGCTCACTACAGCGTCGACCTCCCTGGTTGAAGCGACCCTCCCACCTCATCTTCCCCGGTAGCTGGGACTACGGGCGCGCGCCACCACCCCCGGCTAATATCTTTTATTTTTATTTTTATTTTTAGAGATGAGGCCTTGGTGTGTTGCGCAGGCTGGTCTCTAACTCCTCAGCTCAAGCAATCCTCTCTCAGCCCCCTCAGAGTGCTGAGATTACAGGCGTGAGCCACCATGCCCGGCCCCCCTCATCTTCTGAACTTCCTTTCAGTCGTTTAATTAACAGAGGGGGCCGGGTGCAGTGGCTCACACCTGTAATCCCAGCACCCCGGGAGGCTGAGGCAGGAGGATTACTTGAGCCCAGGAGTTCGAGACCAGCCTGGGCAACATGGCGAAACCTTCGTCCTACAAAAAAATTAAAAATTAGTTGAGCGTGGTAGTGTGCACCTGTGTTTCTAGCTACTTAGGAGCCTGAGGTGGGAGGATCCCTTGAGCCCAAGAGGGACAGAGTGAAACCCTGTCTGTAAAAAAAAATAAAAAACCCCATTCAGGATGATGAAGATGGGGTGAAGCCATGAGGAAGAAAGAGAATGAATGCTGGTTAGCTGGTTTAAAACTAAGTAATTGTGCCCGGGTGTGGTGGCTCATGCCTGTAATCCCAGCACTTTGGGAGGCTGAGGTGAGTGGATCATGAGGTCAGGAGTTTGAGACCAGCCTGGCCAACATGGTGAAACCTCATCTCTACTAAAAATACAAAAATAGTCGGGCGTGGTGGCATGTGCCTGTAATCTCAGCTACTTGGGAGGCTGAGGCAGGAGAATTGCTTGAACCTGGGAGGCGGAGGTTGAAGTGAGCCGAGATCACGCCATTGCCTGACAGTGGGGCCGGGCCGCGGGGGCAGGAAAGACTAAGTAATTGCTTAAATTAGGAACAGAGCTAAGTGGGAGGGCAGAGATCAGGAGTTGCTCAGACCTCCTTATCTTCCCCTCTACTGACAGGTACCACGAAAGGCAGTGGTAGAAAAGCCAGCTCGGGCAGCAGAGCGAGAGGCCCGGGCCCTGCTGGAGAAGAACCGATCTTATAGGTTACTGGAAGACAGTGAAGAGAGCAGTGAGGAGACTGTGAGTAGGGCTGGAAGCAGCCTCCAGAAGAAACGTAAAAAGCGGAAACACCTCAGGAAGAAGCGTGAGGAAGAAGAGGAGGAAGAGGCTTCTGAGAAAGGGAAGAAGAAAACAGGGTAAGTCAGAAGCAGGGTGAGAGAGGATGGGGCAGGCTGAAGTGTTCTCTATGCCCTTATTTAATCCCCTGGATGGGCTGCAGGGGGAGTAAACAGCAGACAGAGAAGCCAGAGTCGGAAGATGAGTGGGAACGGACAGAGCGTGAACGCCTTCAGGACCTGGAGGAGCGTGATGCCTTTGCTGAGCGGGTTCGACAGCGGGACAAGGATCGGACTCGAAATGTCCTGGAACGGTCAGACAAGAAGGTGAATAGGAGCAGCATGTTCTGTAAATCCCCAAGATCCCAGGGTGAAATCTGAGGTTGGCTGTGAGTGCAGAGATAGTGATCTCTGGGAAGACAAGGGGCTGTCTCTAGTGAGATGTTCACCTCTGTGGTGAGAGAAGCCCTGTGCATCCTGTGGCTAAGACAACTGTCTGCTGTACCTGCAATCAGAGAGATTCCTCACTGAGAGGGGACATTTTTTGTGTTAGGGCGCATCTGAATGATCCTTGTGATTCTAGAGGGGAGCAGCTGTCAGTGTGGGGGCTCTTTGGCCTCACACCCCTCCATTCTTGTTTTTTCTTCTAGGCTTATGAAGAGGCTCAGAAGCGCCTCAAGATGGCCGAGGAAGACCGGAAGGCCATGGTGAGTCCCAGGGCCTAGGGAGCCAAGATCAGAAGACAAAAGGAAAGACTTTCTGATAGAGTGTATAGGGAGAGAGGATACAGAGGAAGCACAGTGTGGATGCTGATGGGGTGGTCAGGTTTCTAGAAGAGGGGCTTGGTTGTTAGGAGCCAGCTGAGGATAGACTTATGTTGTTGAGGGAAGGATCCTTCTTAAGTTGTAGGGGGAAGGAGGCTACCCATAAGTCCTCCTTGACTCTTAACTTTAGGATCAAATATACTCTATTAGTGAATGAAATTGTGAGCTTTCCCTATTCCTGAGTCCTAATGAGATATGAGGCAGCTGGAATGTTGTCAAGAAGGTTGCTGGAGGGCAAGGGCAGGGCAGCAGTCCCACTGTACAGGGATGTGCTGACCATTCAGCTTAGGCACACCATCTCCAAATACCTTCCCACCACCTAATTCCTGCACCCCTTATGTGGCTTTGTGATCTCCCTGTGTCTTCTCACTGGACAGGGACAGAGCCCTTGTAATTCATAAACTGGACTTTTTATGGTGTGAAACTAGGTAGGGTAAGCTGTTTTCCAAAGGCCTGGTCTTGTCAAGTAAAGTCACACTTAGATTCCCCAATACCCCAATAGAATTTTGAGACTCTTGAAGTTCCTTTTTTTTTTTTTTTTTTTTTTTAAACCTTTTTTCTTTTTTTTGAAACGGGGTCTTGCCCTGTCACCGAGGCTGGAGTGCAATGATGCGATCTCGGCTCACTGCAACCTCCGCCTCCTGAGTAGCTGGGATTACAGGCGCACACCACCACGCCTGGCTAATTTTTTGTACCTTTAGTAGAGACGGGGTTTCACCATGTTGGCCAGGGTGGTCTCGAACCCCTGACCTTGTGATCCACCTGCTTTGGCCTCCCAGAGAGCTGGAATTACAGGCGTGAGCCACCATGCCCAGCCTTCTTTTTATTTGTTTTGTTTTATTTTTTATTTTTATTTATTTATTTTTGAGATGGAGTCTCACTCTGTTGCCAGGCTGGAGTGTGGTGGTGCGATCTCAGCTCACTACAACCTGTGCCTCCCTGGTGGAGGAATCAAGCGATTCTCCTGCCTCAGCCTCCTGAGTAGCTGGGACTACAGGCCTGCAGTACCACACTCGGCTAATTTTTTGTATTTTTAGTAGAGGAGATTTCATCATGTTGGCCAGGATGGTCTTGATCTCTTGACCTTGTGATCTGCCCGCCTTGGCCTCCCAAAGTGTTGGGATTATAGGCATGAGCCACTACGCCTGGCCGTTTTTACTTTTTAAAATTCATTTATTTATTTTTTTGAAACAGAGTTTTGCACTTGTTGCTCAGGCTGAAGTGCAGTGGCGTGATCTTGGCTCACTGCAACTTCCACCTCCCGAGTTCAAGCGATTCTCCTGCCTCAGCCTCCAGAGTAGCTGGGATTACAGGCATGAGCCACCTCGCCTGGCTAATTTTGTATTTTTAGTAGAGATGGGGTTTCTCCATGTTGGTCAGGCTGGTCTTGAACTCCTGACCTCAGGTGATCCACCTGCCTCGGCCTCCCAAAGTGCTGGGATTATAGGCGTGAGTCACCACGTGCCCGGCCAACTTTTGGAGTTCTAAGAATGGCCTACTGGTTCCCAGGTCTCTCCTGACCAATTTATCTCATATCTCTTCCTGAAATTGACTGTGGTTAGGCTTCTGGGACATCTCAGTGCAGTTGTGGTGGTAGTGGTGTTACTGTTTTGGCCTGAATTTAATTTTTCGGGTTTTTTTTGAGACAGAATCTCATTCTGTCGCCCAGGCTGGAGTGCAGTGGCATGATCTCGGCTCACTGCAACCTCCGCCTCCCGGGTTCAAGTGATTCTCCTGCCTCAACCTCCCGAGCAGCTGGGACTACAGACATGCACTAGCATGCCTGGCTGATTTTTGTATGTTTAGTAGAGATAGGGTTTCACCATGTTGGCCAGTCTGATCTCAAACTCCTGACCTTTGGCGATCCACCCCCCTCGGTCTCCCAAAATGTTAAGATTACAGGCGTGAGCCACTGTGCCCAGCTGTAATTTTTCTTTTTCGATTACAAAAATATTTAAGCACATAGGGAAGTTGAAAGAATAGAACAAAGAACACTCATAGACACTATTCAGATTGAAAAATGGTTAATACTATGGGTAGTATTTGCATTGTAATTGTAAATGTGGTATGTTTTTTCTTTTCAGACCATTTAAAAGAGTCTTAGACATCATGGCGTTTTATCTCTAAGTACATCAGTGTGTACCTGCTAAGGATAAAGATATTGTCCTCTAAAATCAGAATGCTCTTGTCACAGTCAGGAAGTTGAACAGTAATTCTTATGTATCGACTAAGATCTCTCTACAATAAAAGATACCCTCATTACCCTCAAAATAACTTTAATGACTGCTTTTTCCTAACAAGAATGCAGTCAAGGTTCATGCATTGCATTTGGGTCTTAGATGTTAAGTTTGTTTCTCTCTCTGTCTGTCTCACCTTGCAGTGTCCTACATTCTGGATTTGCCTGATTCTTATCTTGTGGTGTTAAGTACTTCTCTGCCCTGTGCTTTCTTTGAAGCAGGAATTGGGTCTAAAGCTTATTGACACTCAGATTAAACAGTTGTGGCAGGAACACTTCTTGGGCGGTGATGTGCACTTCATATTATGTCATATCACGGGGACATACTATCCAGTTGTGTATCTATATATTAGTATTAATATCCTTTCTACCAATAGCCTTTCATCAAATGCTTTTAGAAGCCACTGGTAATCCTTTCCTGAACATGTTATTTTTATTGGGGATTGCAAAATGGTGATTTTTTTTTTTTTTTTTTGAGACAGAGTCTCGCTCTGTCGCCCAGGCTGGAGTGCAACGGTGCGATCTCGGCTCACTGCAAGCTCTGCCTTCCGGGTTCATGCCATTCTCCTGCCTCAGCCTCCTGAGCAGCTAGAACTACAGGCGCCTGCTGCCACGCCCGGCTAATTTTTTGTATTTTTAGTAGAGATGGGGTCTCACCATGTTAGCCAGGATGGTCTCGATCTCCTGACTTCGTGATCCTCTTGCCTCAGCCTCCCAAAGTGCTGGGATTACAGGCGTGAGCCACCGCGCCCGGCCGAAATGGTGATTTTTTGATTCTGTCATTCCTGTTACGTGTATTGGCTAGAATTTGTCTATAAAGAAGAGCTTTTCCTCAACAACTAGGAACAAGCTACAGTTCCTTCTTAAAAAGGGTAAATGTTTGTTTCCTTTTAAATACGAATTTTTAGAGTAAGGCGTTTGCTGTAACAGTCATTTCACTGGTGACAGATTTTTTTCCCTTGTTTTTTGTTTGTGTGTGTCAAATTGGACTCATGAATTTTTATTTTTCAGTATTTTATAATCTCACATCATTATTCTTTTTAATGCTCAAATGGCTCTGATTTTTTGCCCATATTAAAAAAAAAATCTATCTGGCTCTTCCATGGAAGGAATATTTGACTGTGGTACCCAGATTAGGTCATGATCATAAACTGCATTTTAAGTCTTTACAGAACAAACAAGAAAAGCCAAACAACTAAATAGAACCAGGCCCCTTAA
Source organism: Homo sapiens (assembly GCF_000001405.40). Lineage (NCBI taxonomy): Eukaryota > Metazoa > Chordata > Mammalia > Primates > Hominidae > Homo > Homo sapiens. The sequence goes on along the minus strand of NC_000006.12, from coordinate 30,666,838 downwards.
GGGTAGAACAGCAGAGGGGCTTTTTTTTTAAAGATGCAGTTTTGTTCTTGTTGCTCAGGCTGGAGTGCAATGGCGTGAGCTAAGCTCACTGCAACCTCCGTCTCCCGGGTTCAAATGATTCTCCTGCCTCAGCCTCCCGAGTAGCTGGGATTACAGGTGCCCACTACCATGCCCAGCTAATTTTTGTATTTTCAGTAGAGACGGGATTTCACCATGTTGGCCAGGCTGGTCTCTAACTCCTGACCTTAGGTGATCCACCCACCTCAGCCTTTCAAAGTGCTGGGATTACAGGTGTGAGTCACCACGCCCACCCAGCCACCAGAGGGGCTTTGACCTTGCAGTAGAGGAAGTTGTGATCACAGAGAGGATGATGTCATAGTGGGAGGACTCCTGGCAGGAAAGGGCCTTATAGATATTGCCAGTTTTCTGCTGTCATCCATAATGTGTCCTGAAAAGTTTGTATCAAAGGTAAATGTGTAGAAACTAAGTGAGACACAGCATGGTGAAGAGAGGTTAGTACCAGAAAGCCAAACATCCCTGATTACATTTGCCTTACAGAAACACTCTGATGCTGTAGTCCTAACTTTTTATAATCAGTTTTTCTCCCTTCCTCAAACTACAGTCATTCCGTTTAAGACCAAAGAACATCTAACTGGGGCTGAAGATTGCCTCCTGTTGGCCCCCTCACTGGTTTCTATCTTTGTCTGAATTGTTTTCGGTTTGAGTCCTGTGCTTCTAAATGCTGGATTAGCCTTTTATTTTCCCCCTTTCCACTAAT